>NC_000006.12:24302424-24605454 GCF_000001405.40 Homo sapiens | reverse complement strand
AGGAGAGAGCATGGGTCCAGCAAGAGAACTGGGTCATTCGGAGACTGAATAATAAGTAAGGAAAGTCTTAAGTAATCCACAGTGGAATGGATGAACTTCACAGAACTATCAAAGAGGGTGGGGGTGCCACAGTGAAAGCTTGAGGTCTTGAGTATAAAGACTGACTCTGAAACTCAGCAGCATCTTTTCCTGTAAAATGGGAATGAGAACTCCTAACTCAGAAACAGTTCCTACAAGTAGATCAAATAAGATAATATAGGTGAAGGATTATTTAATCCATAAAGTACTAACTATGTATTTAAACAGCAACACTTGGCCGGGCATGGTGGCTCATGCCTATAATCCCAGCACTTTGGGAGGCCAAGGCGGGTGGATCACCTGAGGTCAGGAGATCGAGACCAGCCTGGCCAACATGGTGAAACCCCATCTCTACTAAAAATACAAAAATTAGCTGGGCATGGTGGTTGGCGCCTGTAATCCTAGCTACTTGGGAGACTGAAGCAGGAGAATCGCTTGAACCCGGGAGGAAGAGGTTGCTGTGAGCCAAGATCATACCATTGCACTCCAGCCTGGGTGACAAGAGCGAAACTCTGTCCCAAAATAAAAAACGAAAACAAAAACAAAAGAGCAACACTTATAAGCTATTAGAACTGAAGGAATTTTTGATAACATCTAGTCCATATGCCTTTTAATGTTGAGGAAATGGAGACACATTGTCTTCTTACATTAAAGTACCCCCAAAGAAAGAACCTTAAATATGGTATTGAGAAGAGGAAATGCTTTTTATGCTGAGCACCTGTAATGTTTGCACTGAGATAATGACAATAAATTGCTTTCCAGGTACAATATGGTTGTGAAAGTTGTACCTTGCACAACCAAAGGCATTCACCAAAGGGGCATGGGATTGGGAATTTGGCTTATAGTCCATTTGCCAAACTGTGTTCCTTCAGAGCAGTATCTTCTCTTAGAGCTGCCTTTTCTTAATTTGCCTGAAGGTACCATATGGTATGGTGGAGGCCCAATCTGTATCCATGGGATTCTTGACCAGTGGTCCCTGGCTGATAGCAGTGTTGCTATTCTGGGCCCCAGCACCTTGGGCAGTTGAATAAATGTCATTTCTGGGAGGCCAGTTGCTCTTCTCTTGCCCTTTGGTTAGGGGGTAGTCAATGGCTGCAGATGGAAGATGGCCAGTCTTCCCTTCCACCTCCCATCTCTAACATACTTTCCTCACTGGAAGCAAAGGGAGTTATTGGTGGCAAACTTTGCAGAACCAGGTATTCTTCCTCTAGGGTTTTAGGCATGAATGTTATGAAATGCTTACTGTTTTCTTTCTCCATTTTACCTTATCAAAGCAGGTGTTCTGATGGCCTCAGGTCCGTTGTACTGACACAGAGGTGTTACACCCACCTCCTGACCTTACCTTAGCTCACCTTTAGTCTGGTTCCTTCCTGTCCCTTGGTCTAACTCAGCCCATCTCTGGACCTTAAAGGCCCTTTTCACCTACCCAGAGCATGGCCAGTGATGGTGTTAGGCTAGGCAGCAGCTGTGCTCGGTGTGGTCGACGGCAGTCCCCTATGTGCATTTCAACGGGCGGCACTCTCGTGATTTGAGTTGGTTCTCGATTAAACTCAAAAACAAGGCCTAGAACTTCCAGACACCATCTTAAGAGAATGTTATGTGTTTGATTTTGTTTGCAGGCTCCTTGTCCTTTCTGGTTATTTCCTGCCCCCATTAGGCTGCCACAGAGTTCTTAAATAACTGACTGGAGACATCTGTCGGGGTGTTTCCCTCTCTTTTTCATCCCTACAACACTTACACATTTCTAAAAGTACTGCAGTGCTTCTGGAAACAGGGGTGCGGAAGAGTGTTGTCCTCCTATAAGGTTTTATCCACACATCCTCTGCGTGGAGGGAGGAGGAATGAAGGAGTGGGTGGAAGAGACTGGTGTGAACTGGAACTAAAATCTAGTTTATTACAACATACCATCTTGCAACTCACAGTGGGATTCTGACACCACATTAGGAAACCTTATCTAGGTTTTTTGAACATGAACTTGTGTGTTTCCTCCTGGGAGCCTTTGTTATGTATTTGAAATAATAAGCACTTGGAGTACAGATCCAAGTCCAGACTGCCTTGTACTGGTTCTTCTACTTTGGGCAAACCAGTTCACTTTTTTGAACCTCAATTCTATCACCTAATGCAGAGATAATAATATGTCTGGGTTGTGGTGAAGATCACACTGAGAAAGTACCAGGCAAAAATAAAGTGCTTATATTAACTAAATTCAATGAAATGTAAGATACTAATGACTGTATTTAATAAAATGCATGATTATTTTAAATACCACTAAGGAAAAGAATGCTGTCAATTAAGCCAAGATTTACCACTTTCTTCTCACTTAGAATGTTTAAACAAATTGAAAGAGATTGAGGGGGGTGCTTATTTAGACAAATTTTTATCATAAATCATTCTTGTGCATATGTAAAAAGGAACATATAACTGACACATGAAGGTATTCCTAAATTTTCTTCCTGCCCAATAACTTGTCAATGCAGTTATTGATACCCGTTGGTTTTCCACATATTACCTGCGTGCCATCATGAGCTTTGGGGGATGAAGCATTTCTTTTTTTCTTTTCTTTTTTTGTTTTTTTTGAGACGGGGTCTCGCTGTGTAGCCCAGGCTGGAGTGCAGTGGCGTGATCTCGGCTCACTGCAAGCTCCGCCTCCCGGATTCACGCCATTCTCCTGCCTCAGCCTCCCGAGTAGCTGGGACTACAGGCGCCCGCCACCACGCCCAGCTAATTTTTTTGTATTTTTAGTAGAGACGGGGTTTCACCGTGTTAGCCAGGATGGTCTCGATCTCCTGACCTCGTGATCCACCCGCCTTGGCCTCCCAAAGTGCTGGGATTACAGGCGTGAGCCACCGCACCCGGCCAGGATGCAGCATTTCTTAAGAGAGTGCTTTATGTTGTGTTTGGGATGCTCTTCCAAGCCTCTGACCCCGGTTCTGCATAGCTGATGTGCATGCATAAACAATGCCATCCACTTCCGGCCTGGCATGTGGCCATCTGCAACTGTAGGACATCCTGATATCAGAAATGGTAAAATGTGAAAATATTTATGTGTTAGAATTCATGAAATATAGGCTGGGCATGATGGCTCACGCCTGTAATCGTTGAGAGGCCAAGACGGGCAGATCACTTGAGGCCAGGAGTTCGAGACCAGCCTGGCCAACATGGCAAAACCCCGTCTCTACTAAAAATACAAAAATTAGCCGGGTGTGGTAGTGTGCGCCTGTAATCCCACCTACTTGGAGGCTGAGGCACAAGAATCACTTGAACCCAGGAGGCGGAGTTTGCAGTGAGCCAACATTGTGCCACTGCACTGCAACCTGGATGACAGTGCAAGACTCTGTCTCAAAAAAAAAAAAAAAGAAATACAGTAGTGTGATTTATTCCATCATTATTTCATAGTTTTAGCTTTGAGAGCCTGGATATAAAAGCAGACAATGGCCAGATGAAATATAAAATAGAACTTTGACCGACAATCCACAGCCCGGGAAACCAGTCCCTTGTCTACAATAAGCAGCCTAGGAAGCCAGCCTGCTATAAGTCAGACTTGTAGGAAGCCAGATTGCTATCTCTATAAACAATCCTGGAAGCTAAACAGTAACTTCTGTAACAATCAGCCTCGAATGACCAGGACTTGATTAATAACTAATGGCTTCCTTAATTTTTATCCCTTCTTCCAACTTTGGACCAGTCAGAGAAAGCCAAACATGCCTCCTAACCAGTCACGTAGGATGCCCCACTTCTAGCGAGCTGCCTGCAGCTTCCCACTGCAACAGCCTCCAATTAGAGCACACCTGAGGCTTTCTCTTTTTCTGCTATAAAGTTTTCCCACTCCTCTGCCTGTCTTTGAGTCTCTGCCAAAAACAAGTGATGGTGGCTGACTGCCTTTCTATAACAAGCTCTGAATAAATAGCCTTTGCTTTTCTCATTTGACTGGTCCTCGTTTATTTCCACAGCTTGTAAGGAGAGTAAGCATGAAATTCTTTGGCTCTTCTTAGGAACTATACTGGCTATTTGAACAAACGCTCTAGGTGGATGTTTGCCTGGGTTGTGGCTCTGTGATGTGACCAGGACAGGCTTCCCACTGACATGAATGAATGATAGAAATAATTTTGGATGTTTCTACATTTACCTATTCTTTTCTTCCTTCCTCTTTTATGTTTTTCCTTTGAAGTTCTTGAGGCCAAATCTGGCTCCTAAAAAACATCAAAGGAAGCTTGCACCAAACTCTCTTCAGGGCCGCCTCAGAAGCCTGCCATCACCCACTGTGTGGTGCACAATGGCGCCCCCCACAGGTGTGCTCTCTTCATTGCTGCTGCTGGTGACAATTGCAGGTAGGGAACTACTACCCTGGAGATACCCGTGTTGGACTTGAGTTTCTTGACTAGTGTAAGCAACTCAGATCAACCTGAGGTGAAGACGCTGTTGGTTTGCTTTTCAATAGAATTATTTTACAGGTGAAAGCATGAAAGGCAGACCTCATGCATGAGTGGTTTTCCGTAAACAGGAATTTAAGTTTATTTTTATCATGACTATTCCATGGGAAAATAAAATCACATTTCATATATACTAGGAAAACTTTATGTTTATATATTGAAAAGAATTGCATACTAGATCTGGCTGGAAAGGCCAGACTTCCTTTTATCAGAAATCTTTATTTTCATTATACTCAGTTTGCTTATGGTGGATGCACTCATGGCAAAAAAATCACTGGTGAGCATCATTTAAGAAGACCCATGACTAGACTGGGCTGGCCGAGCCCATGTGAGTATACCAAGGATTGAGGGTGGTGATATGACTAGAAAAACTGTTATGTACAGTTTGTCCAAATGTAACACAGCCATAATGAAGATAACCTTAGCGAGACCCTTGTTAAAATGCAGTTTCTCATGCCACACTCCAGACCTCCTAGGGATGTGGCTCTGGGATCTGGGTTTTCAGCAGCACCTGGAGATGATTCAGAAGCACCCAAATTTTGGGCAGCACCATTTTATATGATGTGAGGGCCACTCCAGAAAGTATTGCCATTGGAAAAGCCCATCATGACTTGTAGATCACTTACTCCCCTCCATCCATCCATCTTATTAAACTCATTCCTGCTTAGTGTGTAAGAAAAAATGTCCCCTTATTTCATCTTTAATATACTCTAGAAAATACCTTCATTAATGTTTTAGATGATGTCATTAATGTTTAGAGACCCATATTTTTTCCTTTGCAAATCTCTACTTTTTCATTCCTTTTTGCCCTTTTCTTATGAGGTATTCTCCCTTAATTCAAAATATCAATTCCTGAGTTATTGCATCCCAATAAATGTTATTTGCAATTTGCTCATCTTCCTTTTTTTTTTTTTGGGCAGTTGGCAGAACTAGCTGAGGGTTTATTTTGGAAAAAAACCAATTGAATTGTTTTGTAGCTGGAGGCATGGGCAAAGGGGGATACCCCAGGCAGTGAACTCTCCCGCGGGTCGGCTGAGGGCGAGCGCTGAGCCTCAGGTGGGTCTCCTGTTCCCTATGCTCCCCTGCACAGTGGCCTCCCCCACAGGCTCTGGGGCAGTCACAGGAGGGGGTAGGCTGGGAGGGGCTGCTGTGGCCATTCACTTGGGCAGAACATCAGAGGACTCAGACACCAGTTTCCTATCACAAATCTCGATCTTCTTCACAACCATGGCCCTGAAGGAGTTGGTGCTGCTGAAGGAGCTGGAGCACCCGCCAGAGCCAAAGCTGGAGCCCAGGCTGTAGCTGAGGCCCCCATAGGCTGAGCTCAGCTCACCTGAGTAGCCACTGGTGGTCTTTGTATGGATATTCATGTTCTGCATCCCAGACTCCAGCCAGCTCTCCTCGCCCTCCAGCACCTTCCTGTAGGTGACAATCTCGATGTCCAGGGTTGGCTTGATGATCATCAGCTCCTGGTACTCATGCAGCTGCCATGCCATGTCCTGCATGGCCCACTGCAGGGTGGCCTCCAGCTTGGACAGCTTGGCATTGGCATCCTTAATGGCCAGCTCCCCACGCTTCTCCGCATCCACAATGGTGGCCTCTAGGGAAGCCCTCTAGCCTTTGAGGCCCTCAGTCTCAGTCTGGAGCCGGCTGATGTTCTGATTCATCTCAGAGATCTCCATCTTTGTATAACACAGGTCATCCCTGTGCTTCCCAGCCAGTGCCTGCAGCTCCTCATACTTGACCTGGTACAGGCTGTCAGCCCCGGCCTGGCTACAGTTGGTGATCTCCTTGTACTGGGCCTTGACCTCAGCAATGATGCTGTCCATGTCCAGGGACCAGCTGTTGTCCATGGACAGCACCACAGATGTGTCCCAGATCTGGGACTGCAGCTCCTGGATCTCCTCTTCATACAGCTGCCTGAGGAAGTTGATCTCGTTATTCAGCCCTTCCAGGCGAGACTCCTCCAGCTTTACCTTGTTCATGTAAGCTTCATCCACATCCCTCTTGATGAGGACAAATTCATTCTCCATCGCTAAAATTATTTTTTTACTTTTTATTTTTTTTTTAAATGCAGTCTTCTCACTCTGTCACCCAGGCTGGAGTGCAGGGGCATGATCTCGGCTCACTGCAACCTCTGCCTCCTGGGTTCAAGGAATTCTCCTGCCTCAGCCTCCCGAGTAGCTGGAATTACAGGCACCCACCACTATGCTCAGTTAATTTTTGTATTTTTAGTAGAGACAGGGTTTCACCATGTTGGTCAGGCTGGTCTTGAACTCCTATCCTCAGGTGATCCACCCACCTCGGCCTCCCAAAGTGTTGGGATTACAGATGTGAGCCACCGCACCCACCCTTCTGTAAAATTATTGATCTTGTCCTTGTACTTGTTCTTGAAGTCCTCCACCAGCCCTGGTGTGTTGCCAAACTCGGCCTCCAGCTTCAGCTTTTCCTGGCCCAGCATGTCCAGCTGCTGCCATAGGTTGATGTAGCTCTTGAACATGCAGTCCACATTCATCCAAACTGTCTTCTGCTGCTGCAGGAGGCTCCAGTTGGTCTCCAGCACCTTGTTCTGCTGCTCCAGGAACCATACCTTGTTGATAAAGGAGGTAAACTTGTTGTTGATGGTCTTGATCTGCTCCTTCTCCTGGGTGCACATGGCCTGGATGTTGGGGTCCACCTCCAGCTTAAGGGGGCTCAGCAGGCTCTAGTTGACTGTGATGGCTGTGATGCCCTCCATACCACTGGTCCCGCCATAGCCTCCACCCAGACCCATACTGGTGCCCAGGCCACCTTGGAAGCTGCTGCTGCTGCCCACTCGAGAGAAGCTCAAGGAGCTGATGCTGGCACCAGGCCAGCTTGTGTAGGAGTGGCTGCTGAAGGCCCAGGGGCCAGAGGTAGACACCTTGTAGGACTTATGGGTCACCTTGATGGATATGGTGGAGGCAGGAGGGCTGAACCAGGTGGAGATTCAAGACGGTGCAGATGCTTCTAGGTGGTTTTTTTTTTTTTTTTTTTTTTTTTTTTTTTTTGAGATAGGGTCTTGCTCTGTCACCCAGGCTGGAGTGCAGTGGTGCCATCATGGCTCACTACAGCCTCAACCTCCTGGGCTTAAGCAATCCTCCCATGTTGGCCTCCCAAAGTGCTGGGATTACAGGTGTGAACCATCACACTCAGCCTTCTTTATCTTTTTTACCTTTGTAAAGGCTAACCAGTGATTTTATTAACTTGTCAAGAATCATCAAGTAACTAGTATTCCCACAGATTGGGCTAGGATTCATAGAGCATACAAACATAGGCGACAGGTTCCCTGGTCTCCAGTTTGATAGAAGAGCTTTCTAGAGTGTCTCTAATAGATTCTGAAGTAATTATGGCAACTTGGACCAAATGAAGAATGATTTAGTTGTTGGGAGCCCCACCTTCTCAAACTTCTTTATTTAGCATTAAGATCTTTGCTTTTAAGGTATGTATATCTAAACAGCCCCCATTCAGGTGATTTTTTGCAGAACAAAGGAACGGTGCACTCCAGAGGTGTCCCAAGGAATCCACCACCTCCAGCCACACTGAAAACTGCCCTAAGCTTTGAGTTGGAGGCTTCTGCCTTACAAAGGTCTCCTTGCCTCCTTGTGACAGTTTGCTTCCCTGTCAATTTATCCACCATTAAAATAGCCTGTGAGACTTAAAATCAATTAACGATAAAACAGAGACATGATGCTATTTTGTAAAGTAAACCTGTATAATTGAATTTTATGTGAGGAACAAAGTATTATAAATAGTATAAATACAATGTAGAAGAATGTTCCTGTTAAGTAAATGGAGTGAAACTATATGAAAAAATAACAAATGGAAGGAAGGGTGCATGGATAGGTGTAAGAATCTCTGGATGGATGAGTGGGTGGATGGGTGGAGGGATGGAGTGATGGATGGATGAGTGGAAAGGTAGAAGAATAGAAAGATGGATGGATGGATGGGAGGGTGGATGGATGGATGGATGGATGGATGGAAAAGTAGAAGGGTAGATGGATGAGTATGTGGGTGAAAGGATGGATAGATGGATGGGTAGAAAGGTGGAAAGATAGGAGGAAAGACGGGTGGATGAATGAAAGGATGAGTAGATGGAAGATGAATGAGTGGGTGGGAAGGTAGGAGGATGAATATATGGCTGGATGGTTTGATGGATTGCTGTGATCTTTCTGTGTGAAATGCTGATTGTTTATTTGCTTGCCAGACTGGCCAGGGATTGAGAAGACTCCCTTTTCCTGGTTTCTTAAGCTGGAGGTGCTTCCCTGTGATATGCCTCTCTCCCTCATTAGAAACTACTTTGTTTAAAGGTTGTGCCCGTAAGCAGTGCAGCGAGGGGAGGACATATTCCAATGCAGTCATTTCACCTAACTTGGAAACCACCAGAATCATGCGGGTGTCTCACACCTTCCCTGTCGTAGACTGCACGGCCGCTTGCTGTGACCTGTCCAGCTGTGACCTGGCCTGGTGGTTCGAGGGCCGCTGCTACCTGGTGAGCTGCCCCCACAAAGAGAACTGTGAGCCCAAGAAGATGGGCCCCATCAGGTCTTATCTCACTTTTGTGCTCCGGCCTGTTCAGAGGCCTGCACAGCTGCTGGACTATGGGGACATGATGCTGAACAGGGGCTCCCCCTCGGGGATCTGGGGGGACTCACCTGAGGATATCAGAAAGGACTTGACCTTTCTAGGCAAAGATTGGGGCCTAGAGGAGATGTCTGAGTACTCAGATGACTACCGGGAGCTGGAGAAGGACCTCTTGCAACCCAGTGGCAAGCAGGAGCCCAGAGGGAGTGCCGAGTACACGGACTGGGGCCTACTGCCGGGCAGCGAGGGGGCCTTCAACTCCTCTGTTGGAGACAGTCCTGCGGTGCCAGCGGAGACGCAGCAGGACCCTGAGCTCCATTACCTGAATGAGTCGGCTTCAACCCCTGCCCCAAAACTCCCTGAGAGAAGTGTGTTGCTTCCCTTGCCGACTACTCCATCTTCAGGAGAGGTGTTGGAGAAAGAAAAGGCTTCTCAGCTCCAGGAACAATCCAGCAACAGCTCTGGAAAAGAGGTGAGTGTGTTCAGGATGTGCTTGGGGGTGGGATGGGCTGAGTGGGGCAGACCGTAGGAGGGGCTGAGTTTCAGGAGCCGGGCACTCATTCAGGCTGTATGAGCTTAAGGAGGTTCCGCCTAAGGGCACCTGTCTCAGGTGGTGGCAAGAAAGATGACTGTCTCTCAGAGATTTCTAGGAAGCAGAACATCTCATTCCTTTGCTATGCCTCCATGGCCAGGCTGTTAAAAAGAATAGTTCTGCCTTCACGAGTCAGCCAGCTCATAACGACTTAGCACTTCTCCCTAGAAATGCCTGTAGCGTTTTTTTTTTTTTTTTTTTTTTTTGAGATTGAATCTCGCTCTGTCGCCCAGGCTGGAGTGCAGTGGCATGATCTCAGCTCACTGCAAGCTCCACCTCCTGGGTTCACGCCATTCTCCTGCCTCAGCCTCCCGAGTAGCTGGGACTATAGGCGCCCATCACCATGCCCAGCTAATTTTTTTGTATTTTTAGTAGAGATGGGGTTTCACCATGTTAGCCAGGATGGTCTAGATCTCCTGACCTCATGATCCACCCACCTTGGCCTCCCAAAGTGCTGGGATTACAGGCGTGAGCCACCGCGCCTGGATACTCTAGCGACATTTAAGGCAACGGGAGATGGTATAGAAGTCCCTGGGGCCAGCACATACACCCAGGGGCTTTGAAAATCCACCCTAGTAGGTTTCTTCAAGACCCAACAGGTGCTTTGGCTGCTAGAAACTCAACATGGCATCATGAACAATTGGATAGGATGAGAGAGCTATGAAGGAGAGAACTTAAGCGTCATAAAACGTTCCATGAAAAAGCTCAGGTGAAAAAAGAATGAGGGTCACTGCAGTGGAGCGATTTCAAAAGCAGGTGGAAAGCCTAAGTGTTAATGGCAGGAGGTCAGGGAGACAGACAATGAGAACTGTGTGGTGAGGAGAGAGTAGTTGGAGAGCTCAGAGGTTGCTTGTTTGGAAACTGGTCAGGACTTGAGAATGTGGTGAGCATGTTGATCAGAGGAAGCTGAGTATAGGTGGAAATAAAGTAAAAAAAAAGCTTGGAGTACTTCAAGAATTTTTTAAAGGAAAAGTTTTCCTTCTTTAGATTCCAGTACTTATGTTAGAATAAGTGAGGAATGCTGAATTGAATTGACTATACATTATAATCTCAACCATGAAAAATTGTTTAAAAATGTCTAGAAGTCATTTTTAAGTGTTTTTTTTTTTTGTTGTTTTTTTTTTGTGAGACAGAGTCTTGCTCTGTCGCCCAGGCTGGAGTACAGTGGCATGATCTCGGCTTACTGCAACCTCTGCCTCCTGGGTTCAAGCGATTCTCCTGCCTCAGCCTTCCAAGTAGCTGGGACTATAGGTGTGCACCACCATGCCCGGCTAATTTTTGTATTTTTTAGTAGAGATGGGTTTTCACTATGTTGGCCAGGCTGGCTTCGAACTCCTGACCTCAAATGATACCCCCACCTCGGCCTCCCAAAGTGTTGGGATTACAGGCATGAGCCACCGTGCCCAGCCAAGATTGAATCAGAAGGTTTTTTTCTGCTTATATTTTTCTGAATTTTGAAGTGTCTATATTTTTCCTTACTTATAATTGGATTAAAATGAAAAAACTTTCTTTTTTTTTTTTTTTTTTTTTTTTTTTTTTTTTTTTTTTTTTTTTGAGACAGAGTCTCACTCTGTCACCCAGGCTGGAGTGCAGTGGCATGGTCTTGGCTTACTGCAACCTCCGCTGCCCAGGTTCAAGTGATTCTCCTGCCTCAGACTCCTGAGTAGCTGAGATTACAGGCATCTGCCACCACGCCCAGCTAATTTTTGTATTTTTAGTAGAGATGGGGTTTCACCATATTGGTCAGACTGGTTTTGAATTCCTGACCTCATGATCCACCTGCCTCGGCCTCCCAAAGTGCTGGGATTACAGGCATGAGCCACTGCACCTGGCCTGAAAAAACTTTCAATTAAAAATAATCTGAAAGTATTAGAGATTAACCATGTTCTTTATTCATATCAGTAAATATTAAAATAATTTACTCTCTTTCATGTTGCCAAGTCATTTACTTCCTGGTTTATACAGATGGAACTCTCTGAAATCAAGCTCTATTAAAAATCTTTTGGCTCATTAGTTCTTTGAGGTTGGTTTTGTTAAAAGATAATTATTCAGGGCCGGGAGCAGTGTCTCATGCCTGTAATCCCAGCACTTTGGGAGGCCGAGGTGGGTGGATCACGAGGTCAGGAAATTGAGACCATCCTGGCTAACATGGTGAAACCCCATCTCTACTAAAAAATACAAAAAATTAGCCAGGCGTGGCGGTATGTGCCTGTAGTCCCAGCTTCCCAGCTACTCGGGAGGCTGAGGCAGGAGAATGGCGTGAACCCGGGAGGTGCAGCTTGCAATGAGCCGAGATCGCACCACTGCACTCCAGCCTGGGTGACAGGGCGAGACTCTATCTCAAAAAAAAAAAAAAAAAAAAAAAAGATAATTATTCAAATAGGTGAAATTGTGAATTGTTTAGATATAAAATGAACACGTGTTAGAGATTTTATTCTACTCATTACTCACTGAAGGAACTAGATTATAATTATCCTACAAGAAAACCTGAAGAACAGGCACATTCATAGGTTAAAAAATATATTGAAATGAGTGTGCAAACAGAGGCAAAACTGGGTTTCCAGTGAGGAAAGGAGGGAGTTCAGTTGAAGCTCTAGCAGACAGGAGAATTTACATGTCTATAGACAAGAATTATTTTACATTTTTATCATTTTTATGACCTATAACTTACAGAGTTGTAAAAATAGCTCAAATACAAGAATGACTAGAGGCAGATAACCTGGAGAGGTATCCAGTAGATAATGTTTTTTTTTATTTATTTTTATCTTATTTTAATTTTTTGAGACAGGGTCTCACTTTGTCACCGAGGCTGGAGTGGAGCAGCGTGATCTCAGCTCACTGCAGCCTTGACCTCCTGGGCTCAGGCAGTCCTCCCAACTCAGCCCCACAAGGTAGCTGGGACTACAGGCATGTGCCACCACACCCGGCTAATTTTTATGTTTTTGGTAGAGATGGGATTTCGCTATGTTGCCCAGGTTGGTCTCAAACTCCTGAGCTCAAGTGATCTGCCTGCCTTGGCCTCCCAAAATGCTAGGATTACATATGTGAGCCACCTTGCCCCACCGATAACATGCTGCTTTCCATTGAAATGCAAATTTTCCTCTGAAGTACATTAGATTTGTAGACAATCTCTGAATAAGTGTTCACAAAAATTACATGCATAGCATAATAAGAAGTCATTTGCTCAAGCCCAATACACTGATGCACAACTGTAATCCCAGCTACTTGGGAGATGGAGGTAGGAGAACTGCTTGAGGCTACGGGTGAGAGACCAGCCTGGGCAACAGAGTGAGACCCCATCTCTTAAAACAAAAAGAAAGAAAGAAAAGAAACTATTTCATTCTGATGCAGTGCAAAGTTTGGAATTGATGACAGAAACTAAGATCTTTTCTCTCACCAAAAAAATATGTAAAATAGTTCAATTGTATTTGGTAAAGGTATCTAGAAAATTTAATGGGGAAAGAATAGTATTTTCAACAAATGGTGTTAGGACAACTGGATATTTACATGCAAAAGAATGAATTTAGACCCCTATCTCATACCTTATTTTAAAAAAATTAACTCAAAATGGACCAACGTTCTCAATATATGAGTTAAAACTATAAGAGACATGGAAGAAAACTCAGCATAAATCTTTGTAAACTTAGGCAATTATTTCTTAGTACATCAAAAGCATAGCAATAAAATAGAAAAATGGTAAATTTGAATTAATAAAAAGTAGAAACTTTTGTATTTCAGATGACAACATCAAAAGAGTAAAGCTTTCTTGATGGAATAAATATACCATAAAATGGGATAAATATACCATAAATATTGTATACTGAATATATAAATAACTCTTACAACTTAATAATTAAAAGACAAATAACCCAACTCAAACATGGGCAAAGGATCTGAATAGACTTTCTCCAAAGATCATAGAAGAATAGCCAAGAAGCACATGAAAAGATGCTCAGCACCATTAATCTTTAGGGAAATGCAAGTCAAAACCACAATGAGATACCACTTCACATCTACTAGATGGCTAGAATAAAATCTAAAAATAGATAATAAGTGTTAGTAAGGATGCAGAGAAATTGGAACTCTCATACACTGCTGGTGGGAATGTGAGATGTTGCAGCCACTTTGGTTTGTTTTTGATTTTCGTTTTTTGAGAGACAGGGTCTTGTTCCACACCCAGGTCAAAATGCCACGGTGCAGCATGGCTTACTGCATCCTTAAACTCCTGGGCTCCAGTGATTCTCTCACCTCAGCCTCTTGAGTAGCTGGGACCACAGTGCCCAGCTAATTTTTTTTATTTTTATTTTTGTAGAGATAGAGTCTCACTCTGTTGCCCAGCCTGGTCTCAAACTCCTGGGCTTAAAGAATCCTCCTGCTTTGGCCTCCTAAAATGCTGGGATTACAGGTGTGAGCAATTATGCCTGGCCCCAGTGTAGCTGCTTCGGAAGACAGTCTTGCATTTCCTCAAAATGTTAAATGCAGACTTAACCATATGACCCAGGAATTCCACTTCTGGGTATTTACACAAGAGAAAGAAAACATGTCCATATAGAAACTTGTACATGAATGTTCATAACAGTACTATGCATAAAATAGTGCCATTGAACAGGGTATCTAGGAAAAATAAATCAAGATCAAACTTGTAGAGGATAAAGGACATTTTTTGCAACTGTGTTTTCCTGTGGACAAGACTAGAGAAATCACCTAAAACAAGTTGTTTTAAAGTAAATGAGTAGAGAACATAGAAACAAGAGCCATTTGAAACTTTTGCTGACGAGGCCCAGGTTAACTTGAAGGCTGAAATGGGTGATGCTGGTGCTCAGTGGCTTCCATAGAGGATTGATTTTTCTTTGGAGGGGTTTGTCAGAGAGGACCTTGTGTCCTGATGACTTAGTGAGTAGTTCTGTGGTGGAGGTTGTGGGTGGATTACTGAATAGTGAAGGGAAGAATTGGCATGTGATTCCAGCCTGGAGAGGCAGCATGGTGGAAAAGTGAATGTTTTAGAGAAGAGCAGGATGAGAGGTTTCTTCCCCTTCAGCCATTTCTGGCTTAGTGACCTTGGCCCAAGGTGCCTTAATTTCTCTGACCACTGTCTACCTTCATTCTTTATTTCAACTTGGCAATAATTTTTCAGGACTTGATTAAAAAAAAATTCAATTCATCCTATGGGATTTGCAGAGGCCCCAGTATAAAATGTTATGGACACCTATTCTGCAGCCCTGGTTTGCAGTAATTTTGAATTTCGTGCTATTCTTAGAGAGCACAGATTCAATGAACAGCTTAATCTATAGCACTCACTTCACAAACCCAGATGCCTGAAAATTCAATTAAATCAAACATCTTAAAATTATATAGTAAACCCACTACCTGATTTTTAAAATGTTGGTCAATTGGTTTCCCTTAGTTTGATCAATACAGCTTAATTTCATTATTTCGTCTTGTTTTTTTTTTTTTTTGCCTTCGTTCTGAAAATTTAGTTGCAGGTTTCACCAGTTGCCTAGTAAATATCTGGAACCCAGTAGGGGCTCAGTTACTATTTGTAGTGATGTAAGGGATCACACCTCCAAGCACAAAATGTATGCCATATCCTTATGGACTTTTCTCAACTGTAGAAAAGAGTAGTTGTCTTTTCAATTAGCACCAATGGCCCCCTCTCTGATTTACATTTGAATTATAGCTTTTCTTTCTGTGAGTTTCTCACTGCACATGGTCCCTGTGGGCCTTCTATATTCTTAGTCTAAGAGTTTTACTTACCTGGCCCCACACAGTTACTGACTAAAAGTCGCAAAAGATATTTTATTATCATATTATGAGACTTTTCCCTCCAGCACACACTGTTTAGTTTAAGAACTTTAACTTGGCTAACTCTGTAACTTTATCGGTTATACATAATGGATAAAATGAATAAAGATGACTTACTCTAGAAGCCTGTTTACTATTGAATTATTTGATTGTCTTCAATTGTTGCTTTAGTGATTGTCTTAGCTTGTGCTGCTGTAACAAAATACCATTGTAGTAGTCCATTCTTACATTGCTATAAAGACATACCTAAGACTGGTTAATTTACAAAGGAAAGAGGTTTAAGTAACTCACAGTTCCACATGGCTGGGGAGGCCTCAGGGAACTTACAGTCATGGCAGCAGGTGAGAGAGCAAGCAGGGGAAATGCCAGATGCTTATAAAACCACCAGATCTCGTGAGAACTCACTCACTATCACGAGAACAGCATGGGGGGAACCGTCCCATGATCCAGTTACCTCCATTTGGTCTCTCCCTTGACACGTGGGGATTATAATTCAAGATGAGATTTGGGTGGGGGCACAAAGCCTAGCCATATCAGCCATGAACTGGGTGGCTTAAACAACAGACATTTATATCTCACAGAACTGAAGTTTGGAGGTCTGAGATTAGGATGCCAGCAGGGTTGGGTTCTTGGCGAGGGTTTCTTGATTTATAGGTAGTCATCTTTTTGCTGTGTGCTTACAAGGAAGAAAGAGAGCTAGCTAGCTCTTTCTCCTCTACTTATAAGGGCACGAATCCCATTTATGAAGGCTTTACCCTCATAACCTAATTACTTCCCAAAGGCCCTACCTCCAAATACTATCACATTGAGGGTTAGGATTTCAACAAATGAATTTTTTGGGGTGGAAGGAGGTGTGGGGCAGAAACATTCAGTCCATTGAACTGGTCAGTTTAGGGGCTACTATAATTACTTTCTCATTCTTTGAGTGTTTGTGTGAGTTCACCTATACTAATTGTCCAACCCACAGTTGCCTTATGTTTCTAATAGACAGCAAAGAGAGTACTTGAGAGAGATGGTCTAGAGTTCCAGAGTTTTGCAATATTATTCATGGTTTTTCAAACATTACCAAAGCTAATTTATGAAAAAGGTTGGTAACATTGAGTTGCTTGAAGAGTTGGACTGTTTTTTTTTTAATAACAATTTATCCTTGTAATTGATCTCGTAGGTTCTAATGCCTTCCCATAGTCTTCCTCCGGCAAGCCTGGAGCTCAGCTCAGTCACCGTGGAGAAAAGCCCAGTGCTCACAGTCACCCCGGGGAGTACAGAGCACAGCATCCCAACACCTCCCACTAGCGCAGCCCCCTCTGAGTCCACCCCATCTGAGCTACCCATATCTCCTACCACTGCTCCCAGGACAGGTAACTTTTAAAAAATACAATTTCAAGAAATGTACTGAAGACAGGCTGTAGAATTTGGTGGTGACAACTTTTAAAGTTTACTCATTCCCTCCAGGCACATTTTTCAGCATCTATCATGTGCCAGAAACGGTGCTGCATACTGGGAATAAAAAGATGAATAAGACATTGTCTTTTCCCTCAGGGACTCCATAGTCCAGGAGAGGAGACTGGCAGGTAAAGAGGTGGTTCTGATACAATATGGTAAGTGCTGTGAGAGGCTGCTGTGGGAGCAGAGGGGCACCCTGATCCACTAACAGGGTCCAGGGATGCCTTTCCAGAGGAGATGATGCTAGGATAGAGTGAGCCAGCAAAAATGGCATTGGTCTGTTGTTCAGGTGGAGGGAGCAACATGTTTCATAACAATCGTGATCATTGTATTTACTGAGCACTTACAGAGTGCCAGGCAATATGCTCAGTGCTTCCCATCCATCATCTCTCATTCATTGCCTGTGCAAGAAAACAGAAGTACAAGAGCTCACGGGACATTTCGGAAGAACTGTAAGGGATTCAGTATGGCTGGAACTGGAGTGGTAAGCAGGACAAGAACTGGAAAGATCATGTATTTTGTGCTAAAGATTCTGCACTTTCCTGGATGGGTATAGAGAATCCCTGAATGGTTTTAAGCAGGAAAGCAAAATGATCAGATTTGTATTAAGAAATAGTGTGGGATGAGCCCGGTGGCTCACGCCTGTAATTCCAGCCCTTTGGGAAGCCCAGGCGAGCAGATCATGAGGTCAGGAGTTCAAGACCAGCCTGGCCAACATGGTGAAACCCCATCTCTACTAAAAATACAAAAAAAATTAGCTGGGCGTGGTGGCACACACCTGTAACCCCAGCTACTTGGGAGGTTGAGGCAGGAGAATTGCTTGAACCCAGGAGGCAGAGGTTGCAGTTAGCTGAGATCGCTCCACTGCACTCCAGCCTGGGCAACAGAGCAAGACTGTCTTGAAAAAAGTAAAAAATGAATAAAAAGGGACCAGGCACGGTGGCTCACGCCTGTAATCCCAGCACTTTGGGAGGCCGAGGTGGGTGGATCATGAGGTCAGGAGATCGAGACCATCCTGGCTAACAGAGTGAAACCCCATCTCTACTAAAAATACAAAAAATTAGCCAGACGTGGTGGTGGGCGCCTGTAGTCCCAGCTACTTGGGAGGCTGAGGCAGGAGAATGGCATGAACCCGGGAGGCAAAGCTTGCAGTGAGCTGAGATCATGCCACTGCATTCTGTCCAGCCTGGGCGACAGAGTGAGATTCCGTCTCAAACCAAAAAAAAAGGAAAAAAAAGAAAATAGTGTGGAGTTGACTAGAGGCAACAAGATCCATGAAAAGGCTATGGTGAATGGTTGCAGAGATGGAGGGAAGGAACCAGATTTAGGAGACAGGAAGGGAGCAGAGTCACAAAGATTTGATAAGTGATTGAATGAATGTAAGGATGTGAAGGAAGAGGACGCTAAGACATATGAAAATACAGAACTAAAATTAGATGAGCAGTTGGGCTGAAGATAAAGGATTACGAGTCATCGGTGTGGAGGTGATAGTTGCAGACACGGGGGACATAGGAGATCATCCAGGGAGAGAGGGGGGTTAGCTGAGGAGAGGCCTGAGGACTGGAACTTTGGGGACATTGTTCTATAAGGAGCTGGAAGTGCAGAAGGAGCCTGCAAAACTGATTGGGTAGTTGTGCCAGAGAGGTAGGAGATAAAGAGGAAAGCTAGAGGGAGAGAGTTCTATGGAGGAGGATAGAATAAGTTTCCATCTACCCTTCTAAGTTCTAGGCTAGTGCCCCTGTAACAAAAGATAGATTAACAAGAGAGAAAAAAAAAACAAGTTTATAACATGTACATCTTACCTATACGTGGGAGATGCCCAGGGAAATGAGGAAATCTCAGAGAGGTTTATTATATAAGCTTATATTATATAAGCCTGGAACTCTGGCTTATATAGCATCTTGAACTAAAACAAGGAAAGAGGATTGTGGGGAAGGCAAGTGGCCAAAGGTGCCCAGAATAAACGAAGTAAGCAAGAGTGAGGTTCATTATGCAGATTTGTCAGGACCTTCTCTATGGATGTGGATCTCTTGGAATGTAGTCACCCTTCTCTTCCTGGTATAGAAGGAGAGAGACCCTTACAAATGGAGATTTCCTTTATAGATATAAATTCCCCTTACAAAGGAGTAACTTCTACTCTGTTTTCAGAGCTCCTCTTGGTCTGCTGTTTCTTCAAAACAAACAAACAAACAAACAAAAAACACAGCTCAAAATAATCCTTGTATAAAAGAGTTATAGTTGCAATGGCATATTCTAGTTTCCTACAGTCTGTGAACCAAAAGTATCTGAGACAGGTCTCAATCAATTTAGAAAGTTTATTTTGCCAAGGTTAAGGACTCACCAGTGACACAGCCTCAGGAGGTCCTGATGACATGTATCCAAGGTGGTCAGGGTACAGCTTGTTTTTTTTTGTTTGTTTTGAGACGGAGTCTTGCTTCGTGGCCAGGCTGGAGTGCAGTGGCGTGACCTTGGCTCACTGCAACCTCTGCCTCCGAGGTTCAAGAGATTCTCCTGCCTCAGCTTCCTGAGTAACTGGGATTACAGGCACCCATGACCATTCCCGGCTAATTTTTGTATTTTTAGTAGAGACAGGGTTTCTCCGTGTTGGCCAGCCTGGTCTTGAACTTCTGACTTCAAGTGATCCACCTGCCTCAGCCTCCCAAAGTACTGGGATTACAGGTGTGAGCCACTGTGCCTGGCCACCTTGGTTTTATACATTTTAGGGAGACATAAGACATCAATCAGTATGTGTGAGATGTACATTGGTTTGGTCCAGAAAGGCATGACAACTGGAAGGGGGTCTTTCAGGTCATAGGTATATAAGAGACAAATATTGCATTCTTTTGAGTCTTTGATCAGTCTTTCACTGAATACACAATTTACTTGCCAGAGGGGGTAGAGGAATAGTCACTTATGCCTTGTCTGGCTCAGTGAATCTGTATTTTTTCATAAACAATAGGGCAGAGGAAACAATTAGATATGCATTTGTCTCAGGTGAGCAGAGGGATGGCTGAGCTCTTTCCCCCACCCCCTGCACCTGTGAAGATAAGCTATTGATTTACATTGCCAGGGTGAAATTCAACAAAACTGTTTTAGGGCAAAGATCTTGAGGCCCACAAGGAGTTTCTTGTGGGCAAATTATAAGGAAGGCATGTAGCTTTTTTTTTTTTTAATCTTTGTAGGTATCTCGTTTAGGAATAAAATGAGATGCGGGTTTGCCTGACACAGTTCCCAGCTTGACTTTTCCCTTTGGCTTAGTGATTTGGGGGTCCCGAGATTTATTTCCCTTTCACAAATCATATTTTGGGGTGGCATGTTCTGGTCTCCTGTAGTTCCAAAAGGGAAGACGTATCAAAGCTCCATGTGTCGCAGAGGCTGTGGTGAGGATTGCAAAGCTTCCATTAGATTTTCCAATAAGGAAGTTATTAGAATATGCTAGACGTAAGGGTCATGTTTCCTGAGCTTTTCTGTGGGCCATGTATTTTGGAGATTACTCTCTCTAACTTTTGTATTTACTTTGAGCCTGAGCTTCCATAGAGAGAAAGATAATAGTGGGAGAGAAGCTGTGTAGTATACGGAAAAAGAAACTGGCCTGGGAGTTTGGCCCAGGATCTTTGGGTTTTAATAGAACCTACTGCATACAGTTGTAATGAGGATTAAATGAATTGATCATTTTAAAGCCCTTGGGGCAATGCCTGGCACAGTTTAATCCGGTATATAAGTGTTTGTTGAAATGAATACATTTAAATTAAATATTGGTGGACCTATTGCTAATTACCATACAGCCTTGGACAACTTTGCTTTTCTAGGATTTAATTTCCCCACCTATAACATGATAGGTTTGGATCAATGTCCCTTCTAGGTCTACAGTTGCTGACTTTCAGGATAAAGAGTTAGTGAAAATGACAAGAGAGGAGCCAGCAAAGCCACTGAGAGCCTCTGCAGCTGATCTAGGAGGCACTCGAGGGACTGAGGACTGAGAGGAGGGGAGTGGATTAAATGAACAACCTGTCTGACATCTCCTTGCAGCTGATCCCTCTGGAGCACTCAGCTTTTTTTTTTTTTTTTTTTTTTTTAAATCTTTGCTTTTCTCTGTGTAGTATCTGGACATATCGCAATATATTTTACAAGTGAAACTAATGTCCAATGGAGCCAAACCGATAGAATTTATGAATATATCAATGTAATCTGGTTACAGAGAAAGTAAACAAGTATTGTTCTGAATGCTTACTTGGTGGCTAAGCACTTTTGATAAGAGTTAATGTTCCTGCTGCTTAAGTTAAAATAGGTTTTTTATATTGAGGGTGACTGGATTTTGTCTTGGAAAGGTTCCAAGTACAAGGCCATTAGCAGTAATTCATGAGGCTACTATCAGAACTGAGTGGAGTGTGACTAATGAGACAGAAACACTTAGGATTACACTCAATCTTTTTATAACTAAAAATAGCTCACACCAGGGCGTCAAGAAAAGCTGATAGCAAGGGAGAAAATGGACCCAATTCACAGTTGCATGAAACCTGTTTCACGCAACTCTTGTCACTCAATACGTTGCTCAGTCAATTTGAATCATTATTTTTGTCACAGTGCCAACTCATATTTGTGGTTTAAAACCCTGTACTATAATATAGTGTACAGTTCAATTTCTAGCCAGAGGAAAAACGTGCCTTAGCTAAAATCTTATGAAGAACTATTACAAAAGCATATGTTATTTTAATTTATGGATACCAAAAACAGATCTAGTGTAGAGCAGTAATGTAACACATTATATTATATAATTGCACGTATTATTTCTAATTAACTTTTAGTGAAAGAACTTACGGTATCGGCTGGAGATAACCTAATTATAACTTTACCCGACAATGAAGTTGAACTGAAGGCCTTTGTTGCGCCAGCGCCACCTGTAGGTGAGAGTTTAACCTTCCTCCCTGACCACTAGGAACTGGGGTGTTTTTCTTCAGCAGGTCCTTACAGGCTATTTACAACGCCGATTCTTTTTCACAGTATTGCACGACGTCACAAACAAAGGTGGAGGACAAGGCTTTGATTATTCTTAAGCATCAACATTTGTTGAAATAGTTTCAAATGGAGTAAGAATCTAGGAAATTAAATACAGTATATATCGTTTAATTGGTCAGGATGGAAAGTCATAAATTTCTGATGATGCAAAGCAGATCAGGAGAGGCTGCCACGTACCAGTTCTTGAACTGTAATAACCCATAGAACCTGGGAAGATTCCACCGGGATGAGAGGGAAGTGGCGTGCACCCATAGGTTTGTTTGCAGATACTGTGGCATTGACAATCACGGCTCTCAGGTTCTCAGGATGCCTCACACTAGCTGCTCAAAAAAATTTATTCAAAATGCTCTTTCTTCTACTTGTCCAGTGCTCTACCATTCAGTAAGCATTTGACCTGGGACCTGTGGCCTGTCAAATGCATTGTTTTTAAGGTAAACTCATTCTTAAGGTGTTTGACTATTTCTCATTCAGGTTAGTTCCTTAATTCATTTTTTTCTCCACCACATATTGGTCAAAATTTTATACACAGAGATGATAATATTTGGCATTTGCATTTTAATCCTTTGAGGTGAGGTACCTTATATTTTAACTACTAATATCTGCAGCTGGGAGACAGTTTCATCTTAACATAGACATGTTTATACTGTTTTTGTGTCCTTAAATAAACCCCTACAACAGATCAAATGAATTGAAATCTCCTTGCCTTTTGTTAAAAAGAGAAAAGCACAATGTATTATACTATGTTAAAACTGATATGGATAGTCAGATGTAGCCCCCTAGGAAAAAACTCATCACATACTAATGGTTAAGTTAGGGAGGTTTTTTTTTTTTTAACTTTATACATTTTAAAAATTTCCTGTAAGACGTATGTTTTTATAACAAAAAAAGAAATGTTACATTAAGAAGATACATGTTATCTTGGCTGATAGTTGAAAGTCAAGTTCATAAGATGATAACAAGAGTGAGGGGATAAAAACAAATAAACAAAAAATATATATATAAGTTAAAAAAAAAAAAGAAAGCTGAGTTGAGTATATCTAAGGTAATCTGCACTGGTGGTTTAAAGGCTGTCATCTTCCCTCTGCCCAGGTTATCTAGTGTCCTCTCAGAATTTATAACTACTCATATTTATTTTTTGCTCTCAGAAACAACCTACAACTATGAATGGAATTTAATAAGCCACCCCACAGACTACCAAGGTGAAATAAAACAAGGACACAAGCAAACTCTTAACCTCTCTCAAGTAAGTAACTGGAGACTGGTTGTGTCTAACAGCACAGCGTAACGGCATAGAGCTCAGTTAATACCTTCTTAGCTACTGAACCCAAACGTCTTTCTTCTTTTTGGGGACAGAGTCTTGCTCTGTTGCCCAGGCTGGAGTGCAGTAGCGCAATTACAGCTCACTGCAACCTCTGCCTCCCGGGTTCAAGTGATTCTCCTGCCTCAGCCTCCTGAGTAGCTGGGATTACAGGTGCACGTCACCACACCCGGCTAATTTTTTTGTATTTTTTGTAGAGGTGGGGTTTCGCCATGTTGGCCAGGCTGGTTTTGAATTCCTGACCTCAAGTGATCTGCCCTCCTTGGCCTCCCAAAGTGTTGGGATTACAGGCATGAGCCACCACGCCCAGCTGCAAACATCTTTCTCATGGTAAGATCAAAAGTAGGATATGAATGAATAAAGTTTCAGGCATGCAAGTAGGCAGGCAGATGGTTAAGAGGCTTTGGATGGCGTTTCTTTATTTGGGTTACTTAGTATATCTCAGTTTGGGGAAAAGAGCCTGGTTGTCCCACAAGCATTGCAGAGAGGTTAAAAACCTGTTGTAACTCTTGCTCTCCTTGCAGTGTTAAGGACATTCTACTTATCTCTGGTTCTCAGTCCGGCACATCTCTAGAGTTGCCAATAATTCCATTCCAGGTCACAATTTGCCCTATCACATATTGTTCTATGATACAAGCACTCACAAGAAACATGCCCTCTTTCTGGCCTAGGAGGATATATAAACCGACTTAGCGACTAGAGATCTAGTCTCCTACCAGATGATTATGTTGACTTCATCTCCTGGGACCACACAGCTAATGGTACAACACAGACTTGCATCACCCTCATGTCATGGAGCTGTGTTTCTCAAAGTGTGGCATCCAGACCACCGGCAACCAATGCACCAGAGCTAGGTGGTAAAAATGCATGGTTCCATACACACATTTGAGAACTGCTGCCCTCTGCTGGTCCATCTCACCCAGGCCTCTTTGAAGCCCTCTGCAGCGAAGCTAAAGGCCTGTCTAGGTGATCTTTAGTGCTCCAGAATTCAGGCTTCAAACATGCGGCAGCCTCTTGACAGATCCAAATGAGACTGTCTCCTGAGCCCCTTCTCTATGCTGACTTTAGGAGTGCGGCTTCTGGGACATTTTAGCTTTTTCTACGTAGTGGACCCATCACGTCTTGCATGTTGAACTGTACAACTTTTCTTTATGTTACAGTTGTCCGTCGGACTTTATGTCTTCAAAGTCACTGTTTCTAGTGAAAACGCCTTTGGAGAAGGATTTGTCAATGTCACTGTTAAGCCTGGTAAGCCGGTGTAAGAGAATGACCTCCTGTTGTACATATTTATCTCAATTTTTGGTGCCTGGATGACTCTATATCTGTCTACCTATCTACCTAGAGAGACAAAACCTATTTTGTATTAGGCTCCATTGTAGAGAAAACACGCAAAGATTATATTTTTGGTTTTTTTTTCTACCTTTCGCATAACACTTTGTACTTGCTTGACAAGGTTATTGCTGGCTGCTCTCGAATGGTGGCAAATCTACCTTAGCCCTCTCTATCTGACATTTACACCATCCACTCTAACTTCTACCTCCACTCTCCGTGATTCAGCTTCACCTTCGAAGCAGGGGCATGTTGAATACATTCAACTGAGCAACCAAGAGGTCAGGGGAAAATGTATGCCCATCGGTCAGTGCATTCATGTGAATTAGAAACAGGTGGTTCTTGGGCTGGGTGGGCACAGCCCTGGCTTGGTGAGTAGAACATGGGCTGGCTTTCAGCCTCCACCAACCCCTCACCTGTGCTGAGGGCACAACCGACCCAATCAAGGTGAACCTCCCTTGTACCCACTTCAGCCCACCCTGAGGGCCTGACAGCTCTATCTTTTGCATATGGTTATGGGGGGTGGGGGGGGGAGTTGCCTTCAGTTAGAGATATAAGATCCACTCAATCCAAGGAGCTGGAACTGTAATCCCTTCATCCCTTGCTCCTGCTCTGTAATTACTGCTCACATTCTGTGATGAGCCCCTTGGTTATTATTGTACATCTTCACTGAGCCTGGGCTTACATGCAAAAGTGTAAATGTCCAGACAAGCTCCTGAAATTCATAGAGAGACTCCAGACTTTAAAAAGTGCTCTCCATAGTTGAGGCCTGTAGGATAAACACCTTCTTGACAGGACATGTATAATCAATTTTTTAAAGTAGATGATTTTATGTGGGTAATGACATATGCCTACACAAGATGGGCTCAGTCACTGTCCTTTTTTTTGTTACAGCCAGAAGAGTCAACCTGCCACCTGTAGCAGTTGTTTCTCCCCAACTGCAAGAGCTCACTTTGCCTTTGACGTCAGCCCTCATTGATGGCAGCCGTGTGTATCCTGAGATAGTTTAGGGATTTCTTTTTTTCTCTACGTGCTACGAAATGTAATGAGTGCTCTGCATCAAAGCTAGGAGGACTTATGGGCTGTTACTTTGATAAACGATCACCTCCTTCTTTAGTTTTATGTCTTCTTTAGTTCCTTTAGCTCCTCTATCCTGTGCTTATTTTCCCTTCACCTTTCGTCTATTCTATTAGAAAGTTCTTTAGCGCCTGGCCATTTGATAGGGAATTAGAGCAATTATTGAAGAATCTCCTTCTGGTGTGGTATATATGGTTAGCAGTTGGAAAATCACTTTGTGTATATATATATGTATATATATATAAGATATATAAGATATATATGAGATATATAAGATATATGAGATATATAAGATATATATATGAGATATATAAGATATATATGAGATATATAAGATATATATATATATATATATCTTTATATAGAGGAGCTCCCGTGACCTGACTTGGGAGGGGAGGTGCCCCCCACCAGATGGGAAAATCACTTTTAAGAACTCTTAGAAGGGATGTCTTCAGTGAGGGAGCGTGGTGGTTTTTTAAAATTCATTCAGAGATCGTTTCTTCTATGGGAGTATATGTGGAAGGGGCCCCTGTGTTAACTACAGGTGTCCATGTAAATAAGAATAGGTTGAAAACATCCTGTGGTTGACTAGGTTCAACCTTATCAGTGTAACAGGTAATTGCATTTTATGTACATTTAATCACAAAGTTAATACCAAATCCTTTAGAGGAAGAACGGTTGCCTTGGTTGTTGGAAGAAGAATACTTGTTAGCCATTAAAGCTGCCCTATCTTGCAAGCCTGCAAATTTACAGAGATCACATTGACATGACCATTTGCATCTACTCAAAAATAATCCATATTTCCATCTTAGCACCATGAAAATAAAGCATATTTTAAATGGAAATATTTACATGACCAAATAGGTCACATTTTGATTCCTCTAATTCAGTATGGCTTATTTACAGGAAACTGTTCAGGATTATTAATCTGTCACATGAACTTGTTCTTTCCTTAAATGAATTAGATGAAACTAGCCCCTTTCCAGGTCTAAATTTCTATGAATCTGCATGGCACATTATGTTTGTTCTCTTTTAAAGTAGAAATGGAAGATTTTCATGTAAGGCTGTGAGCTTTCTCTGGATTTACCCCTTAATAATTAAGGTAGTAAAAGATGTTTTGTAAGTTGTAGAAAGGCAACTCAAGTCTTTTTGAACCTGTCAGCTCAGGTGCCTATTTAAAATGATCAGTATGCTGTAGCTGAGGTGAGCAGAAGTAGCATTTCCATGTGCTGCATTTTGTTGACTCCTGTTTTTTAAAAGCAAAAGCATCTGTCACTGTGCTTCTTAAATATTCAACTGAGTGGGAACAGCCTCATTCAAATCTGGTGGAAATCCAGGAGAAAAATAGTGATATAATTTCGGGAGTAGGAAAGAATCTCCTTCTAATACAGTATATATCCATTGAGATCTAGGCAAGTACATAATTTCTTATAAAAATGAATTTAAATATGCAATAATTAAAGTATAAAACTTATGTCTTCCTCTTCTTGTATTTCATTCTTGTCTTTATTTCTTAATCTTGTAGAAAGTACAGATGATACTGAAATAGTGAGTTATCATTGGGAAGAAATAAACGGGCCCTTCATAGAAGAGAAGACTTCAGTTGACTCTCCCGTCTTACGCTTGTCTAACCTTGATCCTGGTAACTATAGTTTCAGGCAAGTGGGTCCCTGCCTTTATTGTGCTGCCTGCTACTTACATTTTGACTGTTTCTTTAAATTAACGCACATAAAACACTGCACTTCTTATTTTGATCAAAAGAGATTTGGCTTTCATGGGGGTTTTGGTTGCATGCCGCTGGAGACTCTGATATCCTCATCAATTAATAGGAACTTTATTTATTTATTGGAGTAAAATTTATATATAGTGAAAGGTACTTTATGAGATTCATTTAATTCATTTGTATTTAATTACGCTTTACCATCTTATTGGAGCAGCTTACTGCTGCTAACCCATGAAGAAATTTCCTAACGGGCCCAAAAAGTGTCCTGACTCAGCCTGGTTGAGAAGGAAGGACTTTAGATGTTTGGTTTGCTGTCAGAGCCAGAAGTAGAAGTTGGATCTTGGTTGTGTGGAGTATGAGGGATAGTGTGGAAGGAAGCTCAGAATGCACAGGTGCCCCCTACATGTCTTTTCCCTGCAAGGAAGGCCTGCATTCTTGCCACAGCTTCATTGTCATATGCCTATTGATATTATTTAGCACTCATCACTGCTCCCACCACCATCTTTAACGTAGAAGGATGAAGTGACCCATTTGTGAATTCACTGTCCTCAGGACCACATTAGGAATCAGTTTAGTGCAGGAAAGTTAACGCACTTCTCTTTTTTGTTTGCAGAGGTTGAGCATTGGTTCGCATTTGAAAGTGCTTAATCCTAACACTGCTTTGCAAGGAGTATCCTGAAAACATAATTATAAGTCCTCTAGAAAAGGATTAAAAAGTAAAAAGCTTTGTAGCTGAAAATTCAGGAGTGATTTGCTGTCTCTGCATGCTCAACCTGCAGGCAGAACTTAAACCTGATCCATTTTTAGTCTCCGTTAAGAGAGTGGCATCTGTGTTGGGTGAGGATGGTTTCTTCACCCAGCATCTCAAAAGCTAATCAGAAATCCATAAAGGTGAAACTCTGACATCAATATGTTATGAACTAAAACTAAAAATAGCCAACAGCAGCAAAAGCAAACAAAAATATCAAGTCTGTGTTTATCTTTGCTTCATCCTTAAATTTCTATTTTTACCTGTTCCGAGAACTGTTCCATGAGCAGACTAAATTGACCTAAGTTTACCTTGAGATTTGGCATATTATTTTTTTGTCTACTTTTTTTCTTTTTTTTTTGGTTGTTTTTTGTGACAGTCTGTTGCTCTGCTGCCTGAGCTGCAGCGCAGTGGAGCAATATCGGCTCACTGCAGCCTTGACCTCCCGGGCTCAAATGATCCTCCCACCTCAGCCTCCCAAGTAGCTAGAACTACAGGTGTGCATGACCACACTCGGCTAATTTTTTTTTTTTTAATTAAATAGAGACAGAGTCTCCTTCTATGGCCCAGCTGGTCTCAGAACTCCTGGGCTCAAGCGATCCTCCCACCTCAGCTTCCCACAGTGTTGGGATTACAGGCGTGAGTCACTGCACCCAGCCTGGCATATTCTTCCAACTACGGCTTCTTCTCCTTTTTGTAGGTTGACTGTTACAGACTCGGACGGAGCCACTAACTCTACAACTGCAGCCCTAATAGTGAACAATGCTGTGGACTACCCACCAGTTGCTAATGCAGGACCAAATCACACCATAACTTTGCCCCAAAACTCCATCACTTTGAATGGAAACCAGAGCAGTGACGATCACCAGATTGTCCTCTATGAGTGGTCCCTGGGTCCTGGGAGTGAGGGCAAACATGTGGTCATGCAGGCAAGTTCTCCATCCTGCCTTCAGACTTTTGTCTGTCTGTCTGTCTGTCTACCTAGCTATGTGCTATTGGTTGGGGTAGGCAGTTAAATTTAGATAATTTATTTTGTAAAGTTATCTGATCTATTACAACTATTAGAAAAGGACCTAAGCTCACAAATCTTCCAAGTTTACATCCCTTCCCCTCGCCCACTTAGATAAGCACAGGACAGCAACCAATTGGCTCTGTGCTGAAAATTAGATCTTGAGATCGGTTTGGGAAAAGTCTCACATCTGTTAGAGAAGTATTTTCGTATTGGGAGAAACCTTAGAAATAATCTAATCTAAACCTGATTATCAGAATTTTTTTTGTTATTCTGTTTCTCCTGTTTATAGAAACTCCATGTTATCTTGTCTACATCCACTGGTCGCTTTTTAGGACCTTGTTTGTATCTACCTTTTGATTTGTTCAAATCTTTTAAATATATTTGTCTAACAACATAATAATCTTGAAACTTCTGTTGTGTGTGTGAGCTGTTTGCTTATTCTTCTTTTTGTGATTGGCAAAGCTATTTGTTTTTGTTGCTAACCAGCTTGGTGTTTTTGAAGTTATGTTATTATTTGAGTTTCATGAGAAAAAAAAAAAAGATAGGACCTTACATTTCCATCTTCCTTTTCTCCTTCAAATTTTGCCTCACCAGTCCAAGATACATTTCTCATTAGTATTTAAGATAAAATCGGACATTCCATGGAAACTTACCTGCTTTGCTTTCCAGTGTTCCTGGAACATGCCTTGCAATTATGAGGAGTTAAAAGTGACTAGGTAGATTTATGGAACTTGAAAGAGCCATGAGTTGTCTGGATATCCTTGGAGAACCCTCTTGGTGGTGTCCATCTCTACCTAAGGGTTGTAGCAAGTGCTATGTTTGCTTCTGTTGTGTTAAGAATTCTGATTCAGAGGCGGGTTGGATACAAAACAGGAAGATGGGATATTTTTTATTTTCACGGTTAAAAAAAATCTTCCTAATTTTCTTTTACTTAATTATTAGGAATTATGCATCCAAAGCTAATACTCCAAAATCCATCCATGCATACTGGATGTGTATCCAAAGTTCCTGAGGGCTGGGCCACACTGTGAGCCTTGCCTCTACACACCAGCCCAGTTGCCAGACACCCTCTCTCTTCTTTCCCCGAAGAATATCCACAGTAACAACCTTATTGCCTTAAGCTTGATTAAGATGTCCAAAGGAGTATTAACTGGGGCAATCACAAAATGAGGTCTGTGAATCAGACCCTTTTATATTTGTCTGAAAATTGTACCAAGCAGCCTGCTGAGGCTGTGTTCTTACTGGGAAGGAAGTGAAACCTTTGCAATTGCCTGAAACATGTGGCCGCCTTGAGGGCATTGGTGAGACACAGTAGTCTGCTCAGTTCCCATTTGCCACAACATTCCCTTCCATTGTGTGCAGAAGCATTCTCGTACCAGATCAATTTGGAGGCAACTCCTGGGAAATTATACTTTCCCTGTTGAACTTTTCAGAGAAACGTGCTTTGCCTTACTTAGTCAAAGTAGGGGAAAGTATTTTTTTTTCAAAAGTTCTTAAAAGGGTGCATTTCAAATTTCAGAAGTTCCCCTGGTAGCACAATGGATCTTGTAACAATTTTCTTTTTAAATTTTCCATTAAAACCTTAAAAAATACACATAGAAACATTTATCTATAGACAATCTTGGGATCTATAAAAGTAAATAAATTGTAATAAGACTTAAAAATCCATTTCATGATGCCATGAACTTCAAACATAAGCAATAATTGAAATTATTACCAACGACAAAAAAGAAAGGGTATTAACCTGAGGTCACCAAGTGTAGCTGTTGCATACTCAGTTGAAAAAATGACTTTGTAAAAACTTAGGTTGACTTAGAGTTTTACAAAATTATATTATTTATTTATTATGAAACAGGGTCTCACTCTGTCACCCAGGCTGGAGTGCAGTGGTGCAACTATGGCTCACCGTAGCCTTGATCTCCTGGGCTCAAAAGATCCTCCCATCTCAGCCTCCCGAGTAGCTAGGACCACAGGCACACACCACTACACCTGGCTAATTTTTGTGGTTTTTTTTGTGAAGATGGGATTTTGCCATGTTGCCCAGGCTGATCTCTAACTCCTGGGCTCAAGAAATCTTCTCGCCTTGGCCTCCCTAAGTGCTAGGATCACAGGCATGAGCCACCACACCCGGCAAAAAGTTGTTTTTATTATTATTAATTTTTTCTTTTTTGAGACAGAGTCTCACTCTGTGGCCCAGGCTGGAGTGCAGTGGCACCATCTTGGCTCACTGCAACCTCCACCCCCTGAGTTCAAGTGATTCTTCTGTCTCAGCCTCCTGAGTAGCTGGGATTACAGGTGCCTGCCACCACGCCCGAATAATTTTTGTATTTTTAGTAGAGACGGGGTTTCACCATTTTGGCCAGGCTGGTCTTGAACTCCTGACTTCATGATCCACCCGCCGTAGCCTCCCAAAGTGCTGGGGTTACAGGCATGAGCCACTGCACCCAGCCAAAAAATTATTTTTGATTACAAAACTAATACATGAATTGCCTCTTGTGGTTAAAAAAAATAATAATAAAAAAGCTCAAATAAATTCTGCTAAAATAAGTTCAAATAAATTGATCACCACTGTCATCCAAGTGTCCTTATTGGAAATAATTACTTTTATCAGTTTAATGTGTACACTTCCAGAATCTTTTCCATGTGTCTGTGTAAGTGTGCGTATGTACATGTAGCAATACCTTTCACATTGTATGCATTGTTCCACAAATTTCTTTTTTGTGTGGATTTCTTTAAAAATTTTTTTACTGTTTGCTTTTGAATGCGACCCAACTTTCTTTTTTTTGCTTAATATTTCTTTGACATTTTCCATTTTAGTACTTATAAACCTGCCTCATGATTTTAAACTTCTTTCTTTTAAACTAGCATTCCACAGTGTATCATAGTGTGTTTGACCATCCTCCTGTTGATGGATGTGTAGATTGTTTCCATGTTTTGCTGTGATAGACTGTTCTTCAGTCAGCATCCATGGACGAGTCTCCTTGTGCATTTCTCTGGGGTAGATACTAAGAAGTCGAATTACTGGGTTGGAGTATGTGCTTATTTAATATTTTAATAGCTGTTTTCATACTGGCTTCCAAAAAGCCTATGGTAGTTTACACTCCTTCAATAGTGTATGAGGATGCACAGTAGACTTTCAGTTGCACTTTCCTGGGGACCAACATATTTTTTTCTTTTTTCTGTCAACCAGGCTGCAGTGCAGTGGTGCAGTCTCAGCCCACTGCAACCTCCCTCTCCCGTGTTCCAAGTGATTCTCGTGCCTCAGCCTCTTAAGTAGCTGGGATTACAGGTGCCCGCCATCATGCCCAGCTGATTTTTAAAATATATTTTTAGTAGAGACGGGGTTCCACCATGTTGGCCAGGCTGGTCTCGAACTCCTGACCTCAAGTGATCCACCTGCCTTGGCCTCCTAAAGTGCTGGGATTACAGATGTGAACCACCGTGCCTGGCCAAACACATTTCTTTTTTGAGCAAGATCTCTGTATTAAGTAAAATTGTTAGTTTTTCATTCTGTCATACTATTTACTTGTGCTTCTTTACTTTTTTGTTTTGTTTTGTTTTTATTTTTGTATTTGCTATTACTTAGGGAGTACAGACGCCATACCTTCATTTATCTGCAATGCAGGAAGGAGATTATACATTTCAGCTGAAGGTGACAGATTCTTCAAGGCAACAGTCTACTGCTGTGGTGACTGTGATTGTCCAGCCTGGTAGGTGGAGGAGAAAGAGATTTGGCCTCAGAGATTAAAGCAGAAATGATAGCTGGGCTTCTGGGGTTTGGAGATGCCACACTTGGTGGTACCGGCCTGTGGGTGCCAAAGCTCCATATAAAACTAATTTCATTTCAAGGTTCTAAATCTTGCCTTGACTGTAAACTATGGCATGAAGGATGAAATGAGAGCCATCCACAGCACTGCTTGTGGGCTCCGATTTGCCTTGTGGATGCTTCCACACGTGCCCCAGTCTGCTCTGGAGAGCTCCAGGGGATCTTGAAGGGGCTGGTTCTTATGTGTGGCTTGACACTCAGATGTAGCCAGACATTGGGGAACACGTTGCAGTTCAGTGTCACTGTTCATTAATAGTTTCATGAAAACCCAGGGCTCTGCCTACCTCCTGAGTTAAATAACCTTAAAGGTAGCTATACCTTTGTTTGATAATGGTCTTTGCCTTAGAACTTTTCTAGAAGAGTTCTGTTAGTCCAAGAACCTCTATCCAGTTCCTGGCAATGAGATTATACTCAACCTATAGACAACTTATTTATTTATGCCGCTAATACATAAAAAGTTCTATTAGTTAGACCCTGGGATGTGGAATTAAACAAGATAGACTTGATCTCTGCCCTTGCAGGGCTTATGGAGAAGTTCACATAAAACTCTGTGATTGGCGCTCTACTAAAATAACTGCAGGGTGCTACAGGACCCCAAAGAAAGAGCACTCACCTGGGTGAGATGCATCTGCAAAGAGCTCGTACATGAGCTCAAGGTTGAAGCACAAGTCACAGTTAGTCGGTGAAGAATGGGAGGGGTGGGCAGCACAGGAGAAGAGGAAGAGTTCTTAGGCAGAGGGAACAGTATGCGTGGGCGCCAAAGAAGAGAGTCTGGTACATTCGAAGATTTAAAAGGAATTACTGTGATTGGAGAGAGAGAAAAAGAGGTAGGGATGTGGGAATGGGAGGTGGTGGGGAGGTTGGGCAGGGATTGGAATGACAATAGATGACCCCAAGAGAGCCCGGGGCACCATCCTAAAGGGCTTTGTAAATGTATGGTCACCCAAGTACTCTATCCTACGGCAAAGGGAAACCCCTATTTTGTAGTGAGTAGGATCATGGGGGCTGTGGCGTGGTGCAAACATTGGGTAATGGCTGCCACAGCTTTTGACTACATGACTTCTTTTTTTTTTTTTTTTTGTGAGACAGGGTCTCACTTTGTTGCCCAGGCTGGTCTCAAACTCCTGGACTCAAGCAGTTCTCTCACCTTTGGCCTCCCAAAGTACTGGGATTACAGGTGTAAGCCACTACACCTGGCCCTTTTTTTTGGTTTACACATATTTTATCTATTTATATCAATATTAGCAATACTTTTTTTTTTTCCCTCGAGACAGAGTCTCACTCTGTCGTCTAGGCTGGAGTGCAGTGGCATGATCTTGACTCACTGCAATCTCTGCCTCCCGGGTTCAAATGATTCTAGTGCCTCAGCCTCCTGAATAGCTGGGATTACAGATGTGTGCCACCATGCCTGGCTAATTTTTGGATTTTTAATAGAAACACAGAGTTTCGCCACGTTGGCCAGGCTGGTCTTGAACTCCTGGCCTCAAGTGATCCCCTGCCTCGGCCTCCCAAAGTGCTGGGATTACAGGCGTGAACTACCACGCCCTGCCAATATCAGCAATACTTTATATCTTTTACTTTTGTTTAACATTTAATTTAAAATGTTTTGAATATTTACTGTTTACCAGGCACTGTGTTAGCACTGAGGCTACAGAGACAAAAGGAAGTAAGCCCTACCTGATAAAGCAGGTCTCTTCACATCAACGTCCCCTCCCTCCCTCTCTGTGATGTCCCTTTGTCCCCTCCCTCCCTCTCTCTCTTCCTCCCTCCCTTCCTTCCTCTCTCTTTCCTTCCTCCCCCAACCCTTCTTCCCTCTCTCATTTTACCCTTCTTTCCTTTCCTTCTCTTTCACCCTATGACGATTTTTTTTTTTAGACGGATCTTGCTCTGTCTCCCAGGCTGGAGTGCAGTGGCACAATCTTGGCTCACTGCAAGCTCCGCCTCCCGGGTTCATGCCATTCTCCTGCCTCAGCCTCCCGAGTGGCTGGGACTACAGGCGCCTGCCACCACACCTGGCTAATTTTTTGTATTTTTAGTAGAGACGGGGTTTCACCGTGTTAGCCAGGATGGTCTTGATCTCCTGACCTCGTGATCCGCCCGCCTCGTTCTCCCAAAGTGCTGGATTACAGGCGTGAGCCACTGTGCCCGGCCGACTGAGGATCTTTTAAACCAAATAAACCAAAGATGTGTCTATTAGAGACAGTGTTTCTTGGCTGCCTATAACAGCAGTCTTGAACTTGGACTGTTCAACTCCTGGATCAGCTAGGAGGCTGCAGTGCTTCACTCCAGGATTCCAAAGGATGCTGCATACTCTAGTGGCTGCCTGGTCTGAAGATGAGTAATGTACTTAAATCAAGAAATCACAGGATTGCAGACTTAATGCAAAGAGATAATACTTTTTCACACTGTTTCTGTAATTCCAGAAAACAATAGACCTCCAGTGGCTGTGGCCGGCCCTGATAAAGAGCTGATCTTCCCAGTGGAAAGTGCTACCCTGGATGGGAGCAGCAGCAGCGATGACCACGGCATTGTCTTCTACCACTGGGAGCACGTCAGGTAGTCTGTCTCGCCACTGAGCTAGGTTCATGCCCATGCTGAATGCTAATATTATCCCTTCTCTGGAGGATCTGTAGTAAACAATCAGCTTGCGCATTTTGAGGAGTCGGGATTTAAGCACGTTTCTAGAAGTGGCTGGGCGTTATTGATTGAAGAGTACATTAAGTGTGGATGGACATCATTGACAGCGGAGGGAGGTAGAGCTTGGGGCAGTTGAACAGGGCTGTCTTGGTGTGAGGCGAGCTCATGACAGAAGAGGTTCAGGGAAACCTGTGTGTGATCCTGTCTACACTCAACCCATCCTGCAGTGACTGTAGACACCAGAAGTGCAGTGTAAGGGGCGACCCATATCATCTAACATTTTCTGAGCTTTACATGCTCTGTCTCATAGAACCCTGTATCAGTTTGTAAGAGATAAATAAGAATATTATTCCTATTTAAAGTTGAAGAAACTGAGGCTTGTAGACACTAATGAGACCACACAGACTAAGGTTGCCCAGATAGTAAGAGAAAGAGCTTGGACCCAAACTGAGGTATTTTTGACAAGCCCCGATCTTAGTGACTATACTGTGATCTCTCTCCTAGGAGAGGGCTTATCTGGCTTATTCCCTCCTCTTCCATGCTCTCCCTAAAGATAGATGAGGATTTCACCTAATTTTATTCAAAGAAGAAATGGGAGTCGTTTCTAAGGCTCATTTTCCAAGGATAGATCATTTCACTGGCAGCTTGACTTAAAAAAATCGAGAACAAATATTCTCTTCCCAGTAATCCAGCAGACTCTGCCTGAGATAGGTTTTAGCTTGTGACTCTTACACTGAACTAGAGAGTACAGATGAATGGAGTTTTCTTAGAATTCTCTAAATGGTATATATTATAGCTGGAACAAAACATTTATAAGAGCACAAATCGCATGCCTGTCATATTCAAAACCCCATGCCCCCTCCCTTATGTTAACCACTTCTATGTTTTATAGAGGCCCCAGTGCAGTGGAGATGGAAAATATTGACAAAGCAATAGCCACTGTGACTGGTCTCCAGGTGGGGACCTACCACTTCCGTTTGACAGTGAAAGACCAGCAGGGACTGAGCAGCACGTCCACCCTCACTGTGGCTGTGAAGAAGGGTGAGTGGGTCTGAGGTGGACAGGGCTGGGCCTGCTCTGCTTTCGAGTCTGCAGGACCCTCAGCCAGGCCATGACTATTCAGAGATGTTGGTGTTTGCTTATTTGTTCGCAGCAGATGCCGAACCCTGCCTGGCTGAAAAAAAGCCAACTTTCTTCTATTCATGTTAGCTGTTTCTCAGTCGCCCTCTGCAAGCAGACATTTCCTTTTGTTTGTGGAGCATATCTTCTAATGACTTCACTCTTCTGTGACTACTAGTAATGAAAGACCCACGTCCAAATGACACCATTATGCTTTTTTTCCTTTATTCCTTGGAAATTCAAGAAAAGAGATGTTTTCAAATTCCATATCGTTTCTTAGTGTGAAATCTGTGGTCTAGACTAGTGAATACTGCTTTAGGTACTTGTCTCCTTGTCTGTCTTCCCATTTGACTGTGAACTGCCTGAGTGTCTTTGCTTCAGACATCTCTGTATCCTCAGTATAGCCTCAGTATAGCAGAGTGCTAGACTCATGGCAAATCAGAGGTGTTGAATGAATTAGTGAATGGATGATTACAACGTGTTGAAGTGCAGAGGAGTATAAGAGCCTGGCTGGATGGAAAGGTTCAAGCATTGTAGAATGGCAAGAGTGTGGGACGCTGGGAGAGTGGCTGCAGCCTGAGGCACAGGCTCTGCCATGGAGGGTTGTATGTGCCACGGGCCATGCTTAGGGGTTTGGACTTTATCCTCTGGGCAGCTGGGAGAGGCTGAAGCAACTTTAACAGCAAAGTGATATAGATTTGGATTTTTCAAAAGATTTTATTGTAGAGATTTTCAACCATGCATAAAAGTAGAGAGAATAGTCTGAACAGGCATCTTGACTTGTTTCTAAGGGGAAATTGGGAGGGATCAGGCTGGGTCCCAGAGCCCCTTCTGGACAAGCAGGATTTGCCTCACAGCAGCCTCATCTCCAAATTGAGGCTGTGTCTTATTATGATCTCCCCACTGTACCCCAGTGTTGTTAGTGCTCCCTGGCCCCTCTTTTCTGAAGTTATTACATCAGAAATGGCTTTTACATTGCCTCATTTTTTTATTTTTAAAATAGACCCAGGGTCTCACTCTGTTGCTCGGACTGGAGTACTGTGCTGTGATCATAGCTCATTGCAGCCTCAAACTCCTGATCTCAAGTGATTCTCTCACCTCAGCTTCCTGAGTAGCTGGGTCTACAGGTGTGTGTTACCATGCCCAGCTGATTTTTAATTTTGTGTGTGTGTGGAGACGGGTCTTGCTACCCAGGCTGGTCTTGAACTTCTGGCTTCAAGCACTCATCCTGCCTTAGCCTCCCCAAGTGTTAGGATTACAGTTATGAGCCACCATGCCTGGCCATTGCCTCATTTATATTTAACACCTAGTCAGAGAAGTGAGGGCCTAATTATCATTGTTATTATTTCAATTTTTAATTTTTCATAGAGATGGAGACTTGTTGTGTTGCCCCGGCTGGTCTCAAACTCCTGGTCTCAAGTGATTCTCCTGCTTTGGCCTCCTAAAGTGCTGGGATTACAGGTGTGAGCCACTGCACCCAGCCTACTTTTTACTCAAATTTTTTTTTTCTTTTTTTTTGTCTTAGAGAGTCAAGATTTGGCAGTACTTGAAGTGGAAATATTTCTGGCCAGATAGTGTGGACCAGTACAAAATGACCCAAAGTATATTGTAAACCAAAATATTGCCACTTTCAATACCCTAAATGTTGGTAAAATCATTGTTTCTATTTTTCAAGGACAGAAAAGGTATAACAATATTAGAAAAATTCCCAAGGTACAGCTTGCCACCTGCTTTACCGTTTTCATCCCAAATTATAGCTAACTAAGTACAAATGGAGCTTTAAGGAAGTCTGTATCTTATATGCATCTGGGGAAAAAAATGCCTTTTTGGATATTTTAATTCTACATACTGTATCTGCAAGGTGGAAGAGTTGTGGATGTTTTATGACACACTTATTCTATCACTGGTGTTTTAAATCAATCTCTTTGCTTTCATTTTGCTATATTTGACTTAGAAAATAATAGTCCTCCCAGAGCCCGGGCTGGTGGCAGACATGTTCTTGTGCTTCCCAATAATTCCATTACTTTGGATGGTTCAAGGTCTACTGATGACCAAAGAATTGTGTCCTATCTGTGGATCCGGGATGGCCAGAGTCCAGCAGCTGGAGTGAGTACTGAGAGAGAATTGCTCCTAGACCACTTATCATTACATCTGCATTAGTCAGCTTGGGCTGCAAACAATATATCACGGTATATTCTAAGGAAAGGATATAAGTATAAGGAGGCTTAAACAACAGAACTTAATTTTGTCTCCATTATGGAGGCTGGGAAGACAGGCTCAAGTTGCTGGCTAATTCAGTTTCCAGTGAGGTCTTTCTTCCTGGCTTGCAGACAGCTGCCTTCTTACCATGTCCTCCCATAGCAGGGGAAGAGAGAGCACTCTGGTGTCTCTTCTTATAAGGACAGTAAATCCTATTGGATCAGGGGCCTACCCTTATGACCTCAATTAACCTTAACTACTTCCTTATAGGTCCTATTTCTAGATACAGTCATATGGGGTTAGGGCTTCAACACAGGAGTCTGGGAAAGACACAGTTCGGTCCACGGCAGTGTCTCTATAATGACCTCATCTCTCTTTCCCTGTTCCCTGTAAGGTGCTTATGCTTCTACATTAGAATGTTCTGAAGGCTGGAGGCAGTAGGCTGCTTTGAGATTTAGCCAAAAGCTGAAATCCTTTCTGACTTTTTCCTGAACAGACTTTGGATGGGGCAGGAAACCATAGCTTGGAAGCACTTTGAGGTCAAGTCTTCCAGCAGGATGCTTTTCCATCCTTCGTATTTTGGTCCAAGTGGATTCTTTTCTGTTCCTCATATTGTACCAGATGAGTCAATAGATCACGGATTGCTATTTACGTTTTATAGATGCAGAAGGCGAAATGCAGAGATGAGAAGTGACTTGGCCGAGGTTAACTAATCCATTTCTTTTGTTCTTTTTTTTTTTTTTTTTTTTTTGAGATGGAGTCTCACTCTATCGCCCAGGCTGTAGTGCAGTGGCGCAATCTCGGCTCACTGCAACCTCCGCTGCCCGAGTTCGAGCTATTCTCCTGCCTCAGCCTCCCGCGTAGCTGGGACTACAGGCACGTGCCACCACGTCCAGCTAATTTTTGTAGTTTTAGTAGAGATGGGGTTTCACCATGTTGGCCAGGATGGTCTTGATCTCTTGACCTTGTGATCCACCCGCTTCGGCCTCCCAAAGTACTGGGATTACAGGCGTGAGCCACCGCGCCCAGCCTTAACTAATCCATTTTTAATCAAACTAGACACACCTAGGTTTTTAGCTCCTGGCAGGCATTTTACCCCCATTAGATCACTCTGCCTCTTAGGACATAAATGTATGTACGTCTTCATTCCTGCCATTTCTAAGGACTGGAGAGATACAGATTTAGTCTTGGAGATGTACTAAGGAGTGGTCACAGGGAAGGAACTGAAAATGCTTTATACTTTTTTTTTTTGAGTCCGAGTCTCGCTCTGTCACCTAGACTGGAGTTTAGTGGTGCGATCTAGGCTCACTGCAAGCTCCACTTCCCAGGTTCAAGCCATTCTCCTGCCTCAGCCTCCCGAGTAGCTGGGACTGCAGGTGCCCACCACCACGCCTGTCTAATTTTTTTGTATTGTATTTTTAGTAGAGACGGGGTTTCACCTTGTTAGCCAGGATGTTCTCGATCTCCTGACCTCGTGATCCGCCTGCCTTTGCCTCCCAAAGTGGTGGGATTACAGGCGTGAGCCACCATGCCCTGCCAAATGCTTTATACTTTCTAAGCACTTCTAGAATTAACACTATTCAACTAGATGGGGGATTAGCCTCTAAATGTAATAACAATGAGTCTCTGTTCACAGCACATATTCGTTATCACCCCTTCTATTAGCAGGAGTCTGGGAGGTTCTTCTCTCATTCTTTGGAGCTTAGAAGCCCACAGAACAGAGGACGCTACACAGGGTCTTGGGTTATTTCAGGTGAACATGATACATTATGAGGGAATTCAAGATGAGAGTTTTGTAAAGCTATGTTTGAAAATAAGACCCAGAAAACCTGTGCTTTGTTCTCAGCGTCCTTGCCCTAATTCAAATGGTCTTTCCCTTTGTTGGATACAATTAATTATTTGGTAATTCCTGGAAAGTGCTTGGTAAACTTAGTTCAGTTCAGGAAATACTGTCTGAGGATGTGCCCCCTGGTGCTTTTTGGGGAAGAGATGCTGAGGATTTCTCCAGTCTTTAGCTATCCCGCCAGCCTCATTCCCTGCAGCCTCCCTCTTAAAGTCACGCCTGTGTTAAAAAGATGGGACACTGAGGTTTAGGATCAACAGAAGCCCAGAAATTGGGACCCGAGGATTGACAGCTGCCCTGTGATCCGTGTTCTTTCGCAGGATGTCATCGATGGCTCTGACCACAGTGTGGCTCTGCAGCTTACGAATCTGGTGGAGGGGGTGTACACTTTCCACTTGCGAGTCACCGACAGTCAGGGGGCCTCGGACACAGACACTGCCACTGTGGAAGTGCAGCCAGGTGAGTTCCTGGGCTCTGGAGCTGGCCATGCAGGCTCTGGCTGGTCAGCCTTTGGGGTCTTTACGCTGACAGATGTGACCAGTGTGGGAGGCCTCCTGTGGCTGGCTCCAGCTCTTGGCTGGACCCACTTTGAGGATGTCTCTTACACCTTGTTGTGTATCCCCAGATAGATCCAGCCTCATCACTCTTTAAAAGAGAATGTTATCTGGCAACTAGATTTTCTTTTCATGTTTGTTTTCCTGCCAGAAGACAAAGACTTAATGTGAAGTGGACACAAGGGCCTCATACCAGGGCACAGAGGGAGGCAGCTCCAGTGAAGTGGCTGTAACGACCTCAGCATAAACTGGACTGGGAAGTGCCCATTGGCACTTGGAAGCAAAATTCTCTTTCTGGTCCTGGGAAAATGTGGAAGAGGCTGAAATTTTCAGCTAGCCCAGAGGCTAATTAGGTACACCCGATTATCTTCTGGAAAAAAAATTATAAACAACAAACTGTGATAAAACAAGGGAAAGTACTCCCAGATAGTGGCCTTTGCGGTGTTTAGAAGAATTTACCTGAGTGCTACAACTCAAATGTAGAAATGGCATAGGAGTAACTTTGAGCTCCTATAGAAACCTCGCTCCTTATGCTCTAAAGCCTGTGCAAATGTCCAAGTGCAAATCCTGTATCTTCTCTTTCCCCAGACCCTAGGAAGAGTGGCCTGGTGGAGCTGACCCTGCAGGTTGGTGTTGGGCAGCTGACAGAGCAGCGGAAGGACACCCTTGTGAGGCAGCTGGCTGTGCTGCTGAACGTGCTGGACTCGGACATTAAGGTCCAGAAGATTCGGGCCCACTCGGATCTCAGGTAGGAGCTGCACACTCAAGGCGGGGCCTTGGCCGTACAAAATTCCAGCTCTTACCTCATCCCAGTCCAGTAGAAAACTGTTCATTCCTCTGCTACTTTTGTATTTTTGACACACTTTTATCCCATTCATATACTTTTTTTCTCAAAGGGCAGTAGTATGGCCAACATCATGCTAGGTCCTTCCTAAAATTCTCAGTAAATGTTTGCTGATTGGGAATGTTCTGAGTGAAGGAGGTGCTGGGGAACAGCAGGGGAGACGGTTGTTAGCTCTGGTGTCTTCAGAGCTGGGCAAGGGGTCTGGAGCATGTGAAGAGGATGTCTCACAGCTGGGCTGCATCCCTGCCCCACGTTCATGGGGACTGAGGCTTCTCTCAATGTGAAAGGATCACTGATTACCATTTGCCATCTCCTGGGAGTATATGAGGCTGAAACTCTGGCCTTTATTTTTCATGACATCTTTGTATTTAATTGAGTTTTATTTATTTAATCTATTTATTATTTTATTTTATTTTTATTTTTTGAGACAGGGTCTCGCTCTGTTGCCTAGGCTAAAGTGCAGTGGCATGGTCTCAGCTTACTGTAACCTCCGCCTTTCAGATTCAAGTGATTCTCCTGCCTCAGCCACCTGAGTAGCTGGGACTACTGGTGCCCCCACTATACCCGGCTAATTTCTGTATTTTTAGTAGAGGCAGGGTTTCATCTTGTTGACCAGGCTGGTCTCAAACTCCTGACCTCAAGTGATTCGCCCACTTAGGCCTCCCAGGGTGCTGGGATTATAAGTGTGAGCAACCATGCCTGGCTGAATTTTACTTTTAAAGTCTTATCTAGCTCAGGGTGGAGTGGGAGGAGGGAGAAAAAGAATATGGGAATGAAAACCCACTATTCACAGTAACTCCATTTGCCTAGCTATTGTCAGCTCTTCCACTTTGGTTAGTTTTCCAGAGAACTGAAGTTCACTTAGAAAAACACCAAATTTAAACATGTTCTAATTATTTTCTAAGGAACTCTTTCTAAAATGGATCATATATTTCCCTCGTAAAATATAAAATACTGAATCAAAGACATGTCTGAAAATCAACAAAACCAAAAGTTGTTTCTTGGACAGATCAGCAAAATTGATAAATCCTTAGCTAGATTGACTAAGAAAAAATAGAGAAGACTCATACTACTAAAATTAGGCATGAAATAAGGCACATTACTACTGACTTTATAGAAATAAAAAGGGCTGGATGCAGTGGCTCATACCTGTAATCCCAACACTTTGGGAGGCCAAGGCAGGCAGATAGCTTGAACCCAGGAGTTCGAGACCAACCTGGGCAATGGCGAAATGCTATCTCCACAAAAAACTTGCCAGGTGGCCAGGTGCGGTGGCTGACGCCTGTAATCCCAGCACTTTGGGAGGCCGAGGTGGGCAGATCACTTGAGGTCAGGAGTTCAAGACCAGCCTGGCCAACATGGCGAAACCTCGTCTCTACTAAAAATACAAAAATTAGCTGGGTGTGGTGGCAGGTACCTGTAATTCCAGCTACTCAAGAGGCTGAGGCAGGATAATTGCTTGAACCTAGGAGGCAGAGGTTGCAGTGAGCTATCGCGCCACTGCACTTCAGCCTGGGTGACAGAGCGAGACTCCATCTTAAAAAAAAAAAAAATTAGCCAGGCATGGTGGCACACGCCCATGGTCTCAGCTACCCAGGAGGCTGAGGTGAGAGGATCACTTGGGAGGTTGAGGCTGCTGTGAGCCATGTTCACACCATTGCATTCCAGCCTGGACAACAGAATGAGACCCAGTCTCCAAAAAATGTGGGTGGGGGAGGATTATAAGAGAATATTATGGATCATTGTATGTCAACACATTAGATAACCTAGATTAAGTGGACAAATTCCTAAACAGACATAAATTACAAAAACTCACTTGAGAAGAACTTAAAAATCTAAATAGACCTATAACAAATAAAGAGATTGAATTAGTAATGTTAAAACTTTCCACAAAATTCAAGACCAGATGGCTTCACTGATTAATTCTGCAAAATGTTTAAAGAATGAACAGTCCTTCACAAACTTCCAAAAAATAGAAGAGGAGGGAACATTTCCCAACTCATTCAGTAAGACCAGTTTTACCTTGACACTAAAATCAGACAAAGACATCACAAGAAATGAGAACTACAGACCAATATCCCTTGTGAATATAGAAGCAAAAATCTACAACAAAATACTATCAAACTGAATCCAGCAACTTATTACAAGGTTTATAGACCATAACCAAGTGGGATTTATCCCAGGAATGCAAGTGTGGTTCAGCATATAAAAATCAATAAATGTCATAAACCACATTAATAGGATAAAGGACAAAACCACAGGATCATCTCAATAGGCACAGAAAAAGCATTTGACAAAATCCAACACCCTTTCATGATGAAACACTTGCCGTGGGTTGAATTATATCCACCCCCTGCCCCCCACCAAAATATAGTCAAGCCCTAACCTCTGGTACCTATGAATGTCACCTTACTTAGAAATAGGGTCATTACAGATGTAATTAGTTAAGAAGTTATACTGGAGTAGGGTGGGCTTTTAAATCAATATGACTGGTGTTCTTCTAAGAAGAGGACAAGAGACATAGAGAGAGGCACACAGGAAGAACACCATGTAACGACCGAGGCAGGGACTGGAGAGATTCTTCCACAAGCCAAGGAATACCAAGGATTGCTGGCAGCACCAGAGCTAACAGAACACTTTGATTTTGGACTTCTGGCCTCCAGAACTGTGAGAAGAGGTTTCTGTTGTTTTAAGCCACTTCGTGGGACGTGTTTCACAGCAACCCTAGGGGATGAATACAGATTGGAGTAGCTATTTCTCCAAAGAAGATATACAGATGGCCAATAAGCACATGAAAAGGTGCTCACCATTAGCCACCAGGAAAATGCCAACCAAACCCATGTTGAAATATCACTTCACACCTGCTAGGATGGCTAGAATCCAAGACAGACCATAGCAAGTGCTGGCGAGCCTGTGGAGAAACTGGAACATTTATACATTGCTAGTGGGGATGTAAAATGGTACAGCCACTGTGGAATACAGTTTGGCAGTTCCTCAATATGCTAAGCATACAGCTACCATATAACCCATTAATTCCACTCCTAGGTATATACTCAATAAAAATGAAAAACTTATGTCTACACAGAAACTTGTATATGAATGTTCATAGCACAAATTCATAATAGCCAAAATGTGGAAGCAACTCAAGTGTCCACCAGCTGATGAGTGGATACAAAATGTGATATATTCATACAACAGAATATCATTTGGCAATAAAAAGGAATAAAGTATTGATGTGTGCTACAACATGGATGAACTTTGAAAACATGATGGTAAGTGAAAGAAGCCACACACAGAAGGTCTCATATTGTATGATTCCATCTATCTGAAGTGTCCAGAAGAGGCAAATCCATAGAGACCAAAAGCAGATTAGTGGTTGCCCGGGACTGTGGGGAGGAGGTGCTAATGAGTGTGGATTGTCTTTCTGGGGTGATGAAGATGTTTTGAAATTTGATAGTGGTGATGGTTGTGCAACTTTGTGAATATACTAAAAGCCATTCCATTTACACTTTAGAAGCGTGAATTTTATGATATGTAAGTTATATCTCAATCAAAAAAAGGTAAAAAGAAAGACATGTCTGCAAGTTATTTTGTGTATATTTGTCTTTTTGCACACATTTATACATTGCTCCTTTTTTTTTTTTTACTATTATGGATTTATTGCAAAGAATATATTAAAGGATACAAATGAACAGCCAGATGAAAAGGTACATAGGGCAAGATCTAGAAGGGTCCTGTGCATGGGAGCTTCCATCCCCATGGATGTAACACTTCATACATCCCAGCACATAGATGCATTCTTGTTCACTAACCTGATAGCTCTCCAGACCCATTTGGTTAGGATTTTCAAAAACTGATACATAATTTACACATTGCTTCTTTTATCTGAAGATCTGTCTGTCTTTGATCAGCTGTACGTTGAGACTGAAGAGGCTTTGTGAATAGAAACATCAATTCCTTGGCTCACAGATACGCCCCTGTCCTTGGCAAGCCACAGAGCTGTAGCCGTCTACCTCCCCAGTTTCACAGGTCAGATGCTGTGGTGGGCGTGTCATGGTAGTCACCATCTGACCATGTGGCTGTCCTCTCTCATTGTCTCCTCCACAGCACCGTGATTGTGTTTTATGTACAGAGCAGGCCGCCTTTCAAGGTTCTCAAAGCTGCTGAAGTGGCCCGAAATCTGCACATGCGGCTCTCAAAGGAGAAGGCTGACTTCTTGCTTTTCAAGGTCTTGAGGGTTGATACAGCAGGTAGGTCTCCTATGGAATATTCTAAAACAATCAGACTTGCCAATCATGGATAAGTTTGACAAACATAGAAGAGGAGTGACATGTGAACATTTTCACTTTAGCATCCAGGGACTTGTTTTACATTTATTTCTCCAATAGAGTTTCCTGCAGCATGCATTTGCCAACTACTCTTGGTCTTGGAAGAAAAATGGAAAACAATAATAATTATGGGCCTAAAGTTAAGATTATACTCACAAGATAATGGCTATTGGCAGAAAGAACAGTGTTAAAGACAAATAAGTGTTACTGGCTGCAAAAGCCATGTTTATATAATTTATTTACCTTGGACATCATGCCTTAGGTTGTGATGATAATGTCATGTAGCTCCTTGAAAATTTAAGACAGCTTGCAAATGCCTTCTCCAGGTGTGCCTCTTTTCTTAGCTCCATGCTCACCACCCCTTCCAGGGTACTCAAATGATTCATAGTCCCATTGTTTCTATCTTTATTTCATGAGTAACATGAATCTCTTGTTATGTTGAAGTGGTTATTTCAGTAGACTCCAGGGAAATGAGAGTTACAAGGGAAATGATAATGTTTGGGCAGTAAAATTTAATTTGTTTCAGATATCTATCTATCTATCTATCTATCTATCTATCTATCTATCTAGATATATATATATCCATCTACAATTGACTTTCTCAATTATAATATGGAGTAACTTAATTTTTAATAACTCCTTTTTTCTTTTCTTTTTTTTTGGTATTTTTAGTAGAGATGGCCTTAGCCATCATGGCTTAGTAGAGCCTTAGCCATGTTGGCCAGGCTGTTCTCAAACTCCTGGCCTCAAGTGATCCACCCACCTCAGCTTCCCAAAGTGCTGAGCCACCACGCCCAGCCAATAACTCCTTTTTTTTTCTAGCTACAAAAATAATATTTATTTATTGTACAAAATTTAGAATATCCAGAGAGGCACAAAGAGGAAAATAATTCTCTAAATTCTAGGTCCAAAATTCTCACCATCCAAAGAAAATTTTTATTAATACTCTGATATATGTTTTTCCAGTTCCACCATCTCTACAATCAGGATGACATGATATATATTTTTAATCTGATTTTTAACTTCAAATCATATTATGAGCCAGGAACAGTAGCACATGCCTGTAATCCCAGCTACTCCAGAGGCTGAGGAGGGAGGATGTCTTGAGGCTAGGAGTTTGAGACCAGCCACAGCAACATAGCAACAAGACCTTGTCTCTTAAAAAAAAAAAGTATATTATGATTATGTTCCCCAATCCTTTAAAATTTCTCTTCAATAAAATTTTTATGGCCACATAGTATTCTACCCTGGATATGCTCCATAATTATGCAACCAGTTTCTTATCCATGGGTTTTAGGGTTGGTTTTAAAGATAATGCTATAATGTAGATAAATCTTTGGGCATGTCCTCAATAATTGCCATTGCACTCCAGATAAATACTTAGAATTATTTTCTTAGGCCAGACAATGTTATGTTTTTGCTACTTTTTTGAGTCTAGCTCTGTCCCTCTGTTGCCCCGGCTGCAGTGCAGCGGTGTGATCTCGGCTCACTGCAACCTCTGCCTCCTGGGTTCAAGTGATTCTCGTGCCTCAGCCACCTGAGTAGCTGGCATTACAGGCGCACACCATCACGCCCAGCTAATTTATTGTATTTTTAGTAGAGGTGGGGTTTCGCTATATTGGCCAGGCTGGTCTCAAACTCCTGGCCTCAAGTGATCCACTCACCTTGGCTTCCCAAAGTGCCGGGATTACAGGCGTGAGCAACCGCACCCAGCCAGTAAACTTTTTTTTTGAGACAAAGTCTTGCTCTGTCACCAGGCTGGAGTGCAGTGGCGCGATCTCGGCTCACTGCAACCTCCAACTCCCTGGTTGAAGTGATTCTCCTGCTTCAGCCCCCTGAGTAGCTGGGACTACAGGCATGTGCCACCATGCCCAGCTAATTTTTGTATTTTTAGTAGAGATGGGGTTTCACCATGTTGGTCAGGATGGTCTGGATCTCCTGACCTTGTGATCTGCCCACCTCGGCCTCCCAATATTTTTAAGGCTTTTGCTGCGTGGTGTGGACTGGCTTTTTCTGCCATTTGCTTTCTGATGAGATTGTCAGTGATGAGAGACTATCTCCAGAACCCCTGTCCACACTGTAAGAGGCTCTTAATTCAACAAGATGCTTTTATTTGGGACCTATGCTACTGAAGATACAAAAGAAGCTGAATCCAGGGATTCCCTTTTCTGCATGCTGCCCTCAGCCCTACACACCTCTTTGCAGGTTGCCTTCTGAAGTGTTCTGGCCATGGTCACTGCGACCCCCTCACAAAGCGCTGCATTTGCTCTCACTTATGGATGGAGAACCTTATACAGCGTTATATCTGGGATGGAGAGAGCAACTGTGGTGAGTTCTGGTATAGAGGAGGCTTTGGGTGAGGAGCCTTAAGGCAGCTCATTCTCAGGTATCAGAAATATCTGCCTAATATTCGAGGCCAACCTGGGCAACATAGTGAGACTTCACCTTTACAAAAAAATAACAAAATAAGCCAGGCATGGTGATGCATGCCTGTAGTCTCTGCTACTCAGGAGGCTGAGGTGGGAGGATTGCTTGAGAGGAGGTCCAAACCAGCTTGGACAACATAGTATGACCCTTTCTTAAAAAATTAACTGAGTGTGGTTGCGTGTGCCTGTAGTCCCAGCTACTCAGGAGGATGAGCTGGGACAATTGCTTCAGCCCAGGAAGTTGAGTCTGCAGTGAGTGGACAGAGTGAGACCCTGTCTCAAAAAAAATGGAAGAAAGGAAGGAAGGAGGGGAGAGGAGGGCAGAGGAGGGGAGGGGAGGGAAGGGAGGGAAAGAGGGAAAGAAAAGAGAAAAGATAGAAAAAGAGAACTATCTGCCTAGCTCTGCAGTTATAAACATTCAGTGCTTTTCTCACCTGAAGCCAAGTGAACCAGCTCACTTGGTAGTAAGTTAAGACCCTTCTTACAATCTACTTTGTGGGATGTGTTTAGGCTTTTACATAAAACTTCCTAATGAGAAAATTCCCTTTGGCAGAGCAGAATTGGCTCACTATTGCTGGCATTTCTAAGAAAGAATTGCTTGGGCCACGGGCTGCATTTCCAGGTTACACCTGCCTTGGCTTAGGCTCAGTGTGATTTTCTGGTGAAGTGGCCCCTGGTATGGATCTTCTAGAATCAGGTAAAGAAGAGAATTTGGCCCACTCTTCCAGCTGTTCACACAGGCAGGCACCAAAAACTGGAGCCACAGCAGGGCAAGCTGGTGCCCCTTCTGGGGAGAAAACTATATTTTAATGGCAGTCTACTAAGTAAATTTGTTGTTTGGGGAACCAGATGGACATAATTGGCACCAAGGATAGTAAGAGCTGACTGCCAAAGTATATTCCCATTTAATACTATATAAAAATCAGAAAATAGCCAGCCCTTGGATCATTATTCCAATGAAATTATATAACATTTAATAAAGTTAAACCTTTTTTTTTTTTTTTTTTTTTTTGAGATGGAGTCTTGCTCTGTCACCCAGGCTGGAGTGCAATAGCGCAATCTCAGCTCACTGCAACCTCTGCCTCCTGGGTTCAAGCAATTCTCCTGCCTCAGCCTCCCAAGTAGCTGGTATTACAGGTGTGTGCCATCATGTCCAGCTAATTTTTGTATTTTTAGTAGACACAGGGTTTTGCCATGTTGGCCAGGCTGGTCTCAAACTCCTGACCTCAAGTCATCTGCCCCGTTCGGCCTCCCAGAGTGTTGGGATTACAGGCGTGAGCCACCGCACCCTGCCTAATAGAGTTAAACTTTGCTCCCTAGTAGATTTAAACTGGGCTTCTCTGTCTCTGAATTACTGTTGAAAGCTTTTCACGTTAGATTTCTGTAAGGATGTGGAAGGAATGAGGGTCAAGTAGTTTCTGAATTGCTCTCTGGCCGTGAAAAATGTCTTCATGCCATAAACAGCCATATAGATGCTTTATTAAAACCAAGCCAGAACTTTCAGGGGTAGGGGTTGTGATTTTTGGCATTCTGGAATGAATATTTTGATGTGGTATACATGTGTGTTTATATAAGAGGCATTACTATGTAATTGACTAATTTTAGTTATTTCAGATTATTCTGTTCCCAAGTTCGCATGAAATATGTGCTCCGTGAGGCCCTGAAACCCAATAGATAAAAACAGGGCAGTTTTAGTTTTACAGTTCTTGATTTATCTGTATTTTACCTTGCTCTGCTCTGCTACCAGTCTGATGTTATCAACTCCACAGGTGGCCTTTCCTTGTAGGGATTCAGAAATAGTTGTTATGAATCATCAAAATAAAGTTGTTCTACAAATAGCCTGTAACTATGTCCACTTTGGTTTTCTTGTGTTTCAGAGTGGAGTATATTCTATGTGACAGTGTTGGCTTTTACTCTTATTGTGCTAACAGGAGGTTTCACTTGGCTTTGCATCTGCTGCTGCAAAAGGTACCTAGAGTGCTTATTCCTGGGAAATAGAGACCCTACACTAAGTGTGTTTTGACAGCTTAGGAATTGTTTACTTGGACTTGTTAAACCACTAAGCTGTTTATTATAATAATGCACTTTCTGCCACAAAGCATAAGTGCCTAAATAAATGGAATATTAGAGGCAGCTTTTTCTCATTGCAGCTCTTGTGTTTTCTAGGAGGGTCAACGATTCTGTATCATATCTAATGTTATTCTCTATCAGTCTTACATTATATTCACTAGAGTGGTACTGTTTTCTCACTCAACCACAATCAATACAGAAGACTTCTGTGACCATTGTTTGGGAGTTTCTTCGCACACACCAGTCAAGCAACAGCTTTGCAGTGGACACCAGCTGGGTGTCCTCCAATTCACTTTTGCCGCTGTCTACCTGGAGATAGCGTCAGATCCCACAGGTTAAGGACTCAGTCCCCAAGACTGCTGCCCACCCCATTCAGATGCCAGTTGCATACCCCAGGTCGTTTTACCTGGGCTTCTGACTGACTCTAAATTGGGTCCCTCAATTCCCTCTTTGGGTTCAGTTATTTTGCTAGGGTGGCTCAAAGAACTCAAGGAAACACATTGGTTATTTATTACAAAGGATATTACAAGGGATACAGATGAAGAGATGCATAGGGTGAGATATGGGGAAGGGGCCTAGAGCTTCCATGCCCTCTCTGGGCATGCTACTCTCCAGGAACCTCCACATGTTTGGCTGTCCAGAAGCTCCCTGAACCCTGTCGTCTTGGGTCTTTTATGAAGACTTCATTGGATAGTTATAGAAAAGTAGTTGGACAAAAAGGGTATGATGTGATACTAACAGGCTGAGTGGGGAAGCCCAGCAAGGCCTGTCCAGATTCTTCTCAGCCTCTCTGTAAAGCACTCCATTCTCCTCGTAGGAGGCAGAACTCTTTCTGAAATGAGGGTTTTATGACCTATAATCAGACAAAGTAGGTCAGAGAATGTCTTTCTAGCCAGCTCCGAGACAGAAAGGCAGGGGAAGTTTCTTGCTTTGGGGAGAATAAAAAGCAGGTGAAAGAAGGCAGGAGAAGGTCAGAGAGAGAGAGGGAGATTCTGTTTTCTGAGGCCTAAAGTGCCCCAGCATTATAACAAGGGCCGTGGGAGTTATTAGCCAGGAACTGTGATGAAAACATACATACAGATATATATATATATATATGTGCGTGTGTGTGTGTGTGTGTGTGTGTGTGTGTGTGTGTGTGTGTATATATATATATATATATATCTATCTCACAAGTACCTAAGTGGCCTTACAGGTCTCAATAGAGGAAGGAGTTCTGGAAGTATACTGTTACAAATGGTAGGTTTTGATTATTTTCATTATGTAAAGCAATAATCGAATCCACCTGAATCATTTTTAATAAATTTGAAACTGTAAGCGAGGCAATAACACCGCCAAAGAGAACTTTTGCTTTAGGTGTTTCCTTTTTCCATGGAGCTGACCCCTGAGAAGCCTCAAGCTACCTCACTGGCCAAATCTTCCAGAACCCCATGCTCAACCCTCTGTCCTTAGAAGAGAGCATCAGGTCCACTCTTTCATGTGAAACATTGTAACTGCTCTCCAAAGGTGTGATTTTTAAAAAACGTATATTTTAATCTGGGCTAGGTGGCTCATGCCTGTAACCTCAGCACTTTGGGAGGCCAGGGTGGGTGGATCACTTGAGGTCAGGAGTTGGAGACCAGCCTGGCCAACATGGAGAAACCCCACCTCTACTGAAAATACAAAATTAGCTGGGCGTGGTGGTGCATGCCTGTAATCCCAGCTACTTGGGAGGCTGAGGCGGGAGAATCGCTTGAACCCGGGAGGAAGAGGTTGCAGTGAGCTGAGATTGCACCATTGCACTCCAGCCAGGGCAACAAAAGCAAAACTCCATCTCAAAAAAAAGGAGTGTATTTTAATAGTTATTTTTCAGAAATCACTTATAGATTATTTTGGTTTTATTTGTGATTACGTTCCCAAAGTAAGACTGGTGAAAGGGAGCCAGGTGCAGGCACTTAGAGGCCTAAATCCCGTTAAGTTTTCCCAGAGCCATATGTGACCCTACTGTGTATGGCATTAAACATCTGCAGCTTTGTGACATGTCTATCAAGTAGAAGATGATGATGCTAGTAGTGATAACTGTGAACATTTATGAAGTATTTGCCATTGTGATTAATGGCTAAGTGCTTTGTTTGTATTATCTTATTCAGTCCTCTCATCAACCATGTGAGAAAGGGACTATTCTTACTCCCATTTTACAGGTGAGGACATGGAGGCACAAAAGTCTCAATTAATTTTCTCTAAGTCACCAGCTAGCAAGTGCTAAATTGAGACCTATGCTTCTGATCATCATGCTCCCAGAATATTGCTTTTTTACTATGAAATTACTATTTTGTTCTCTGCGTGCCTTGGCATGGTTTGGATGTGTATTTTCAAATAGTCTCTGTACATAGGATGAGGCACATGGGACCAGCATAATTTTCATGTGTTGAGGAAAAAAAAAAAAGAAAAAGGTGGGGAGCAGCTGTTGCTAATTAATTGTGGGAATTTATTATAATTTTTGCTATTTTTTTCTGATTGCTAGTTCATGACACCTTTTCATTACTGCAGCATTGGACATAGCAGGGTGATACAGGTTCAGGGGAACATTTGCTCATCCAGGCTTTTCTGAATAAGGAATTACTCAGGAAGAAGAGCTCCCTGGGCCAACACACAAGTGTTGAGAATTGGCACTGCAGCCTGAGGCTTAGCTGAGACCTGTAGATAGGTGGGCAAGAGTGATGTGGCTGTTTATACCCAGAAATGTGTTTCTCCAAGATGCATAATGGCCCTCTGAGCTCTGACCTGGCCTTGTGTATGTTTCTTTAATAAAAGACGCCAACTATCACATCATAAAGGCAAAATGTTTCCTTTAGTGTCTTTACTGTGCGTTAAATCCTAGCTCTCAGTTACCTTTCTAAAGATCTGAGTTGAGCTTTTCATTGTTCCTTTCAGACAAAAAAGGACTAAAATCAGGAAAAAAACAAAGTACACCATCCTGGATAACATGGATGAACAGGAAAGAATGGAACTGAGGCCCAAATATGGTAAGACAGTCTGCAGAATGACTGCCTGGCACCTTTATATGATTTAACCTAGGTAGGCCTGAGGGCTAACTTGGATAGAGGGAGAACGATTTGCTGGAGTCAGCACTTTAATTGGGAAGGAAGAGTGAGGCTGGGATTCTGTGATGAAAAACAACCTTCAGGCCGGGCCCAGTGGCTCATGCCTGTAATCCTAGCACTTAGGCCAAGGCGCCTGAGCTCAGTAGTTCGAGACCACCCTGGGCAACATGGTGACACCATCTCTACTAAAAAATACAAAAAAAAAAAAAATTAGCCGGGCGTGGTGGTGTGCGCCTGTAGTCCCAGCTATTCGGGAGGCTGAGGCAGAAGAATAGCTTGAGACTGGGAGGTGGAGGTTGCAGTGAGCTGAGATCACACCTCTGCACTACAGCTTGGGCTACAGACTGAGACTCTGTCTCAAGAAAGAAAAAGAAAAATAACCTTCATCAATCCTGAGGATATGCTAATGCGGGGGTGGGGGCAGAAGGCAGTGGGTTCATTATAAATTTAATGAAATTTTGGTGTAATACTTTGAGGCATTAATGGATGAGGGATATGAAATGTTATCAGCTGGGCACCTACCAATGACCACAGGGCAAAGACTGCTTTTTAAACAGAGATGTCCCCAGCACCTGCTTTTTTTTCTACTCGCGGGTGGAGGGTGGGGGCAGTTGAAGACACTCCCACAGCTCAGCTCTGAACGCTGTTCCCTTTAGGTCTGCTAGGACAGAAATGCAGCAAGAGGACATTTGGACTTTAAAGCCTAACATTTTTCAGCAGCTGCGTTATCTAATTAGCCATTGATAAAGATGGACACAAAGGCTTTACAGAAAATTGACTTTCTTCACAAAGTGTATTGATCCCTATGCTTAGGAGCACCTGTTGCCCACCTCGGTTAACTTTTTCATTCTCGTTTATTAACTGTTGCATACTTAATGAAACTTCTCTGGCCCTCTGAGGCTGCTAAACACCGATTCTATAGATTTTCCATAATTCTGGGCTTATGACTAAGATAATTTTTATGGAAGATATAATCTTTTTCAGAGTTGTGAGGTGCAAAACATTGTTCACAGTGAGTGTTGAATGCCTACCTTGTGCACAGGCACCGGGTTAGGCCCTGGAGACTGGGAGAGGAGGAAGCACAGAGCCTGCCTTTACAGGAGCTCACAGCCTGAGGGAGGGTAATTATACTGGAGTGCAAGGAGTTCTATCAGTGCATGGACGATGCCGGGTAGGAACACTCAGGTCAGAATGACTGATCGTGTACAGAGAGTGTAGCTAATAGGGCTTTGGCAGGAAGAGCCTCACAGGAAGAACAAATAGTGGCATACATTGAGTGCTCACCATTTGCATTGCATAATATCAGAAGTATTATAGTGACGTTTACCTAAGAGCTCAACGTGCTTTAGGTTGCATTATCTCACCCATCTTTGTCTTAAAATACACTCATCCTTCTGACATTCCTGTTTCTATTCATAGAACCCCCATTCTCACTGCCCCAGTTTGAAACCTCAGTCGCTGGTGCTCCACACACACCGCCCCCCACTCCAGACACCCGCACTTGCTAGACTCTTGCCCTCTTTCCTCGTCATTACCATCACCACCCCAGTTCAGGTCCTTACAGTTTCACCCGTGAACTAATAGTAATAATAAACAGGTATTTAATGTTGAATATGTACTAGGTACATCTCAAGTACTTTACCCATTGAATTCTAATCCTGCCCATAGCGGTACGAGGTATGTGCAATGATTATCCCCATTTTACACATGAGGAAACTGAGGCAAAGGAAAGTTTAGCAACTTGCCCAAGTAACATAGCTGGTGAGTGCTGAAGGTGGGGTGGAGGCTGGGCTCTTCCTCTATGTTGCACTGCCTCTGCCTTGGTCTGTTTGGGCTGCTCTAACAAAATGCCACAGAAGAGGAGGCTTATGAACAACAGATATTTATTACCCACAGTTCTGGAGGCTGGGAAGGCAAATTCAACATCTGGGCAGGGCCGCTTCCTCATAGTTGGTGCCTCCTCACTGCATCCTCACATGGTGCAAAGGGCAAGGCAGCCTCTGGTGCCTCTTTTTTTTTTTTTTTTTTTGGAGACAGAGTCTTGCTCTATCCCCCAGACTGGAATGCAGTGGTGCAATCTCAGCTCACTGCAACCTCTGCCTCCCAGGTTCAAGCAATTCTCATGCCTTAGCCTCCCAAGTAGTTGGGATTACAGGCACCTGTCCACCATGCCCAGCTAATCTTTTTTGTATTTTTAGTAGAGACAGGGTTTCTCCATGTCAGCCAGGCTGGTCTCGAACTCCTGACGTCAAGTGATCCACCCGCCTCGGCCTCCCAAAGTGCTGAGATTACAGGTGTGGGCCACCACACCTGGCCTCTGGTGCCTCTTTTATGTGAGCACTAATCCCATTCGATCACCACCCAAATGCCCCACCTCTTAGTACCACCATTTAGGCATTAGATTTCAACACATGAATTTGTGGGGGTGCAAACATTCAGACCACAGCAACCTCTATGTCTACTGTCCGTCTTCCATCCTGCACACTGTGGTTTTATTAATGTCTCAGAACAACATTTTAATAGTGTCATTTCTCTGCTTTTAGGATAAAATCCAAACTTCATGGTTTACTTTGTATTCATGTGCTTTTCTGTGAGGTCCCTGCCTTTCTCCGGCCTCTCTCCTTCATTATTTCCTACATGAATCATTTGCTCCAAACAAACCAGTTTTTTTCTAAATATTCCCGGATGCTTCTGCATACTCCATGACCTTCCCCGTCCTCTTGTCTAAAATCTCTTCTTCAAATCTCACTGATAGAGACAGGAGACAGCCAAGAGTCCCTGGCGAAACCCCACCTCCAAGCCTAAAACAGCCTGAAGGCTGAAAAACTGGACTGCTGGTCCCCAGTGAAGGCCCTGCCCTTTCCCAGCTGATTCTCCCTAAGTAATGTCCACCTGCGCACTGGGGAAAGAGGATGGAGCCACAGGAAGTTCGTGTCATTTGCAGTGGGGAGGAGCCTGGCCTCTTCAGTTTCTGTGTGGTAACCTGGGATTCAATCTGTGAGGCAGGAGGTTGTTGGCAAGACCCCCTCTCTATTTGCTGAGAGTTTTTGTTTCCTTTTTGACCAATAAATTCCATTTTTCTCACCCCTCTATGTTTCCGTGAGCCTAATCTTTCCTGGTAGTGTGACAAGAGCCTGGTTTTAGCTGAACTAAGGAGAAAGTTCTGCAACATCACCCTATGGGAAACATTACTGAAGCAACCCCTGCCATAAGTATATGTGCTTATCTCCTAATTCATATACAATTTAAAAAACATCTAACCTGTTATGAGCCATCTTCTCATGAGTCTATGCCTTTTATGTCTTGTTTTTGTTTTTTTTCCCGAGACAGGGTCTTGCTCTGTCACCTGGGCTAGAGCATAGCAACACGATCATAGTTCACTGTACCCTCGAACTCCTGGCCTCAAGTGATCCTCCCACCTCAGCCTCCCAAAGGGCTGGGATTATAGGCGTGAGCCACCATGCCCAGCCAAGTCTATGTCTTAAACCCCTAGCTAGACACCATAAATCCTTTGAGAGTAGGAATTGAATCTTATACCTGTTCTGTATCTTAGGTTGACCCCCTGAAATCAAATATTCTACCAAAAATATTTTAACCAAATGGTAAAATCACAGAAGCTTTCGTTTGTTGGATGCTTACAATGTACTAAAGGCTGGGCCAAGAGAGCTTTACATGCACTATTTCACTTAATCCTCAGCATAAACTCATGGGGTAGATGCTTTGTTATCTTCCAGTTGAATAGAGGAGGAGACTGAAAGCTCAGAGAGGTTCGGTATCTTGCCCAGGCTCAAGCATCTGGCGAGTGTCAAAGCTGGGACAGAAGCTCGGGTGAGGCATCAAAGCCCCTGCAGTTACTTGCTAGGAAACCCAAACCGCCTGCTGTTTTGAGTGATTGCTTTCAAGGGGCGGAGAGCACCACTCCGTGCCCATCACAGGACCTGCAACCACAACGACTGACAGCTGGAAGTGAATCACGGCGTTCCTCCTCAGATGCTTCTGTGCTTCTCTCTAGGTATCAAGCACCGAAGCACAGAGCACAACTCCAGCCTGATGGTATCCGAGTCTGAGTTTGACAGTGACCAGGACACAATCTTCAGCCGAGAAAAGATGGAGAGAGGGAATCCAAAGGTTTCCATGAATGGTTCCATCAGAAATGGAGCTTCCTTCAGTTATTGCTCAAAGGACAGATAATGGCGCAGTTCATTGTAAAGTGGAAGGACCCCTTGAATCCAAGACCAGTCAGTGGGAGTTACAGCACAAAACCCACTCTTTTAGAATAGTTCATTGACCTTCTTCCCCAGTGGGTTAGATGTGTATCCCCACGTACTAAAAGACCGGTTTTTGAAGGCACAAAACAAAAACTTTGCTCTTTTAACTGAGATGCTTGTTAATAGAAATAAAGGCTGGGTAAAACTCTAAGGTATATACTTAAAAGAGTTTTGAGTTTTTGTAGCTGGCACAATCTCATATTAAAGATGAACAACGATTTCTATCTGTAGAACCTTAGAGAAGGTGAATGAAACAAGGTTTTAAAAAGGGATGATTTCTGTCTTAGCTGCTGTGATTGCCTCTAAGGAACAGCATTCTAAACACGGTTTCTCTTGTAGGACCTGCAGTCAGATGGCTGTGTATGTTAAAATAGCTTGTCTAAGAGGCACGGGCCATCTGTGGAGGTACGGAGTCTTGCATGTAGCAAGCTTTCTGTGCTGACGGCAACACTCGCACAGTGCCAAGCCCTCCTGGTTTTTAATTCTGTGCTATGTCAATGGCAGTTTTCATCTCTCTCAAGAAAGCAGCTGTTGGCCATTCAAGAGCTAAGGAAGAATCGTATTCTAAGGACTGAGGCAATAGAAAGGGGAGGAGGAGCTTAATGCCGTGCAGGTTGAAGGTAGCATTGTAACATTATCTTTTCTTTCTCTAAGAAAAACTACACTGACTCCTCTCGGTGTTGTTTAGCAGTATAGTTCTCTAATGTAAACGGATCCCCAGTTTACATTAAATGCAATAGAAGTGATTAATTCATTAAGCATTTATTATGTTCTGTAGGCTGTGCGTTTGGACTGCCATAGATAGGGATAACGACTCAGCAATTGTGTATATATTCCAAAACTCTGAAATACAGTCAGTCTTAACTTGGATGGCGTGGTTATGATACTCTGGTCCCCGACAGGTACTTTCCAAAATAACTTGACATAGATGTATTCACTTCATATGTTTAAAAATACATTTAAGTTTTTCTACCGAATAAATCTTATTTCAAACATGAAAGACAATTAAAACATTCCCACCCACAAAGCAGTACTCCCGAGCAATTAACTGGAGTTAATTGTAGCCTGCTACGTTGACTGGTTCAGGGTAGTTCCCCATCCACCCTTGGTCCTGAGGCTGGTGGCCTTGGTGGTGCCCTTGGCATTTTTTGTGGGAAGATTAGAATGAGAGATAGAACCAGTGTTGTGGTACCAAGTGTGAGCACACCTAAACAATATCCTGTTGCACAATGCTTTTTTAACACATGGGAAAACTAGGAATGCATTGCTGATGAAGAAGCAAGGTATTTAAACACCAGGGCAGGAGTGCCAGAGAAAATGTTTCCCCATGGGTTCTTAAAAAAAATTCAGCTTTTAGGTGCTTTTGTCATCTCCCGCAGTATTCATCCTCATGGGACCATCTTATTTTTACTTATTGTAATTTACTGGGGAAAGGCAGAACTAAAAAGTGTGTCATTTTATTTTTAAAATAATTGCTTTGCTTATGCCTACACTTTCTGTATAACTAGCCAATTCAATACTGTCTATAGTGTTAGAAGGAAAATGTGATTTTTTTTTTTAACCAGTATTGAGCTTCATAAGCCTAGAATCTGCCTTATCAGGTGACCAGGGTTATGGTTGTTTGCATGCAAATGTGAATTTCTGGCATAGGGGACAGCAGCCCAAATGTAAAGTCATCGGGCGTAATGAGGAAGAAGGGAGTGAACATTTACCGCTTTATGTACATAACATATGCAGTTTACATACTCATTTGATCCTTATAATCAACCTTGAAGAGGAGATACTATCATTCTTATGTTGCAGATAGCCCTCTGAAGGCCCAGAGAGGTTAAATAACTTCCCAGAGGTCATGGCCAAGAAGTAGTGGCTCCAAGAACTGAATGCAAATTTTTTAAACTGTAGAGTTCTGCTTTCCACTAAACAAAGAACTCCTGCCTTGATGGATGGAGGGCAAATTCTGGTGGAACTTTTGGGCCACCTGAAAGTTCTATTCCCAGGACTAAGAGGAATTTCTTTTAATGGATCCAGAGAGCCAAGGTCAGAGGGAGAGATGGCCTGCATAGTCTCCTGTGGATCACACCCGGGCCACCCCTCCCTCTAGGTTTACAGTGGACTTCTTCTGCCCCTCCTCCTTTTCTGTCCTTGGCCATCTCAGCCTGGCCTCTCTGATCCTTCCATCACAGAAGGATCTTGAATCTCTGGGAAATCAAACATCACAGTAGTGATCAGAAAGTGAGTCCTGTCTTGTCACCCCATTTCTCATCAGAACAAAGCACGAGATGGAATGACCAACCAGCATTCTTCATGGTGGACTGCTTATCATTGAGGATCTTTGGGAGATAAAGCACGCTAAGAGCTCTGGACAGAGAAAAACAGGCCCTAGAATATGGGAGTGGGTGTTTGTAGGGCTCACAGGCTAACAAGCACTTTAGTTGCTGGTTTACATTCAATGAAGGAGGATTCATACCCATGGCATTACAAGGCTAAGCATGTGTATGACTAAGGAACTATCTGAAAAACATGCAGCAAGGTAAGAAAATGTACCACTCAACAAGCCAGTGATGCCACCTTTTGTGCGCGGGGAGGAGAGTGACTACCATTGTTTTTTGTGTGACAAAGCTATCATGGACTATTTTAATCTTGGTTTTATTGCTTAAAATATATTATTTTTCCCTATGTGTTGACAAGGTATTTCTAATATCACACTATTAAATATATGCACTAATCTAAATAAAGGTGTCTGTATTTTCTGTAATGCTTATTTTTAGGGGGAAATTTGTTTTCTTTATGCTTCAGGGTAGAGGGATTTCCCTTGAGTATAGGTCAGCAAACTGTGGCCTACAGCCTGTGTGTGCACGCCCCATGAGCCGAAAAGTGGGTCTTATGTTTTCAAATGGTTAAAAATAAATAAAAAAATTTGAAACATGTGAACTATATGACATTCAGATTTGTGTTCATAAATAAAGTTTTATTGGAACATATCCACATTCACTGATTTATGTATTATCTATGGCTGTTCTTATGTTACAACAAAGTTGAGGAGTTTTGACAGGGACTGTCTGCAAAGCCTAAACTATTTACTATCTGGCCTTTTACAGAAAGAAAAAAATTTGCAGAAGGCTGGACTAACATCCCCTGCTCCTTCCCTGTGGGAAGACAAGTGTTCCGGAAGAACTGAGCATGCTCAGTCAGCTCGCCTTCCTCTGTGTGGGTGGTTCTCTGCAATTAACAGGCAGTCTGTCCCTCGTGCCAGAAGGCCCACAGCATGGTAGGGTGATTAGATTCTGGAGAGAGTATACTTACACTGCATCCTCTAATCTAGCTCTTATCAGTAATAAAGCCATTTTTAAAATGAGGGCCGGGCATGGTAGCTCATGCCTGTAATCCCAGCACTTTGGAAGGCCAAGGCAGGTGGATCACTTGAGTCCAGGAGTTCGAGACCAGCCTAGGCAACATGGCCAAATCCTGTCTCAAAAAACACACACACAAAAATTTAGCTGGTCATTGTGATGCATGCCTGTAGTCCCAGCTACTCAGGAGGCTGAGGTGGGAGGATTGCTTCTGCCCTGGGGGTGGAGGTTGCAGTGAGCAGAGACTGGGCCACTCCAGCCTAGGCCACAGAAGGAGGCCATCTCAGAAAAAAAGAAAAAAAAATGCAGATTGAGGTATAATTCACTTACAGTAAACTGCACATAATACAATTTGATGCTTTGATATGTGTGCACATCTGTGAAACCATGACCACAATCAAGCTGTTGAACAAACATAATTACCCATAAAAGTTTCCTCGTGGCTCTTTGTAATCCCCCTCTCCCCTGGCAATCACTAGAGATTAGCTTGAATTTTCTGGAGTTTCATATATGGTAGTACTGTATGGAGCTTTCCCCTCAAACAGGTAGTAGTTCCTTCCTTTCCAGGCTGTTTTAACTCACTCCATTAGCAACTGTGAACAGAAGTTCTCTGAAAAGGAATTTGAAGGAAAGAGACTTTATTGCCGTGAACAGTTTCCAAACCACAGAGTTATGGTCTTCTGTGTAAAACAAAGATGGGTTTCAAAAAACAAAGCAAGCGTTCTGGATTTATAGCAAAATTCTACCCAGGTTTCCAATCAGGTCCATATGTAAATGAAGGATTGAAACTTGCATAGTTCTGATTGGTCAGTGTAGCTCAGTTTGGGTTGGTTGATACAGATGACGCCTGGTTGGTTGATACATCTGAGTCCTGATTGGTTAAGGCAGGTGAGCTCTGATTGACTGGTTCAGGTGAACTCTGGAGTTCCCAAACTGAACAAAGGTGTGGGTTTTGGGGGGAACTCAGTACATGTGTGTGACATCTAGTTAACAAATGCTCACTTAGGTGTTTTTTGTTTGTTTGAGACAGGGTCTTGCTCTGTCACTCAGGCTGGAGTGCAGTGGCACCATCACGGCTCACTGCAGTGTGGACCTCCCAGGCTCAAGTGATCCTCCCACCTCTCAGCTTCCTGAGTAGGTGGGACTACAGGTGTGGACTAATTTTTTGTAGAGATGGGGGAGTCTCACTATGCTCTCCAGGCTGGTCTCAAAAATTCCTGGCTCAAGTGATCCACCTCCCTCTGCCTCCCAAAGTGCTGGGATTACTGATGTGAGCTACAGTGCCAGGTCCCACTTAGGTCTATTTTAAATTTAGGCCTAGTTAACCAATGGGGATTTATCTTAAAGGATTGGCTCTTTCAAGTTCATATTTGTTCACATAATTTTGTTGAGATAAATGCTTGTTGAAGTATGAGAATGGGAATGGGGTATTGTAGTTAAACTAATTACGTGGCTCCTGGATCATCTTCAATCCTGTAAGAGTTGTGTATTTACTGAGAGAGCAAATACTAGGCTAAGTAAAGGAACAAAATCTTTATAATTTCAACAAGGATGACTTTCCATTACTGAAACTAAAGGAATTTTTATTTTATTTTTTTTCAGACAGTCTTGCTCTGTTGCTCAGGCTGGAGCGCAGTGGTGCAATCTCGCTTACTACAACCTCTGCCTCCTGGCAGTTCAAGTGATTCTTGTGCCTCAGCCTCCTGAGTAGCTGGGATTACAGATGTGTGTTACCACACTCAGCTACTTTTTATATTTTTAGTAGCGACGGAGTTTCGCCATGTTGGCAAGGCTAGTCTCGAACTCCTGGCCTCAAATGACCCGCCCGCCTCAGCCTCCCAAAGTACTGGGACTACAGGCATGGGCCACCATGACCAGCCAGAAAATAAAGGCATTTAAAAAAATATTCCTTCAGTGTTGTGGGCTAAATTATTATTTTTGAGATGGAGTCTCACTCTGTCACCCAGGCTGGAGTGCAGTGGCATGATCTTGGCTCACTGCAACCTCTTCCTCCCCAGTTCAAGCGATTCTCCTGCCTCAGCCTCCCAGGTAGCTAGGATTACAGGCGCCCACCACCATGACGGGCTAATTTTTGTATTTTTAGTAGAAATGGAGTTTCGCCATGTTGGCCAGGCCGGTCTCAAACTGCTGACCTCAAATGATCCACCAGCCTCGGCCTACCAAAGTGCTGGGATTACTGGCGTGAGCCACTGCGCCCAGCTGACTAAATTAATCGTGTTATGTCAAAATTCATAGGTTGAAGCTCTAACCCCCAGTACCTGAAATGTATTTGGAGATAGAGCCTTTAAAGAGATGTGATTAATTAAGTTAAAATGAGTAAAATGAGGCCATTAAGATGGGTCCTAATCCAATCGACTGGTTTTCTTATTAGAAGAAGAGATTAGGACCTGCAGAGAGACATCTGGGGCACGCAGGCACAGAGGAAAGATCATGGGAGGACATGGCAAGAAGGCGGCCATCTACAAGCCAAGATGAGAGGCGTCAGGAGAAACCAAACCTGCCGACACCTTGATCTCGGTCTTCTGAGAATTCATTGAGCGATTCACTTATTCAATTATGTATCCTTTTTTTTTGCATGTATATAATAGTGAAAGGAAAGTTTAAAAAAGCTACCAATCTTGCCAAGTTACTTTCAAAGTCATTTATGAAGAGGTACTGCCAGGGATTTCCTAGGTAGAGATGAAACAGTTCTGTATCTTGATTCAGGTGCTGCCTACACAAATCTAACTATTGATGTGATCAAATTAGGTAGAGGTGTACAAACACTCACATACAAATGAGTGCACATAAAAACGAGTGAAATTGGAATAAGGCCTGGATTAACAGTTTTGCACTGGTATCAGTTTCCTGGTTTTGATAATTGTATTACATAGGTAATAAGCGAACCACTGGGTGAAGGGTACACGGGACTCTGCATTATCTTTGCAACTTCCTATGAATTTATAATTATTTCAAAATTAAAAGTTTAAAGATGTTGAGAAGGAAAGGCCAGATCCACATATCAACAGTAAAATAAGCATTTCCATTAAAATCAGGAACAAAGTTAAGAAAGGAAAAAAAAAAAAAGAAACAAAGTCACCATTTCTCCAACTAATTGGTCCCTAGAGCCTCTCTTGTTGAGTTGAGATTAGCAAGCAGCAAAGCTTCCTTTATTTGAAGCCTACATGGAGAGTATTATCACCTCCATTCTCCTAAAGATGATGAACCCAGAGTTGCAGGACTGAGACTTTATTGCAGCAGGAAGAGAGCACATAGGCTTATACGGTCATGCCTGGCATAGTGAAATTTCTGTCAGTGATGGACTGCATATATGATTTATGGACCCATGAGATAATGGAGCTGAAAAGTTCCTGTCACCTAGTGATGTCGTAGCCATCATAAAGTCCAATGCAGCCCAATGCATTAATCATGTTTGTGGTGATGCTGGTGTAAACAAACCTGCATTCTCAGTTGTATAAGAGTATAGCACATACAATTATGTACAGTATATAATAAGTGACTATGCTACTGGTTTACGTATTTATTATACTGTACTTTTCATTGTTATTTTACAGTGTACTCCTTCTACTTATTAAAAACAGTTTATTGTAAAACAGTATGTGGCTGGGTGCAGTAGCCCACTCCTGTAACCCCAGCACTTTGGGAGGCTGAGGCTGGAGGATTGCTTGAGCCCAGGAGTTTGAGACCAGCCTGGACAACATGGTGAGACTCCATCTCTATAAAAAACATGTTTAAAAGTTAGCTGGGTGTGGTGGCGAATGCCTGTAGTCTCAGCTACTCAGGAGGCTGGGGTAGGAGGATCTCTTGAGCCCAGGAGGTCAAGGCTGCAGTGAGCTGTGATGGTGCCGGTGCACTCCAGCCTAAATTACAGAGTGAGACCCTGTCTCAAAAACAAAACAAAACAAAACAAAAGAAATACTGGGTTATACCAGCAGTATAAACGTGTCTTGTTTACTGTGCCTCTTGATTGCATTATTTTCTCTTGTGCTTCAATTAATCTCGTGTTGCTTTGTTCATCACGGTCCCTTTGTCATAGAAAATCCACGGCTATTGTTGCCAGTAAGAGGCCACATCAAGTGACTGATCTTGAAACAAGAGATTAAGGATTACCAACCAATGGGTAAAGGAGTTACAGCAGCTTTTAAGGCCCACTGCCTGAGGAGGAGCAGCTTTGCTCAGGTTATTACTGCAACAAAGGAAGACACGGAGAAGACGCTGATGCAATTCTGAAAGGATTACATCTACGACTCCATCAGGACCCTTGCTTGGGCTTGGGGTGATGTTACCAAGGAACGTATAAATGACATCTGGAAGAAGACACTCAAGAGGTTCATCCGTGATTTCAAAGGATTTGCCAAGGACAAGGAGGTTGCAAAAACCAACAAGGCTGTGGTTGAGATGGCAAACAATTTTAACCTGGGGGTGGAAGAAGAAGACATTGAGGAGCTCCTACAGGTGGTTCCTGAGGAACTGACTAATGAGGAGTTGTTGGAACTGGAACAGGAACACATACCTCAAGAAGAGGCAAGGAAGAAAAAACTGCAGAAGAAAAAGAATCCCCATGAAAATTCACAGTGAAGAGCTGAGAAGTTTTTGCAGACCTCAGTAAGCGCCTTAAAAATTCTGAAAACATGGGCCCCTCAACACCAAAAGGGTTTCATTAACAGAGAGGAATGTTCTTTATGCACTGTCTGCTTACAAGCAAATCTATGATGAAAAAGGAAAGCAAGCAAACCACCATGGACATATTTCTGATGCATGACATCTCCTAAGAACCTCAGGTAGGTCTTGTTATCCTAGCTCCACGTTTTTTTCTTTTTTGAGTCAGGGTCTCACCTTGTCACCCAGGCTGGAGTACAGTGGTGCGGTCACGGCTCACTGCAGCCTTGACTTCCCGGGTTCAAGCGATCCTCCTGCCTCAGCCTCCTGAGTAGCTGGGACGACAGGCACGTGCCACCACACCTGGCTAATTTTTGTATTTTTTGTAGAGACAGGGTTTCGCCGTGTTGCCCAGGCTGGTCTTAAATTCCTGGGCTCAAGCGATCCGCCTGCCCTGGACTCCTGAAGTGCTAGGATTACAGGCGTGAGCCACTGGGCCCAGCTGTCCCTGCGTGTTATTGCCCCTGAAGACCTTCCAGCGGGGCAAGATGAGGAGGTGGGAGATAGAAATATCCATGAATCTGACCCTTTGTAGGCCTAGGCTAATGTGTGTAATTGTGTCTTAGTTTTTAACAAAAAAGTTTAAAAAAATTTAAAATATAAAAAAGCTTGTGGAACAAGGATATAAAAAAAGAATATATTTTTATACAGTTGTGCAATTAGTTTGTGCTTTAAGTGCTAAGTGTGATCACAAAAGAGTCAAAAAGTTAAAAAATTTTAAAAATTTATAAAGTAAAAAGTTACAGTAAGCTAAGGGTAATTTATTATTGAAGAAAGAAAAATATTATTTAATAAATGTAGTGTAGCCTAAGTGTAGAGTGTTTGTAAAGTCTAGAGTAGTGTGCAGTCATACCTTAGGCCTTCACATTCACTGTCACTCACTGACTCACCCAGAGCAACTTCCAGTTCTGCAAGCTCCATTCACGGTAAGTGCCTTTTACAAGTGTAATTTTTAAATCTTTTATACTTGATTTTTACTGTACCTTTTCTATGTTTATATACATAAATACTTGCCATTGTCTTACAACTGCCTACAGTATTTAGTACAGTAGCATGCTGTGCAGGTTTGTAGCCCTAGGAGCAATAGGCTAGACCGTATAGCCTAGCTGTGTAGGAGGCTGTACCATCCAGGTTTGTGTAAGTACTCTACAGTGTTCGTACAAGGACGAAACTGCCTAATGACGCATTTCTCAGAATATATCTCTGTTGTCGAGCAATACGTGATTGTAAAATGTGAGACGACATTTGCAAAAATGTCCACTAACCACTGGGCAGCAGTGCTGTCTGTGTTCTAAATTATGGTGAGGGCTGGCTACAATGGTGCACTCCCATAATCCCAGCACTTTGGGAGGCTGAGGCGGGAGGGTGGCTTGAACCCAGGAGTTTGAGACCAGTCTGGGCAACACAGTGAGACCCTGACTGTTCAAAAAATGAAAGAAAAATTAACTGAGTGTGGTAGCAGGTGCCTGTGGTCCCAGCTACTCAGGAGGCAGAGGTGAGAGGCTTGTTTGAGCCCAGGAAGTCATAACAGTGGGGCGTGTAGGAGAGAGAGATAGGCCAATCTGTGACGGCTGGCCTATACACCTTTCTGTGACCGCCACCTCTGCAAACCAGGTAAATTCTCAGTTCAGCTTAGCAAACATTCTATAAGCGCACACCATGGACAGGCCCTTCTCTGGGTTTTAGGGCACATCATTTCACATGCTGGCTCCTTCCCCAAGGCACTCACTGATTACGGCTCTCTGGGGGAGGGAGTGCTATTTACACAAATGCAAACTGGTCTAATATCATCCAATAAAAACTCAAAAGATCACCAAGTAGGGGGAAAAAAGCACAACCAGACACCTTAATACAGGGAGAGGAAATTCTGTTAATTCCACGTTTATTAATCACACAGCTCTCTGCAGACTAGACACTAAAACACACAATTGTCAAAAACTAGAAAAATGAGTTATGTCCACGTTTTAAAAGCAAAACTTTATAAATTTCTTACCACACTCATTCCCAAGTTTTATCCCACAAAGTATAGCATGAAACAATGACAACATACATATTATTCAAGTAAAATGCTATTTAAAATAGCTGCACACAGGTAATTAAAACACTAGGATCCAGTTTTTAGAGGAAAAAGTCATGTGGCACAATTTCAAGTTCATAATTGAAGTTAACAGTAAAACAGATTTGCTCACATTTGCTTCTGATCTTTATTTCTGCTGTCTCTCTTTAGTAGAATAAAGAAATGGCACTTCACATAAAATCATATTTAAAAGCTACTAAAATGGATAAACAGATGCAGATCAGCTCTTTAATGAGAATCCCTGCATAGCTGGAGGAAGTTCAAGGATAATTGTTTTTTCAAGGCAAATAGACTCTTGTTACGTGGCTAATTTCATGTACATTATCATCGCTGGGAAGTTCCTGCTGAGAACTCACGGTAGCTATGCCAGAAAAGTACTTTCTTCACAGGAGGTGTTGAAATAATGCCGGATAAATGCAAGTAAGGTCAATATCTCCCTCTTGGTCTAGATCAGGAGCTGGCAAACTTTTTCTTTAAGGAGACAAGTAGTAAATCTTTTAGGCTTTGCAGGCTATACTGTCCCTGTCCCAACTATTCAACTCTGCCAAGAAAGCAGTCCCAGACAATACCATAAATGAATGGGTGTGGCTATGCTCTAATAACATTTTGTTTATGGACACTGAAATCTGAATTTCATAGAATTTTCAGGTGTCATGAAATATTGTTCTTCTTTTGATTTTCTGCCCAATCATTTGAAAACATATAAACCATTCTTAGCTCACAGGTTGTATAAAAACAGGTGGCAGGCCAGGTTTGATTCGTGGGCCATAGTTTGCCAACCCCTGATCTAATGGTCCTTTTCTAGTCCATGTTGTAAAATGTATATATTTTTAAAATCCCGTTACATATGGCTACTTTATTTAAAAAACAACAAAAACGTTCAGTTAAAAATAATTCTCTTTCTTCCCACAACCAAGGGCCATTTTACTAAACAATAAGCTATTTCCTTTAATTAGAAAATTGATCAAGGATATACAATGAGTCTCTGGCCTCAATTTATGAACCCATGAGCCAAATATGCAAGAAGACTCAAAATTTGCCACCCAGCCAAAGAATCTACTGGCTTACAATGTTAAAAATTTATTTGGAAGTATTCCTGCACACATCTCAGCATCGGTAATCCAGAGTTATAAAAAATAATGTTGGAGCATTTGTATTCTTTTTTTGAGGCGGAGTCTCGCTCTGTCATCCAGGCTGGAGTGCAGTGGCGTGATCTCTGCTCACTGCAAGCTCCGCCTCCTGGGTTCACGCCATTCTCCTGCCTCAGCCTCCAGAGTAGCTGGGACTACAGGCACCTGCCACCACATCCGACTAATTTTTTTTGTATTTTTAGTAGAGACGGGGTTTCACCGTGTTAGCCAGGATGGTCTCGATCTCCTGATGTCGTGATCTGCCTGCCTTGGCCTCCCAAGGTGTTGGGATTACAGGCGTGAGCCACTGTGCCCAGCCCAGCATTTGTATTCTTAATAGAAAAAGGATGGATACATCTAAATCACAAGTAATTAAAATGTTATATAAAACCACCTAAAAACTACACAAATAAAGAGAAGACATTAACTGTCAAAATGCTGAGTATGTGATTCTTGACAGGGCCGGGGCACTGTCACTAGGAGATGAATTTCAGCTCTTCCTTCTCCTTGGGACCTTGGGAATGTGGCTAGTACACTCCAGGCCAGATGCTAGGCAGCTCCCTGTGTGCCCAGGGTCTTGCCAGACCTTTAGTTACTCAACCATAGCTTCCCAGTGGCTCAATGAGGGATGTTAAATCCTAGGTGGGGTTCAGGAGTAATTGCATCCAGCACTACTTTCATTCACATTTTCCTTCCACAACCCAGAATAACCACAAGATGTAAGTGGAGTCTACACAGACAGAGATGGGGAAAGGAAGGTGCTTCGTCTCCACCTACTTGGCCGCCTAATTGGATTTGCATCTGTTTAAGATTACGGAGTCTTTCTTTCAAAGTGAGAGGCAACGCCGGTCATAGCGGCTTTTGTTTTTTGTGCGTTATTTGAATGATGAGCTGTAAAAACTCTCATTAGATAAAAGGTGCCTGAAATTCAAGGGCTCATGCCTCTTCTACAAAGTGGGTTGGCAATTACAGAAATTCTTTCCCTTTTGGGTTGACTGTGGTGAAAGTACTTTTGCTCTTTTGGAGGTGAGGGAGCAGCACCACACCAGGACAGAAAGAACAGGCTCAGGTGACAGCCACTTACTCAGGCTCAGGTCGGTGGGCAAGTGGGCACTGGCCTCCTCCCATCTTGGCAAAGCCACTGACAGTAGGCAAGGAAGGGCTGGGCGGTGCTGCTCGTAACAATGGCTCTTGTATGTCCTTAGAATTTTCATTTTTTTGTGAAGTGCTTTTACTTTCTCTCTGGCTCACAGTATCGCAAGGAGCTAAGTAAGGCCTGTATGGAATCTCCACTGTATCCATGGGATGGGAGGTGCTGAACACACGCCCAAGGCAACAAGGCCACTCAGGGAAGGAGCCAGGCCATGCCACTGCGTGCCTTCCATCCTACCAAGCTGCTTCTGCTATTCTTTGCTTTACACTTCAGCTCATTTACTCAAGGAAATGAAATGAAGTGGCAAACAGGACAGAAATGAAAATAGAATTCTTTAAGTGGTAAATTTGGGACAATAAAGGCATCAATTAAAATATGGTTCAGGAATAGGGAGAGGTGCTCCTTCGTGCCTCACAGAAGCACGGACAATTCTGTGCTATTTATTGTCTTTGAAAGAGGGTTCACTCAAACCTCTGCCGCAACACCTCCAGATGCACATTCGGTGTCTTCTGTGCTGAGCTGGCAGATGCCGGGGAGGGGTGCTGTGCCCCTCACCTGCCTGCCAGTCACAGTCAAGGGTCTCCTTCAAGGTGCTCTGGGCCCATGTTCTGTAGCGACATGGGGGATGGTTGTGCCACTGCCCAGGCAGTGATCAAGCCTTTGTGACGGCCCATGGGGCTGGGCCTGCCTTGTGCTGTGCCTGCTCTGAGGCAGCTGGGGCTGTGGTGGGGAGCCAGGGCCTCATTCTGTAAACCCAGTGCTGGTTCTCTGGGAGTCTGCAGCCACAGGCACGTGGCACATATTGGTCCCTAGTTACATTAAGGGCAGGGGTAGGATTTGCATCTGTTTAAGATTACAAGGACTGGATGAGTTCTGAAAAATTCATAATTCTGAAAACCTATTAGTTTATTTAAAATAATGGATGGCATGTACCTATATATGTAGATAAGTCTCCTTTTAAATTTTTTTAAAGAACCAAAGAATCCTACAAGCCCCCGTAACACACATACTTGAGTTCCAGATACTCATCAATGCCATACTTGGACCCCTCTCGCCCAAGGCCGGACTGCTTCACTCCACCAAAAGGGCACTCCACAGAGGAAATTAATCCTTCGTTGACGCCAACCATGCCCACTTCCAGCTGCTCTGCCACTCTCCAGATCTGGGCTGGGTCTTGAGAGTAAAAATAACCTGTCACAGGATAAAAGGACATATATGGCATTTAGAAGAGTCATTAAAGACATCATGCCTAAAGATGAGGGCACCATTGATGACTTTTTGTCCAGCCACTTGGGCCTGGAGTCTTCCCTGCTCCCAGATAAAGTCCCAGGTTGGTCTTGTCCACTTTTTCATCTCAAAACCTTTGAAAGTCACCTCTTGCTTCAATTCTACTCTCACTATCTCCTATCGAGACCCTCTTCCTGTTTTCTACTATTCAATCCACCTGCACACCTGTTAGATTTCCACACGACATTTTTGCCCAAGCCTTTCGATGACTCCTGATTATAAAATAAGGTTAAATTCATTAGTGGGTATTCAACACCCTCTCCCCCACAAGTAGTTTCAATCAACATTTCTGGCTTCATCTTCCATTACTCCAATCACCAACCATCCTCTCCAAACCTGTCAGCCAAATTCTCCTCACCCTTTCTTACTTTGCTTCTCAACTCCCTTGGTGCCCTCTGCCCAGAATCTCTCTCCTCCAGCTTCTGCACAACCAGAATTCTGCCCATCATTTATGACCTAGTTCAGGGTACGTCTTCCTCCACCATCACCCCATCGAGAAGGAAGAGACAAATGCTGAACTCAGTGTTATAAACGTCCTTGTGCACACATCTTACTCCAGCTTTACGATAACTCTAAGGGACCTCATAGCATGCTTATCATTCCTCTTGGTATAAATAGTTCTCTTACAGCTAGAGGGGAAGCTTCTATAGAGCTATAGTGGCATCTTGTATGTCTTTGTATCTTCTGCAGTACTTCATTTGCTGTGGATGCTATTACATAATTTTCTCAGGGTTATAGAGTACATGCAGTGACCACCTGGCCCATCTCCAAACTAAAGGAATGTCAGCCATCAGAGAGGCACCTCTGCACACACCATCTTCACTCCTTTCATTGTCCCTGACACTCCTTGCTGATGCCCTTCCTCTTCTGTTCAGGCTTACAGGAGCCACGCAAAAGGGAAGAAAAAGCATTTGGAATTTCTGGGGATTAAGCCTCTGAGAATGTGGGACTTTGAGATGTGTGCAGTTCTCCACCTAGAAAAGTAGAATAATGTGCACCTTCTCTTCTTCCCACAGCTGTAATTAGAGAGCTCCCAAATGTGTATCATGGGGACAAGGGAAAAGTACACATACTTGCACAAATCCAAATCCATTCCACCACTTGGAAAGCAACAAAACACATACCTCATTGAAGTTTCTGTCTCAAAACCCAGGGTGATGTTTAAAAGGGTAAATCTGGCATGAGCTGGAGAAAAATGATTATGACTGGTATTGAACAAGGACAAACACCTACCTGCTAACCCAACATCAGCTGCGTTAGCGATTGCTATAGCCTCCTCCTCTGTATCGAACCTGCCAAAGTTAAGATAGGTCATAAAAAATGTAAGGGGGAGAGGAAAGGAAACCAGTTTTGTTTTCTTCTGATTTGTTTCCCAAATAATCACAAGGAGTAAATCAGAGTTTTGCAAAGAGATCCAAGAGCAGATTGCAGAAGAAAGCAGCACCATTCCCCGATATAACTCAGCGATTAAGGCTAGCATGCTCAAATCAATACTGGCTTCATCTCTCCTAAGAGAACAAGAAAAAAGCAGACCAACATGTAGGGAACTGTGGCATATCCAGAATATCAAACAAAATCCCTTTAAAAAAAAAGGATTACTATTCTTGGTACCCACTGGGAATATATAACAATCATAACAACTACTTTAGAAGCAAGCCTGATGTAGCAGAAAGAAAACGTTCAGAAGGGGTTGGGGCCAGGTTCTAATGTGTCCTCCACCACTGCTTAACAATGGCACGATGCTTGGAGTCTCCTCCTCTCTGAAATGAAGGAATGCACCAAAGCCCAGGCCATCTCTTCTAGCTTTAAAATTTTATTTCAGGAATAAGATGTCAGTGATATTTTTCTGTTGTTCCAGAATTGTAACTGGGGCAAAAAGTTCTAAGCACCCCAATTTCTAAATTCAGAGATCTACCAGCAGTTGGAACCAGCTGTCTCTCTGCAGGGCTTGCAAAGGGGGACTGGGTAGAGCCAGCTCCGAAAAGTCAATTTGTCCAAGGGTACACAGTTATGAAGTAGCAAAGTCTAGAGCTACATCATAGTCAACTGCAAAGCCTGCATTCTCAACCAATGCCTTCCGTTGGTTTCCTGTGAAAATGTCCAGTTCACATTTTATGTAAAAAGTTTTTATTAAAACAAAGAAGATGAAAGTTCTTCAAGGGTCCATTTCCCCAACAGTGGAATAAAAATAAACTTCATAAGCAAGATGTAACAAGGCCAGTGAAGTACATAATAAGAAAGATTTCTGGTCCTGGATAAGACGGTACAGATAGCACCAGCTGCCAGCTGTCTCTGTGAACCCAATGCTGGACATGCCAGAGGACAGAGAAAGAGAATCATAGTCAAAACCAACAACAACAGCAACAAAACCTCAATCGGAAACTAGCACCAAAAATGCAAGACATTTCTGGAGGCCAATAAATTGGTTGGATCCTGGGGGAGAATGATGGCCTCACGTGAGAGCGAGCTCGAGACCACCCATGCAGGAGTGGGCAGGGCAAGGGCAGGGCTGCACGTCTCCTACCACGCCTGTGAGTTCCAGGTGATCCTGCCTACAAACCTGGGTCCCTGGATCAATGCGACATTGCTACAGGTAGAAAAGCAGCAGGGCTGGCTTGGGGCAGTGAGCCAGTGCTCGTGCCCAGCAGGTACACCAGCCATGGGAAACAAGTGTAGGCAATGGCAACACCAGCAGCCTCTTCTCCCCAACCTATTCCAATAGAGGGAACTGCAAAATACCCCAGCGGAAAGGATACTTGGGGTGGAGGAGTGGCACTGAGACTGGATTTTAACACTAGAGCCATCCTCAGTGAGGCTCAACCCTTTGCCCTCCAAATGTATGAGGAGCACAAACCAAGGCCTAAGCTTTTTACCACAACCCATGGGAGATATTACAAGCCAAGGCTGCCGACGGTGCAAGGGGTTAAAGATGAGCTCACAGGGAAAATTACAAGATGTCTGAGGAGCTCTGAGACTAAGAAAGATAAAGCAGCACAACCTATACCACGGGAGACAGAAATGGTGGAAGAGAATAAAAATGTTTTTTTTAAAAAGGAAAAATAGCCACAGCAAAGTAGGGGAGAATAATGAAGCAGGAAGAATCAGTTATGGGGAAGAACCCACTGGAGATATCAGGGATGGGAAAAACAATTGTTGAGATAAAGATCTTGGTGGGTGGGATGGAAGCCAGAATGAGTATATCTGAAGAATGCATTAATATGCTGGCAGATGAGGGGAGGGACTCGCAGAAGGCATCAGGAATGAATCAGGAATGAAGAGATGGAATGAAGAGACAAGAGAACTAGGGCACAGAAGTAGAAGTATCACAATAATAGACTACTTGGAAGGCTAGAAAAGCATAAATGAAAGGAAGAAGAATATCTGGAAAAATAATGACAAAAAATTTTCCAGGACTAAACAAACCTGTTAGATATTAATGAGCTGGGCATGGTGGCTCACGCCTGTAATCCCAGCCCTTTGGGATGCTGAGGCGGGTGGATCACTTGAGGTCAGGAGTTCGAGACCATCCTGGCCAACATGGCGAAACCCTGTCTCTACTAAAACTACAAAAATTAGCAGGGCCTGGTGGCGGGCGCCTGTAATCCCAGCTACTCAGGAGGCTGAGTCAGGAGAATCGCTTGAACCCAAGAGGCAGAGGTTAAACTGAGCTGAGATCGCAACACTGCACTCCAGCTTGGGTGACAGAGCGAGACTCCATCAAAAAAAAAAAAAAAAAAAAACCCAAACCAAAACAAAAAAACCGTATTAAAGATATTAGGACCTCAACTGAAAAACCTCACTGTGTGCCATACCAGATAGTAAAATTTAAGAACATCAAAGATCAAGAGAAATTCTAAATGTTTCCAAAGAGAAAAAATAGATTTCTTTCAAAGAAGCAAGAATCAGATTTCTTGGCAATAACCCTGGATAAAAGTAGATAAAGAGGCCGGGCGTGGTGACTCACACCTGTAATCCCAGCACTTTGGGAGGCTGAGGCTGTTGGATCACTTGAGGTAAGGAGTTTGAGGCCAGCCTGGCCAACATGGTGAAACCCTGTCTCTATTAAAAGTATAAAAATTAGCCAGGTGTGGTGGCACATGCCTGTAGTCCCAGCTACTCGGGAGGCTGAGGCAAGAGAATCGCTTGAACCCAGGAGGTGGAGGTTGCAGTGAGCCGAGATCATACCACTGCACTCCAGCCTGGATGACGGAGTTAGACTCCATATCAAAACAAAAAACAAAAAAAAGAAAAAAAAAGTGGATAAAGGAGTAATATCTCCAAAGGGTTGAACCTAAAATTTTATCCAGGTAAATTATTATCTACTTGTGAATGGGAGATAAAAGACCACAAAACGACACAGAAAGTTCATGTCCTATGGAGGCCAATGAAAGAATCCTTTGAGGTATAATACATTAAGAAGGAAAATGAGTTCAGGTCTGAGCACGGTGGTTCATGCCTGTGATCTCAGCACTTTGGGAGGCAGAGGCAGGCGGATCACTTGAGGTCAGGAGTTCAAGAACAGCCTGGCCAACATGGTGAAACCACATCTCTACTAGATTACAAAAAATTAGCCAGGCATGGTGCGCGTGCCTGTAGTCCCAGCTACTCGGAAGGCTGAAGCACGAGAATCGCTGAGATCATGCCACTGCACTCCAGCCTGGGTGACAGAGCAAGACTCCATCCTCCATCTCAAGAAAAAAAAAAAAAAGAGTTCAGCAGAAAGTAAGAAAAAGTAAATTAAAGAATTTGAGGCCAGGCATGGTGGTTCACTCCCATAATCCCAGCACTTTGGAAGGCCAACGCAGGACTACCTGAGGTCAGGAGTTCGAGACCAGCCTGGCCAACATGGTGAAACCCCATCTCTACTAAAAATACAAAAAATTAGCCTGGTATGGTGGTGGGTGCCTGTAGTCCTAGCTACTCTGGAGGCTGAGGCAGGAGAATTGCTTTAACCAAGGAGGCAGAGGTTGCAGTGAGCCAAGATCGCACCATTGCACTGCAGCCTGGGCAACACAGTGAAACTCCATCTCAAAAAGAAAAAAAAAATAGAATTTGATAAATTTTATGGTCCAAATAAGTTATGATTTTTTTAAAAACCCATAAATTGCACTCTGCTCTTCAATGGACTCAACACAACTGTCTGCCTCCTGGCCAGACCTCAAAGCAGCCCAGGAATCTCTTTCAGGGTTTCCTATGTTCTCTTCTATTCTTCCTCCCATCTCCCCGCTGGCTGGAGGATCTTACTTGATAACTGGTGCCAGAGGCCCGAAAGTCTCTTCATGAGTGCACAGCATGTCCTGGGTGACATTGCACAGCAGGGTAGGCTCAAAGAAATTTTTTCCAAGTTGGTGTCGTTTTCCACCTGTCACAACGGTGGCACCTTTAGAAACGGCATCATTCACCTGTTTCTCCACCTGTGTAATGAGGAAGAAAAAAAGCTTTCCACATGATACAATCTTTTAGAATGTTTAAACTGCAGAAAACTATAACTAGTTCCATTTTTTTTTCTTTTTCAAAAAAAGTAGGTTAACAATAAAGCATGCTGGTTTCCTTTTGTAGAAGGAACCACATTTGCAGAGATTCAGAAGCAAGAGTGCCACCTTCCTCCTTGGTCTTTGATATCTTCTAGCTGTTTGATCTTCCTATTTGTTGAATGGTCTAATATATATTCGCTTCTTTCTAGGCCTGCGGCTCAGCCGTTTGCTTGGATTTGCTTTCATTGCATTCTGCGGTTATTTCTAGCTTCTTGGATCCCATGTTGTCCTATTTCCTGAACTGAGTTTTTGTTGCTTTCTGACACACATAATCTCAAGTAGTTGTTATTTATTTATTTGTTTTTGAGATGGAATCTCGCTCTGTCACCCAGGCTGGAGTGCAGTGGCATGACCTTGGCTCACTGCAACCTCTGCCTCCCAGGTTCAAGCGATTCTCCTGCCTCAGCCTCCCGAGTAGCTAGGATTATAGGCACCCACCACCGCGCCCGGCTAATTTTTGTATTTTTAGAAGAGACAGGGTTTCATCATCTTGGCCAGGCTGGTCTCGAACTCCTGACCTCGTGATTCACCCGCCTTGGCCTCCCAAAGTGCTGGGATTACAGGAGTGAGCCACGAGGCCTGGCCAAGTAGTTGTTTTAAAAAAGATGCACTGGATGTGGTCTAGTTTCTGAATTTTCATACACCAAGTTTCTGGTGTTTTGTACTCCACCTGATTGATAATTTGCTTGAGTACAGAATTCTGATACAAAATAACTTTCAGAACTTTGAGTGCACTTCTCCACTTCCGGTGTTGCTGAGGAAGTTTGAGCCAAAAATGGTTCTCACCCTTTTTCTTCTTGATAGCTTTTTCCTCTCTGAAATCTCCTAGGATCTTCTATGCTCTGATATTCTAAAATTTTAGCAATACTATATATATATATATATATATATATATATATATACACACACACATATATATATATTAGATATATATATAGAATATATAGTAGATATATATAGAATATATATATAGTAGATATATATATAGAATATATATATAGAAGATATATATATATAGAATATATATATATAGAGAAGATATATATATATTCCCTTTTCATTCATCCTACTTGGTAAGCAGTGAAATCTTTCAATCTGCAGAATAATTATTTTCCCCTAACTCTGAGAAGTTTCCATCTATTATTTACTTGGTAATGTCACTTCCTCCATTTTCCCAATTATTTCACTCCAGAACTCCTACTACTGGACGGGTATTAACAGGAGTTCAGATTAGTTCTGATTTTTTTTTGCATTTCTATTATATTTTTTGCCTCTCTATAGTTTGCTTTAAACTCCATAAGATCTCCGAAATTTTATCATCTACTTCAGGTACCGAATCTTGTGACAGTCATATGTCTAATTTCTACAGACTCTTTGTTTTCATTGCTTCATTTCCTAGAACATACTTCTTTTTTTATTATTATTATACTTTAAGCCTAGAACATACTTCTTATTAACAGTTTACAGATGTACTATCTTCCCAAAACTCTTGCAGGACACTATGAGATTTTTAGAAAATTTCCTTCCAGTTCCCTAATTTATCTGCTTCCTTCAGGGACTATTCTGTTTGTTCTTCCTGACCTTTCCTCTTATGTGCTGGTGGTTTTCCCATCATGATCCTTGGTTGTTCATCTTTCTGAATGAAGGACTGAGTTGTCGAAACTAACCTGGTCAGCTCCTTCTCAGCTCCAGCAGTGTGTTTGGGGGACACACACACACACAAGGACTGGGTTGATCAATTTGGGGATGTGTGGCATGAGTGGTCTTTGCTGTTTTAAGCTTGGGTTTATTCTAACTTGCAGGCTTCACATAAGGGCAGCTCCCTTCCCCAAAAGGCAAAGTCGAGAGAGCCCTACCCTGAGGTACCTAGCCTCGCTCTTGAAGCTGTAGTCTGCCTAGATACCTACTATATTTCTTCAGAAAAGCTGTCCTGCCCAGAACAAATGCCTCTGCTGTCTCATGTGTCTTGGTGGTGGTCGTGGTGAGAAGGGATGGTGGGAATGACCCAGAAAATTGTGCAGAAGTAGAATCAACCAGCTTCATCTCCTCCCCTCCTCCTATTCCTACTTTCTGTAGCCACCAATTCTAGAAAGGCTCTGTCGTTTAAAATGGCACCAATTTCCTCTGCAGGGTTCCCCTGGGTAGACCCATCTATTTTGACTTCTGTTTTGACTTCTGTTTTGTTGCTCAGGCTGGGCTGGGGTGCACTGGTGCGATCTCTGCTCACTGCAACCTCCGCCTCGTGGGTTCAAGAGATTCTCTTGCCCCCGCCTCCTGAGTAGCTGGGACTACAGGTGCTTGCCACCACACCTGGCTAATTTTTCTTTTCTTTTTTTTTTTTTTTAGAGATAGGGTTTCACTGTGTTGGTCAGGCTGGTCTCAAACTCCTGACCTCAAGTGACCCACCCGCCTCAGCTTCCCAAATGCTGGGATTATAGGCGTGAGCCACTGTGCCCGGCCCTCAGCTGAATTTTCTATAGGGTTTCAGGAAGGTAAATATAGGTGTGAGTGCATTCTGTCTTTGAGACTGACTCTTTTGAAATCCATGCCCCTCCTGCAATGCTCTCATAGTGCATCACCTGCAACTAATCCCCATCGGCTAGGATGGCTTACTTTCTATGAATTTTATATTATAAAAATAATTCTACTTAACAAAAATACCCCCTTCCTCCCCAAATATAATCTGCTCTGCCCTTTTCTTGTCATATTAATGTGAGATGCAGTGTTTTTTTCCTAGAACCCACTCTATGACAGTATGTACACTAAAGCCAACACAATGAAGTGTTTTTAAACAAGGTGGTTTCCACCAAATTTCTCTCCAGCAAAAAAGAAATCTCGCTGTCTGCTTGTTTGAAGTCCTGGCGTACAGCACCATCTGGAGGACAATGTCTGCGTCTTCCCTTTGGGGAAAAAAATCTTCAAGACAGAGTGGTTTCCCAGACTGGCTGCAAACTAGCATCATACTGGGGCACTTAGAAAATGCCAATGCCTAGGCTGACTACACATAAATTAACACCTAGTCTTCTTGGATGGGTCCCAGGCAACTGTAGTCGATAAAGGCACGGTGTGAGTTAAGGACCACCACTCTAGGACTTGAACCACAGCTGGCCTAGACCCAAATTGCCTTCACTAGACAAGTGAATACCCCTGCCTTGTCCCCAAGGTCCAAAGTCACCTCTAAAATGCAGGTGGTTCCAATGTAAATTTTAATGTATTTTCTTTATCTAGAGTAATCCCAAGACAGTAACTAGAAATTTATCAGAGCTCTGTCAAACCTCGAGGCTTCCCTGGGTTTCCCAAGGCAATGGATGTGGGTTCAGCTGAGTTGACTGCCCACGGGGTGGAGGCAGCCATGGAGTCAGGGCTTGGTTCTCAGGCTCTGAGGAGGTTGAGGAACAGCGGTGGGGCTGTGCTTCCCATGATGAGTACTGACTTGGCTGTCACTTGCTTCTGGTTCTTCAGTTGCATCCAGGGGCTGGCTGTGCCTCCACTGTGTGTCTCCCTCTGACCACCTCTCCTCCCTTCTTTCCCACACACAATCTTCAGCTTCTACTGTCTTCCTGATTTAAAATATTCCGTTAAAACCATTTCTGGGTAGGCATGGTGGCTCACGCCTGTAATCCCAGCACTTTGGGAGGCCGAGGCAGGTGGATCACCTGAGGTCAGGAGTTCGAGAGCAGTCTGGCCAACATGTGAAACCCCAGCACTACTAAAAATACAAAAAGTAGCCAGGCGTGGTGGTGGGTGCCTGTAACCCCAGCTACTCGGGAGGCTGAGGCAGGAGAATCAATTGAACTCAGTGGGGCGGAGGTTGCAGTGAGTCAAGACTCACCACTATACTCTAGCCTGGGCAACAGAGCGAGACGCCGTCTCAAAAAAAAAAAAAAAAAACACAAAAAACTGGATGTTTGATATTACAAGAAACTTTCTTGTGACTCCAAAATGGATTTTTTTAAAACAGTAGAATAAGGAGAGAAGTCTCATATAGCTAGTAGTATGGATTATAACATTTTTTTAAACAAACAAATCTTTCCTAAAAGCAGTTTCCCCTCAATATCTCTAAATCCTGAACGCGGCATCTGTGATTCTGCACCCCCGGCTGGGATACTTTCATGAAGGACTGTTTTAGACAGGGATTTTGTCATCAAGAGAAGAAAGAACAGGACAACATCAGCATTACAGCCGAAACGCAAACCATCTCAAAACCAAGCCAGTCTTCCATTCCATAGGTGTTCCAAAAGATGAATGAACTTTGTCTCAAGATCCTAATTGCTGAGGCAGTGAGGGATAGAATTATCATCACTATAACAAAATTTAGGGAGGACAGTAAAGAGCTACAGTGACAGACCGCATGGGGACTTGGTGCAATGGCAGGGCTATAGCAGCTCATGACCAGACAACAACCCGATTCATATAACTGGTAGGCAGAATTCACTTTTCTCAGGTTTCTCCATTGTTTACAAAATAGGCTTGCTGGGCACTTTACCAAAATGACTTTTTTGTTTTCATTTTTTTTTTTTGCCTTTTAACATCATTTTTTTTAGCTATTATTAATTTTTTACTTATTTTAACCTTTGTGGTTTTTGTATGAAAACATCATTGAAAATTCCATTCGATTCCATGTATAGATGTAGATCTCTCATACTCTATACTCTAATCAGGATAGTTAGCACATCTATCGCCTCAAACATTGATCATTTCTTTATACTGGGAACGTTCAAAATCTACTCTTCTAATAATAGCTATTTGAAAATATACAATACATTGTTGCTAATTACAGTCATTCTACAGTGCTGTAGAACACCAGAGCTTATTCCTTCTGTCTAGCTGTAATATTCTGTCAACCCACCCCTCTCTATCCCCACCCCTCCAGCCAAAGTGTTTTTTGCTGATTAAGCTTTTCATATTGAAACCATGAAATTTACTTTCACAAATAATACAATATACTTACCTTTTCTACCGCTTTTTCATTAATTAATGGGCCCTGAGTAGTTCCTTCCTCAAATCCATTACCTACGCGCAGGTTCTTCTTCATGGCCTCGGCGAATGCTTTTACAAAGGCATCATGGATGCCCCTTTGCACCAAGAATTGGTTTGAGCAAACACAAGTCTGGACAGGAGACAAAAACAAACCCACACAGTCTGTCAGAAGCTGCAGACCTGACCAGTGAACGTGTGGCTGCTACCGCCTCTCTGTGAAAACACTTCCCTCGGTGGTTGTCATGTGCTCAAACTGCCATTTTCCTCCTCACGTGGGCTTGGCCCCAAAGATAAAAGCACTGAGTCAGTGCATGTTCCCCTCCAGTTCCCTCCACAGCTGCTATGCTACACAGCTGCTATGCATCAGTGATTAGTTGGCAATAAGCACCTGTACACACACACACACACACACACACACGAAAGAAAAGAAAAAAAAGCCACCCAATCCATGTTTTTTTCAAATGGCTTTTATTTTGTTTCCCTGGGGGGTGGGGAAAGAGTGCAATTCTCCTAGGAGACTGTGATGCTGCAGCAACAGCAGAGGCTAAGAGGAATGTGGTCCAACACCAACTTATAGTCTTTTGTTTTGCTGACACAGGGTCTCGCTCTGTCGCCCAGGCTGGAGTGCAGTAGTGATGAGTTCACTGCAGCCTTGACCTCCAGGGCTCAAGTGATTCTTCCACCTCAGCCTCCCAAGTAGGTGGGACTATAGGCACTTGCCACCATGCCCAGCTAATTTTTAATTTTTTTTGGCTGGGCGCAGTGGCTCATGCCTGTAACCCCAGCACTTTGGGAGGCTGAGGTGGGTGGATCACCTAAGGTCAGGAGTTCGAGACTAGCCTGGCCAACATAGTGAAACCCATCTCTACTAAAAATAGAAAAATTAGCTGTAGTCCCAGCTACTCAGGAGGCTGAGGCAGGAGAATCTCTTGAATCCGGGAGGTGGAGGTTGCAGTGAGCTGACATCATGCCACTACACTTCAGCCTGGGCAACAGAGTGAGACTCTGTCACACAAAAAAAAAAAAAAAAAAAAAAAAATTGTAGAGACAGAGTCTCACTCTGTTGCCCAGGCTGGTCTCCAACTCCTGGGCTCAAGTGATCCTCCTGCTTTGGCCTCCCAAAATGCTGGGATTACAGTTCTGAGCCACCATACCTGTCCCCAAGTTGTAGCCTTACAGTGTAATTGATGGTAACATATATTGACATTTTGTATTTATGAAGGAAAATATACTTATTTCAGACAAAACCAAGCTTATTTAGGTTATGTGGAAGGGAAAAACTTAATTACCAAAGGCCAAGGCAAGGATGAAAATTATTTGATAGAGAATATCACACATTTCAGTTTTTTCACAATATAACCTTTCAGGGATATTTACTCTGTTTCTAGAATGCATTTAAAATTACATATTGATGGTACTTTTAAGATGAATGCTTAAGAATATTTAAGAAGGCAGGACCCTGGCAGCAGCTTGGATAGAACTGGAAGACAGGAGCCTTGGCTCAGAGTCCCAGCTCCTCAGCAGATTTGACACTGTGGCCCAAAGACGTCTGATCTCTAAGTCACTTTTTCTTTCTAGAGTTTCATTTCCTCATCTCTAAAATGCAACGTTTGTAGAGCTGATAACTGTGAAGGTCCCTGACAGATCAAATATTCCAGGATTTCCTAGGAAGACATGAGCTCAGGCCTCTGGTCTCCCAGGACAGCCTGGATGCTCCTCTAAAACACTGCTGGCGTGGGCCTGTGCCCTGTAGAGGGCACCTCTGAGGCTCCCTCCATCTCGGGACAGCGAGGCCCCACTGGGTCATAGCAGGCAACAGGGTTTTGAGTTATTCCAGCCACCACCCTCCTCAACATTTTCTTACTTTCTTTCCCTTGGCCTCAGAGACCCCAATTGTTCAAGGCTGTTCTGTGTCTGAGGAGATTATATCCGTTCAGTAGAAAAAAGATCAATGAAAGAAAACTATAAAAATAACCAGATTAAAAGGATAGGGGAAAGAAGAAAACAGAGAACAATTTGACTAAAGGACATCTGCTGTTCAGAAAATTATTTGAAGCCAGGGACTGTACCTTATTTTGGGGGGGCCCCTCTGAGCCTAGTATAACCCTGGTAATAAAAAGTAAGGCATATACTAAATATTTGCTGAAAGAGTCAATGAATAAAGAATGAATAATGGAAGGAACCCAAAAGTTTCCTTATGGGATATAAGGCAGTAGAGGTGGTGGGATCTTTGTAACACACACACACGCACACACACACACACTCACATGCACACATATCACACACACACACATACACACACTCACACATGCACACGCAAACACACATCCTGAAATACTCTCCAGGACTCACCTGTCCAGTGTTCCTAAATTTAGATGCCATGGCCCCTGCTACAGCCTGGTCCACGTTGGCACTGTCAAATACTATAAATGGAGCAAGGCCGCCCAGCTCCATAGAGACCCTTTTCACAGAGTTTGCTGCGTGGTGCAACAGGATCTGTGAGCAGAGGAGAGAAAGCTGTGAGCACAGAAATCCATTACCAGGATTGTTAAGCCTTTGTTTAAAAAAATTACCAAATGGTGAAAAAAGCAAGGTGCACAGTGGTGTACATGGGATAACTTTGCATAAGAAAACGGAGAAATAAGAATATATATTTACATTTGCTTGTATTTGATAAAGAAACATTGGGAAGAGGCTGGGTGTGGTAGTGTGCACCTGTAGTCCCAGCACCTTAAGAGGCTGAAGTGGGAGGATTACTTGAGGCCAGGGGTTCCAGACCAGCCTGGGCAGCATAGGGAGACTCCATTTCAAAAATTAAATAAATAAATAAATTAGTAAAATAAACACTGGGATGACAAGACACTAAAAGTCATTATTTATAGAAAGAGGGAGTGAGTCAGGGTTGGGGTAGGGTGAGACTTGTCATGGTAAACATTAATACTGTCTTAATTTTTCAACCATATAAGTAAGTGTTTATCTATTCAAAACAATTATATGATGGGCTTAAAAATCATAGAGATAAGAAAATAAAATCACCTAGAATCCCACAACCCACAGCTTACACTGATAACATTTTAAAGTACATCCATTTAGAATGTAGCCATGCAGATTCAGGTACATGTACATTTAAAAAAAAAAAAACAGGATGGTATAATTATATAATTATACCGTTTCGTAACCTGCTTTATCTTCCCAATGAATCACATATTTGGGACGTCTATCTTAAAATTTTCATAACCCTTTATATCTTGCTCCTTTAATGTAACACTCTAATGTGAAGATCCTCTTGTGTCAGCACATATGTTTCTAGAACTTTATTTATTATTATTATTGAGATGGAGTCTCGCTCTGTTGCCCAGGCTGTAGTGCAGTGGCGCAATCTCCAGTTACTGCAACCTCCACCTTCTGGGTTCAAGCAATTCTTCAGCCTCAGCCTCTTGAGTAGCTGGCATTACAGACATGTGCCACCACACCTGGCTAATTTTTGTATTTTTAGTAGAGATGGGGTTTCGTCATGTTGGCCAGGCTGGTCTTGAACTCCTGACCTCAAGTGATCTGTCTGCCTCAGCCTCCCAAAGTGCTGGGATTACAGGTGTGAGCCACTGTGCCCGGCCTAGAACATTCCTTTAGATGCTTGCATAGTATTCCACTGCATGGCTCTTCTGTAATTTATTTATTCAGGCCCCATCTGTTGGACATTTAGGTTGTTTCCATCCTTGCCATTAAAAAAACGCTGTGGATCGCGCCACTGCACTCCAGCCTGGGCTACAGAGCGAGACTCCATCTCAAAAACAAAACAAAACAAAAGACAAAAACACTGTGATGATTCTGTCAGGATGAACATGTAGAATTGCTAGCTCAATGTATAATCATAAGGCTTTTGGTACCTATAGCTATTATAGTTTAAATATCCAGTAAGAGATTTCATAGCCTAAGAAGCTGCTTAGGGATGTTTAAATGCTTTATTAAGGATAGTAGGTCTTTGTCTAGTCATGGCTGCAGGAAAGATGGGACCACACTTGAGATAGTTCGAGTGAAACAGACGGTGTTCGCAAGCCCAAGGTGGCTCTAGGATTGCCCCCCAAGTGTTGTACATTCTGAGGTCATGAGTTTTGTGACACGGTTCTTGGTAAAAACACAGAATGGCTGGAAAGCTAGGCCTGTGTGGGTACTGTGTATGTGTCTGTATGTTAATATTCCAGCAATCAAATGGTAGTAACAATCTTCTCTGAAACATTACTGTTCAACAAAGTAGTTCAAGTTTTAAGACTAAACATATTTCTTTATCGGACGCAACATAACTATTTAAACTTTTTTTATGTTTTTATTTAAAAATTTTTAAGAAACGTCATTGACTTTTCCTGGATTTGCTTCAGTGCAAAAATGATTCTCACTGTTGGGTCACTCCATTTTGCCTCCACCTGGCCTTGAGCACAGGTCCTGTCTCTGGTGTCTGTCCCTCCACCTGCACTGGCTCTGTGTCCTCTGACAGTGTCCTCTCCCCACTCAGTCTCTGCTTCTCCAGGAAGGCGGCTTGCCCTGGCCACTGGGTATAGTGTAAACTCCTGTCATGTCTTAATGAATCTTTTCCCAGCTCCAGTTCCCATGGGCTGACCTCCTCAGGGCCTCAGCTTCCAAAGACAGCATGTGATTGGCCCAGCCTACCTTTCTTTCTTTTTCTTTTTTTGAGTTTAGGAGCAGAAGTTTAATAGGCAAAAGAAAGAGAAAGAAACAGAAAGCAAAACAGCTCTCTCTCTTCTCTAGTGAAGGAGAGGGGAATTCCTAGAGGAAAAGGCCCTGACCTAGCCCACCCTTCTATGCCAGGCTACTTGTCCTAGGTCACTGGCCAGCCCACAATTTCTGTTTCGCTCAAGTCAATGACCACTCATGATTCAGTTTTCTGAACAGAGGAAGAGATGAGGTATCATATGCTTTACAACATGGCTGCTGTCCTCTCAGCGGGGTCCTGGGAGGGGTGGCCCCCCTAGAAAGTGGCAAGGGCAGGGCAGGCATGCCTAGAACAGGCTCGCTGTGTATGCCTCAGTTATGAGGCAAGGTTCTCCACCCCAGGACCAGAAGCTCAGCCCCTAATCTCTGAAGACCAGCTCAGCAGAGGTGCTTGCTTAGTTATGCATCAGTTATCCCTTCAGCTATACTTGTCACATTTCCTGTTCAGTCACTAGAGGTGCATCACTGTCCTGGGTCAAGAGGAGCAAAGCTGGACTTGGCAGGGTCATGGCTGATATTTTCCTGGAGCCCTGTTAGATGAGGATAGTTTGCTGAGAAAACTGAGTTGCTGCCCTTCGCCCAGTATCCTGGAAATTTCTCTGGCTTGAATGAGAAGGATTTACAACGCTTTCTCCCAGGCTTCCCTCTTTCTTTCTAACTACTTCGTAGTAACATTTGAATCTTTCTGCGGATAAGTTTGCATTGTAAGACCCACTGATCAGGGGCATAGCAGTTTATGGATCTAAAAATTCCTATTTCTATTATGAATGAATGGTAGGATTCCACAGCACTACTCCCTGAGTATGAGTTTATAGCATGACAAAAGTGATTATGGTTGGGAGACATTAAAAGTACATTATTCCAGCTGGGCACGCTGGCTCACACCTATAATCCCAGCACTTTGGGAGGCCAAGGAGGGAGGATCACTTGAGGCCAGGAGTTCCGGATCAGCCTGGCCAACATGGCGAAACCCCATCTCTACAGAAAATACAAAAATTAGCCAGGCGTAGTGGCACATGCCTGTAATCCTAGCTACTCAAGAATCTGAGCACGAGAATCACTTGAACCCAGGAAGCAGAGGTTACAGTTAGCCAAGATCACGCCACTGCACTCCAGCCTGGGCAACAGGGCAACTGTCTCAAAAAAAAAAAGTTAAATTATTCCCTCCTGCTTCTCATGGTTTCTAAAATGACCATAGATGCACAAAATCTTTGAAATTAGACTTTTTTATTTTTATTATTTTTTGAGGCAGGGTCTCACACCTATTGCCCAGGCTAGAGTGCAGTGACATGATCACAACTCACTGCAGCCTCAACCTCCCAGGCTCAGGTGATCCTCTCACCTCACCCTCCCAAGTAGCTGGGACTACATGTGTGTGCCACTAAGCCCAGCTAATTTTTTTTTTTGTAGAGACAGGGTTTCACCAGGTTGTCTAGGTTGGGCTCAAGTGATCCTCCTGCCTTGGCCTCTCAAAGTGTGAGGATTACAGGTGTGAGCCACCACGCCTGGGCAGATTTATATATTTTATCTGTTATGTGTTTATGGACATGAACAATGTGAGTACAGATACATATATGTGTATATCTAGATATAAACTAGTAGAAAAAAGCACACCATCTGAAGAGAAACACCATAAACAAAAATTTTGTTCCACCTTGATTTTTTCTCTTTTGGACATTTTTTTATTATTTATTTTTTTTAATTTTTAATTTTTTTTTTTTTTTTTTTGAGACAGAGTCTCACTCTGTCGCCCAGGCTGGAGTGCAGTGGTGTGATCTCGGCTCACCTCACTGCAAGCTCCGCCTCCTGGGTTCACACCATTCTCCTGCCTCAGCCTCCTAAGTAGGTGGGACTACAGGCGCCCGCCACCACGCCCAGCTAATTTTTTGTATTTTTAGTAGAGTTGGGGTTTCACCGTGTTAGCCAGGATGGTCTTGATCTCCTGACCTTGTGATCCGCCTGCCTCGGCCTCCCAAAGTGTTGGGATTACAGGTGTGAGCCACCGCGCCCGGCCCTCTTTTGGACATTTAAAAGGATAAATAAACATCTACTTACAGGCATACACATTAAGTTTTTAGCAAAGAACATTTCATCATTTAAGGGAAAAAAAACTCAAAGAAAAAGACCTTTCCATTTCTCTAAGTACTTTTAGACTAAACACATTTTTGTTCAATTCAAAAACATCCATTTCAACATTAATTGTGTGTTTCTGGAATCTCTAACTCTAGATTATTGAAAGAAAGATGCATTCCAGAATTGAAAAAAATACAGTGGAGAACTTTCACCCACTTCATATACAACAAATAATGCAAAAATAATGGGACCCTCGCTGCCCCAATTTCTTTGGTTTTGTCAAGCAGGAACCTATGTCGTGCCACAAAGAACTGTCCAAAATATCCCCAGAGGATGGTCAGATATTACTTTATTCAACCAACAGACCTTTTTTTTGAAACAGAGTCTGCTCTGTCACCCAGTCTGGAGTGCAGTGGCACAATCTTGGCTCACTGCAACCTTCGCCTCCCGGGTTCAAGTGATTCTCATGCCTCAGTCACCTGGGTACCTGGGATTACGGGTGTGCACCACCATGCCTGGTTAATTGTTGTATTTTCTGTGAGGGGGTTTCATCATGTTGGCCAGGCTGGTCTCGAACTCCTGGCCTCAAGTGATCTGCCCACCTCAGCATCCCAAAGTGCTGGAATTACAGGCATGAGCCGCCGTGCTTGGCCTGCGACAGAGCTTTTAACACTCTGCTGGAAATCTTTCCAAAATTGGTGATCAGGATGAAATAGTATTTTTATAACCTATCAAGATAAAATATTAGAAAGACATTTGTTTTCTTTGAAACTTGAGTCACATACCTTTCCTGTAGTTGTTGAACCAGTAAAGGAAATTTTGGACACCAGAGGATCAGTACAAATTGCCTCCCCTACTTCCTTGGCATTCTTTCGAGAACAGGGAATAACATTGTATACACCTGAAGGAATCCCAGCCTGGCTTGCAAGCTATAAAGAGAAACAGCAAACATGTGCCAACAATTTACCAAACTGAAAAAAAAAAAAAAAAAAAGAAAAGAGAAATAAATAGATACTTAACCCAAAAAGTAATGGAAGAAAAATTAAGCTGACACTGGGGACAGACTAAGAATATATTTGAAGTTTAAATATAATTCTTATTAGTGCTAAAGTCACGTTAATATTAATGGGTTGTTAAAGATCATTACAATAAAATTTCTACCGGACATGGTGGCTCATGCCTGTAATCTCAGCGCTTTGGGAGGCAGAGTTGAGAGGATCACTTGAGCCCAGGAGGTGGAGGTTGCAGTGAGCCAAGGTTGCGCCACTGCACTCCAGCCTGGGGAACAGAACAAGACCCTGTCTCAAAAAAACAAACAAACAAACAAAATTCTTAGAGTATAAGTTTCTTTCTTTCTTTTTTTTTTTTAAGACAGTCTTGCTCTGTCACCCAGGCTGGAGTGCATTGGCATAATCTCCACTCATTGCAACCTCTGTCTCCCAGATTCAAGTGATTCTCCTGCCTAAGCCTTCCGAGTAGCTGGGATTACAGGTGCGTGCCTGGCTAATTTTTGTAGTTTTAGTAGAGACGGTTTTCACCATGTTAGCCAGGCTGGTCTCGAACTCCTGGCCTCAAGTGATCCGCCCACCTCAGCCTCCCAAAGTGTTTGGATTACAGTTGTGAGCCACCGGGCCTGGCCAGAGCATGCATTTCAATGCCACGGTCTGTTCAAACTAATAAAGAAGCAAATAAAAAAACCTGAATTTCTGCCCTGAGAAAAATCAAAGGAGATGCCAAGAAAAAAGTTACTTGATTCACCTGTAGAATCAAGGGTGGGAAAGTGAAAAGGGGCATTTAATGAGCACCTACTAGGTGCAGGGCAGCAGTGCAAAGCCTTTCCATAGGTGATTTCCCAGGGGGATGATGAAGAAAGGGAGGCATAGCAGAGAAGAATGCAGCCAAGGCCACAGCTAGTAACAGAACCCGCATGCAAACCCACAGCTACCTGATCTGGACACTCATGCTCTTTCCATAGAGATTCCCTTTGGATAAGACATATCCTGAATTATTTTAATTTCTGGATTCCATTAACAATTAGCTTATTACATAAATCTGACTGGAGATTCTGGGAAGATGAGTTTGTGAGTCTCCCTCAATATCCTCATGAAAACAGCAATTAGACAGCAAACCCCAAATCTCAGAGACATTCACAAGACAATTACAACAAACATTTACAACAAGGTATCTCCACAAACCACAAATTACAAGTGGGTAAGAATATACCACCTGTGTTGACAAGACCTGACCGTCATATCAGCACCTGTGTGAGAGGAAGCAGGGGGCAGCAACGGGCCGTGTGGTATACCCAATAACAGAGAACCCCAAATAGTCCACAGCTGTTCCTCTGAGAACAGCAGCTGTAAGTGGGAGGGCCTTGCCCTATCAATAGTAGGTGAGTACATGGGATGCTGCAATGTCAATAGTAGGTGAGTACATGGGATGCTGCAATAAGGAATGAAGGGCATGGAGAGTCCAGCCCCTGGGAGCCGTGTGATGAAAGATGAGGAGGCCCTGATAAAAACAGGGGAAGGGGATGGAGCCAGCCAGGAAGCAAGCTACCTTATCTTTGAACACGATACACAAGGAAGCAAAAGGTACACTGTGAAGGAAAAGAAGCTATATTCCTAACTGGGCCTTCTTCCAAAAGTTCAGAAAACTAACTTCACATAAAAATAAAATTCTGACAAGAACACTGAGGTCAAATCCCATAAAAAGTTGTTAAAAGAAAAGAGGCTGGGTGTGGTGGCTCATGCTTGTAACCCCAGCACTTTGGGAGGCTGATGTGGGAGGACTGCTTGAGCCCAGAAGTTCTATACCAGGCTACGCAACATAGTGAGACCCTATCTCTACGAAAAAATAAAAAACAAAATTAGCTGGGTATGGTGGTGCACACCTGTAGTCCCAGCTACTTGGGAGGCTGAGGCAGGAGAAACGCTTGAGCCTGGGAGGTCGAGGCTGCAGTGAGCCGTGATAGCAACACAGTACTCCAGCCTCTGTCTCAAGAAAAAAAAGAAAAAAATAGAAAAAATAATAAGAAGTAGAATAATATCCCTATAGACAACAAAAGCATACCAGAAAGACATGCCCACAAAACAGACCCAAACTGGGCCAGGTGCGGTGGCTCACACCTGTAATCCCAGCATTTTAGGAGGCCAAGGTGGGTGGATCACTTGAGGTGAGGAGTTCCAGACCAGCCTGGCCAACATGGCAAAACCCCGTCTCTACTAAAAATGCAAAAAATAGACGGGCATGATGGTGTGTGCCTGCAATTCCAGCTACTTGGAGGGCTGAGGAAGGAGAATCGCTTGAACCAGGGAGGCGGAGATTGCAGTGAGCCAAGACTGTGTCATTTCACTCCAGCCTGGGCAACAAGAGTGAAACTCTGTCTCAAAAACAAAACAAAACAAAACAAAACAAACAACATTAAAAACCAGACCCAAACTGTAACTTACAATTTCAAAACAAGGTAAAAGATGACAAGAAAATCACATCAAGACACAAAAGAACAACCAACATGAACTGAGGCTAGAAAACTTTGGAAATGAGGTGAAGGAATATAGGAAAGAATCAGAAGAAAGAAGTAAATCATTTCAGAAATGAAAACCAAATTAGAAGGAACACAAGCATGAACAAACACAACACATAACCTCAAGAAAAATCGAAGGTGAAAAGAAAGATAATTTTAGAGATCATGGTGGATGGGAAGCAGGACTAGATTGCAGCTCCCACTCGGATGGACAAAACAGCATGTGGAGGCTTGCATTGTGAACTTTTGCTCCAGAACGACTGCAGGAATAAATCAGGAAAACTGGGAGAGCATACAGATCCTGTGAAGGAAGCAGATTGCTCCTGCAGGACCTGGGAGACACCCCAAATACTGTGCTGGTATCTACGGCTGAGAGACCCACAGATGGTTCACATCACAGGACTCTGTGCGGACAACCCTCAGTAGCAGCCTGGAGCCTGGTAGACTTGCTGGGTGGCTAGATCCAGAAGACAGATAACAATCACTACAGCTCGGCTCTCAGGAAGCCACATCCCTAGGAAAAGGGGGAGCTACTACATCAAGGGAACATCCCGTGGGACAAAAGAATCTGAACAACAGCCTTCAGCCCTAGACCTTCCCTCTGACAGAGCCTACCCCAATAAGAAGAAACCAGAAAGCCAACTCTGATAATATGAAAAAACAAGATTCTTTAACACCCCCCAAAAATCACATGAGCTCACCAACAATGGATCCAAATCAAGAAGAAATCCCTGATTTACCTGAAAAAGAATTCAGATAGTTATTTATTAAGCTAATCAGGGAGGCAACAAAGAAAGGCGAAGCCCAATTTAAGGAAGTCACAAAAAAAAAAAAAAAGATACAAGAAATAAGGGGAGAAGTTTTCAATGAAATAGATAGCATAAATAAAAAACAATCAAAACTCCAGGAAACAATGGGTGCACTTATAGAAATGCAAAATGTTCTGGAAAGCCTCAGCAATAGAATTGAACAAGCAGAAGAAAGAACGTCAAAGCTCAAAGACAAGGTTTTCAAATTAACCCAATCAACAAAGACAAAGAAAAAAGCATAAGAAAATATGAACAAAGCTTCCAAGAAGTCTGGGATTATGTTAAACAACCAAACCTAAGAATAATACGTGTTCCTGAGGAAGAAGAGAATTCTAAAAGTTTGGAAAACATATTTGGGGGAATAATCGAGGAAAACTTCTCCAGCCTTGCTAGAGACCTAGACATCCAAATACAAGAAGCACAAAGAACACCTGGGAAATTCATCACAAAAAGATCATCCCCTAGGCACGCTGTCATCAGGTTACCTGAAGTTCAGACGAAGGAAAGAGTCTTAAGGGCTGTGAGGCAAAAGCACCAGGTAACCTATAAAGGAAAACCTATCAGATTAGCAGATTTCTCAGCAGAAACCCTACAAACTAGAAGGGACTGGGGCCCTATCTTCAGCCTCCTCAAACAAAGCAATTATCAGCCAAGAATTTTGTATCCAGAGAAACTAAGCTGCATTTATGAAGAAAAGATACAGTCTTTTTCAGACAAACACATGCTGAGAGAATTCGCCACTACCAAACCAACACTACAAGAACTGATAAAAGGAGCTCCAAATCTTGAAACAAATCCTGGAAACACATCAAAACAGAACCTCTTTAAAGCATAAATCTCACAGGACCTATAAAACAAAAATACAATTAAAAAACAAAACAAAACAAAACCCAAAAGTATTCAGGCAACAAATAGCATGATGACTGGAATAGTACCTCACATCTCAATACAAACATTGAATGTAAATGCCTTAAATACTCCACTTAAAAGATACAGAATTGCAGAATGGATGAGAGTTCACCAACCAACTTTCTGTTGCCTTTAAGAGACCCACCTAATACATAAGGACTCACAGAAACTTAAGGTAAAGGGGTGGAAAAAGGCATTCCAATCAAATGGACACCAAAAGTGAGCAGGAGTAGCTATTCTTATATTAGACAAAACAAACTTTAAAGCAACAGCAGTTAAAAAAGACAGAGAGGGACATTATATATTGATAAAAGGCCTCGTTCAACAGGAAAATATCACAATCCTAAATATATATGCATGTAACACTGGAGCTCCCAAATTTCTAAAATGATTACTATTAGACCTAAGAAATGAGATAGACAGCAACACAATAATAATGGGGGATTTCAATACTCCATTGACAGCACTAGACAGGTCATCAAGACAGAAAGTTAACAAAGAAACACTAGATTTAAACTACACCCTGGAACAAATGGACTTAGCAGATATTTACAGAACATTATCCAATAGCTGCAGAATATACATTCTATTTATTAGTGCATGGAACTTTCTCCAAGATAGACCATATGATAGGCCACAAAATGAGCCTCAATAAATTTAAGAAAATTGAAATTATATCAAGCACTCTCTCAGACCACAGTGGAATAAAGCTGGAAATCAACTCCAAAAGGAACCTTCAAAACCATGCAAATACATAGAAATTAAATAACTTGCTCCTGAATGATCATTAGGTCAAAAATGGAATCAAGATGGAAATTAAAAAATTATTTGAACTGAATGACAACAGTGATACAACATATCAAAACCTCTGGGATACAGCAAAGGTGGTGCCAAGAGCCAAGTTCATGGCCCTAAATGCTTACATCAAAAAGTCTGAAAGAGCATAAATAAATAATCTAAGGTCCCACCTCAAAGAACTAGAGAAACAAGAACAAACCAAACCCAAACCCAGCAGAAGAAAGGAAATAACCAAGATCAGAGCAGAACTAAATGAAATAGAAATAAACAAAAATACAAAATATAAATGATACAAAAAGCTGGTTCTTTGAAAAGATAAAATTGATAGACCATTAGAAGAGAAGAGAGAAAATCCAAATAATCTCAATTAGAAATGAAATGGGAGATATTACAACTGACACCACAGAAGTACAAAAGATCATTCAAGGCTACTCTGAACACCTTTACACACATAAACTAGAAAACCGAGAGGAGATGGATAAATTCCTGGAAATATACAGCCCTCCTAGCTTAAATCAGGAAGAACGAGATATCCCGAACAGACTGAAATGGTAGTAAAATAATTACCAACCAAAAAAAGTTCAGGACCAGACAGATTCACAGCAGAATTCTACCAGACATTCAAAGAAGAATTGGTATCAATCCTATTGACACTATTCCACAAGATAGAGAAAGAGGGAATCCTCCCTCAACAAATGGTGCTGGGATAATTGGCAAGCCACATGTGGGAAAATAAAACTGGATCCTCATCGCTCACCTTATACAAAATAAACTCAAGATGAATCAAGAACTTAAATCTAAGACCTGAAACTATAAAAATTCTAGAAGATAACATTGGAAAAACCCTTCTAGCCATTGGCCTAGGCAAGGATTTCATGACCAAGAACCCAAAAGCAAATGCAACTAAAACAAAGATAAATAGCTGGGACTTAAATAAACTAAAGAGCTTTTGCATGGCAAAAGGAACAGTCAGCAGAGTAAACAGACAACCCACAGAGCAGGAGAAAGTCTTCACAATCTATACATCTGACAAAGGACTAATATCCAGAATCTACAACAAACTCAAACAAATTAACAACAAAGAAAACACTCCCATCAAAAAGTGGGCTAAGAACATAATAGACAATTCTCAAAAGAAGATATACAAATGGCCCACAAACATATGAAAAAATGCTCAACATCACTAATGATCAAGGAAATGCAAATCAAAACCACAATGCAATACCACCTTACTCCTGCAAGGTTGGTCATAGTAAAAAAATTAAAAAATAATAGATGTCAGTGTGGATGTGGTGAACAGGGAACATTTCTACATTGCTGGTGGGAATGTAAACTAGTACAACCACTATGGAAAACAGTGTGGAGATTCCTTAGAGAACTAAAAGTAGAACTACCATTTGATCCAGCAACCCCACTACTGGGTATCTACCCAGAGGAAAAGAAGTCATTATACAGAAAAGATACTTGCACATGCACGTTTATAGCAGCACAATTCACAATTGCAAAAGCATGGAACAAACCCAAATGCCCATCAATCAACAAGTGGATAAACTGTATCCTATGTGGTTTATACATAGGATGGAATACTACTCAGCCATAAAAAGGAATGAATTAATGGCATTTGCAGTGGGCTGGATGAGATTAGAGGATTAGAGACTATTAATCTTTTTTTTTTTTTTTTTTTTTTTTTTTGGAGATGGAGTCTTGCTCTGTCACCTGGCTGGAGTACGGTGGCATGATCTTGGCTCACTGCAACCTCTGCCTCTCAGTCCAAGTGATTCTCCTGCCTCAGCCTCCCAAGTAGCAGGGACTACAGGTGCGTGCCACCATGCCCAGCTAATTTTTGTATTTTTAGTAGAGACGGGGTTTCACTATGTTGGCCAGGATGGTCTCAATCTCTTGAGCTTGTGATCTGCCCGCCTCAGCCTCTCAAAGTGCTGGGATTACAGGCGTGAGCCACCGCGCCTGGCCTGGAGAGTATTATTCTAAGTTAAGTAACTCAGGAATGGAAAACTAAACATCATATGTTCTCACTCATAAGTGGGAGCTAAGCTGTGAGGAAGCAAAGGCATAAGAATGACACAGTGGACTTTGGGGACTCAGGGAGAAAGGGTAGGAAGGGGGCAAGGGATAAAAGACTACAAATTGTGTGCAGTATATACTGCTCAGGTGATGGATGCACCAAAATCTCACAAATCACCACTAAAGAACTTAATCATGTAACCAAATACCACCTGTTCCCCAATAACCTATGGAAATAAAAATTAAAAAATAAAAATAAAATCAGACATTTTACACCCAGAAATAAAAGATAATTTTAAAAATTAGGGAAAAGATGAAAAAGATACAAGAGAAAGTGACAAAAAAGATTCAACTCATGGATATCAGGAGTTCCTAAGGGAGTAAAACCAAACCAATGGTGAGGAACAAATCCTGAAAACTTTATAGAGATATAAAACAAAAAGTCTGGAAACTACATACTGAAAGAGCACACTGCATACCTAGAGTATGGACTCAAAGCAATCATCACAAAGACATATTCTAGTGACATTATTGGTCTTTAAAGATAAAGGGGGAAAAAAACCAAACCAAACACTTTTGTGTATCTAGGTAAAAAAAAAAGTTGACTTATAAGGGCAAGAAACTTAGGTTACCATCTGAATTTTCAAGAGCAATGCTTTATATCAGAAGAAAATAGAGAATACATTTAAGATAATCAAGTAAAAAAAAAAAAATGTGAGCCAAGGATTTTATACCTAGCAAAACTGATTTATAAGCACGATAGGCCCAGACTACTGTCAACATTTAAGAAGGGAAAATATTCCTAAGGAATCTACTACAGACTGAGGTTCGGATCACCAAATGTCCAGAGAGACATTAACATAAGCACTGGTGGTAAGCATAAACATACAACTGCTTGTTCAACTAAGTCTAAAGGAGGGTTAAACTGGAGAGAGTAGAGCATGTAATGGTTGTAGTTTTGGCAACACAGATACAGTATAACTATTTTAAAATACAGACAAATGTTCATAGCCAAGAGGGATTAAGGAGACAAGGCAACTAAATGTAATGGGATATCCTGGACCAGATCCTGAAACAGAAAAAGGAGACTAGGTACAGACTAATAAAATCTGAGAATGGATTTTAAAGTATGGACTTTAGTTAATAACAACGTATCACTATTGATTCATTAATTGTAACAAATATACTAATGTAAGCTGCTAGTAATAGGAGAAATTGAATGTGGGGTATGTGGGAAATAGCCCATCTATGCAATTTTTCTGTAAATGTAAAACTATTCTAAAATAAAAGTTTATTACTAAAAATGAGAATGGAAAGAGAAAATACCAAAAAAGTAAACCATTTTCAATAGGCACATTGGTGATATTAAAATTAATATTTAAAACAAATAAAATTGATATTCAGAAGCTGTTGTTCTGTATAATGAGTACATACAGAATATTAATTCAGTCATTTCCTGAGTCTTTAGAAACCAGGAAAGAGGCCGAGCGTGGTGGCTCATGCCTGTAATCCCAGCACTTTGGGAGGCCGAGGCGGGTGGATCACGAGGTCAGGAGTTCAAGACCAGTCTGGCCAAGATGGTGAAACCCAGTCTCTCCAAAAAATACAAAAATTAGCTGGGTGTGGTGACGGGCATCTGTAATCCCAGCTACTCGGGAGGCTGAGGCAGAAAATTGCTTGAACCTGGGAGGCAGAGGTTGCAGTGAGCCAAGATTGCGACCCTGCACTCCAGCCTGGGTGACAGAGCGAGACTGTCTCAAAAAAAAAAAAAAAAAAAAAAAAAAAAAAGGAACCAGGAAAGAAGGAGGTGCAGATATAATATAAAATAAATTAAGTAAAAACTCTATAGGACTGAATTTGAATTCGAAGTTTCTATAGGAATTTCTGCAGCATTTTATTGTGTGTGTACACATGTGTACACATATATGTATATCTCCTAGCCCTGCCCACTGAAAAGGCCTACAAATAGTGATAGGGTAGGTAGTTTTAGGTGTTCTGGGGGAAAAAGCAAAGCAGAGGAGGGGATCAGGAGGATCAGAGTGTGAGGTTGTGATTTTTTTTTTTGAGACTGAGTCTCACTCTGTTGCCCAGGCTGGAGTTCAGTGACACCATCTCGGCTCACTGCAATCTCCGCCCCCAGGGTTCAAGCGATTCTCCTGCCTCAGCCTCTTGAGTAGCTGGGATTACATGCACATGCCACCACGCCCAGCTAATTTTGTATTTTTAGTAGAGACAGGGTTTCAGCATGTTGGTCAGGCTGGTCTCGAACTCCTGACCTCAAGTGATTTGCCCACCTTGGCCTCCCATAGTTCTGAGATTACAAGTGTGAGCCACCACGCCCAGCCAAATTGTGATTTTTAGACAGGGTGGCCATGGAAGGCCTCCCTGGGAGAGAGGAATTTGAGTGAAGACGTGAAGAAGCAAGTTATAGGGGTATCTGGGGGAGACTGCTCCAGACAGAGGGAAAGTATAAAGTTTGAGTGGAGGGCAAGGCTGGCGGGGTCTGGAAAGCGGCAGGGGCCAGAGTGGTCCAAGCAGATGAATGAAGAGTGAGGGGTTCCAGTGTGATGGACGAAGTCAGAGACATACTGGGGGGGTGGGAAGTGACATAGGACCTTGAAAGCCACTAAGGAATCTGGACTTTACTCTGAGTGAGTGACACAAGAGGCCACTTGAGGTTTTCAAACAAAAGAATAAGATCTAATGGAATGCAGATTGAACTGGGAATGGGAATGGGAAATAAGAAGTTTCCTAAATGTGAGAAACACCCATGTTTAAGTGCCTAGTTTATGAAGATGATGGATAGATACCATTTTACAGTAGGCTGAAAACATATGGCCTGCAGATGTCAGAAGATCCCTCATCCATTTTTTTCCCAAAAGAGCTACAGCTGACTTAAAGTAATCACCAGTAGATTAATACACAACACCATGCATCAGGAGGCGTAAGCAAAGAAGTAGGCTCCAAAATTGCTTCTTTCTGTCCCAGATAAACATCAATTTTTGAACTTTGTCTGCTTTGTACAAACACAGGGAGAGCGGCTCACCTCAGCCAGGGCCAGGGCGGAGAAGGGCGTGTCTTCGGCAGGCTTCACCACGACAGTACAGCCGGCTGCCAGGGCGGCCCCCACCTTCCGGGTGATCATGGCACTGGGGAAATTCCACTGGGGTTAGAAGAGCAGAGGAAGTATGTGAGAGGAAGGACCACCTCCTTAGTGCAAAGGAAGGCATGTTGGGAAGTCAGTGAACAAATTTCATTGCACAACTGATTGACAAACCCGTTTGGCTGCACAGGTGAGCTCTCAGAACACCTGACCCCCCCGCCAACTTGAGGGACTCTGAGATAAAGGCTCTTGAAGACAGGAAATATTTTTAGAATTTAACACAGTAAAAAATTAGTTAGACCAGGGGTCAGCCAACTTTTTCTGTGAAGGGCCAGATCGTAAATTTTTTAGGCTTTGTAGAATGTATGGTTTCTATGGCAATTACTCAACTCTGCAGCTGTATTGTGAAAACAGCCACAGATAGTAGGTGTATGAATGGGTGTGGCTGTGTCCCAATAAAACTTTATTTACAAACATAGGCAGTGGGCTGGATTTGGCCTGAGGCCCATGGGAGTAAGTATTAGCAATGGTTTTGAAAATGGCAGATGATTTATTATTCCTTCCACATACATATTTATAAATGCCTATACATATACCTATAATAACAGTATTTTATTTTATTTTGAAAAACTCTATTATATAGTACTTACTCTGTATCAGGTATTTTTCTAAGTACTTCAAAATTAAAATTAATTAAATCCTTATCACAACCCAATGAGGTTGATATTAACCTCATTTGCAAGTTCAAGAAAACGGAGACAGTGCAGTTAAGTAATTTGGCCAAGGTTGCACATTTAGTAAATAGTGACCTTCAAGTCAAACCTAGCCAGTCTAGGCAATCAGGGGGATTCTGTCTGTAACTATGCTGAGCAGGAAAAACACAGACGTCTCGAGACCAGCTGACAGATACAGGAGAGAGGTTAATATGGGACCTAGTAGAAGGCAGGACCCAGAAGGAAAGCTGGGCGTTCCACAAATATACTGCAGCCCCATCCAGGCAGATGTGATACCTTATTTCTTAGCCTTTTTACCTCTAGAACCTGGCCCAGTGCCTGCTAGTGGGTCCACAAATGCTTTGTTATTGATGATAACCATCAATTAAGCATAACACTTTTTTCCAAACTATGGCAAGTTTAAAAATGTATCATATCTTAAGTCTTTTTAAAAATGATAAATACTGGAAGATCTTTTCAGAGGTGCTAGGCAATGCCAGGAAGAAGCCTCCATGCCAAGTCAGAAGAGCCCCTGGGTCCTCCTGCGGCTCATCCCACTTTTGCAGGCATTAGAAATGCATCATTCCACTCACTGCCACCACACCTAACATCATCACAGAGGACTAGGAAACACACTTCCACATCCAGCAAAAGCATCAGGAAACCAGGAACAGGTGACAAAACTAACAGGATGAGCACACCTGCTCACGAGGAAGAATGAATTGTTTCCCAACTCCCTATCCAATCTCCCACCCTAGGATCTTGCTGATCCTGTCACCTACCGGGGTGATGACTGCAGCCACGCCTATGGGCTGCTTGAGGACCAGGGCCCGCCTGTCCTTTGCCGGGGTGTGGATAATGTCTCCGTAAACACGGCGGGCTTCCTCAGAGAACCACTCTAGGAAAAAGGCGGAATAGAGAATTTCTCCATGTGCCTCCTTCAGTGGCTTTCCCTAAATTAAATCAGAAAAGAACCCACGTATTACCTTCTAATAATAAAAGCATGGCTCTGTGTTCCTAAATTCTTCAAGATGCAACAAGAGTAGAAAAGTCTCCTATAACGATACCCATAGAGTGGGGAAAATTTCTGACTTTGGTGTGAGTTTTAAAAAGCAGAATTACAATGATGAATGTATCACCCTAAACCACAAGTCATTGCATTCTCAATATGTTTACAAATTAGGAAACATCTAATTTTTTCCTCCTTTCAATATCTTCTAAGTATTGTAACCACGATATGAAATAATTTATTATATCTATGGAAGAAGTATTGGTACATTAAAAAATGTACAAAAACAAGTTTAAAAAAAAAAACAACCAAAACAGTAACATGGAAAAAAATCAGAATGGTGAAACAGCAGTTATTCATATAGTTGCAAACAAAATCTATTTTTGGATACTATTAAAGAATAAACTAGAACATACAAATATTATTTTAGCAAATCTAAGTACCCTGGCACAATAATGATTTGGTATTTGATCAGTAGAGAAGGAATCACATATTCTTCAGCTACAGCCAGCAGTGAAGGGAAGTCAGCGGCTTTCCCAAGTTTAGTGTAAAAATTCCTGGAGAATTTCTCAGTGCACCAAGCCAGAACCCTGAACTTACACTTTCAGCTGTGATTATTCTGGCAAGGTCATCCTTATTTTGTATCATTAAATTGTACCACTTCCGAAGTAATGAACTCCTCTCCTGCAAAAGAAATAACAAGGCAGAAAAGTAATAAAATGCCAAGTGTAAGACAGAATGCTAAATAAAATTCAATATCCTAAAATATTAGCTGTATGGTCTCATTCTCCTTGGTTGTAATGGTTAATTTTATGTGTAAATTTGACTGGGAGACCCAGATAGCTGGTAAAACATCATTTCTGGGTATGTCCGTGAGTGTTTTCGGAAGAGATTAGCATTTGAATCAGTAGACTGAATAAAGAAGATTTGCCTTCAAAAATTCAGGTGGGTATCATCCAATCTGCTGAGAACCTGAAAAGAACAAAGTGGCAGAGGAAGAGCAAATTCACTCTCTGCATGAGCTAGGACATCCATTTCCTCCTGTTGTCAGACACCAGACATTGTCATTCCTGGTACTCAGGACTTTGGACCCAGTCTGGAACTCAGACTGGACATATCAGCTTTCTTAGGTCTCCAGCTTGCAGACAGCAGAGGGTGGGACTTCTTAGCATCCACAGTCACATGAGCCAGTCCTTTATAAGAAGTCTCTTCCTATATTCCTACATATCTATGATTATATATATACACACATACACATATATATATACACACACACACATATATATATACACCCACACACACACACACACATATATATATATATATATATAAAACATTGGTTCTATTTTTCTGGACAACCCTGAGTAAGATGCTTGGGGAAACATACATTGAACTTCTGTGTTTTTTGATTGTTTGTTTTTGAGACAGGGTCTGGGTTTGGACAATGAAAAGCACACAAATAAAAAAAATCAAAAATTTAAAAAAATTTTAAAAAAGAGACAGGGTTTTGTTCTGTCACCCAGGCTGAAGTGCAGTGGTGTGATCATACCTCACTGCAACCTCTGCTTCCTTGGTTCAAGTGATCCCCCCAGCTCAGCCTACTACTGAGTAGCTGGGACCACAGGCACACATCATCACGCTCAGCTATTTTTTTAACTCCTCTGTGTCTGTTACAACTTTAAGCAGAATGTGACTCAGGCACTACATTTCCATCCACGAGACTGGCTCTGAGTTATTTCTGAACAGCTTTATGATATGCTTAGGTAGGCTTGTAACTTTGCTTCTCCAAACTATACTTTTCTTTGGAAAACAAGCCCTGTGGAGAGTTCCTTCCATCAAGTTGATTCAGTTTAACCTATTTCTAGAGGACTAGTACATGCAGAATTGGCAACTACAGGGGAAGAAAAGTTCAAAAAGCAGACCCTACAAGAGGTAACAAATACTTTTTTTCTAAACATCAAGGGTATAGCTCAAGAACACTTCGATAACAAGATTTGGTCTACTAAGGAATCCGGCTTGATAGCTAAACACTTAGACTACCAAGTTAACATCATGTTATATACATCTTACAACGATTACCTTGATCTGTTAAAATAAGCATTTTACCTTGATCTGTTAAAATAAGATTACTTTGATCTGTGAAACTAAAAAAGCATTACTAGCTCTGCCTTAGTGCTTAAGGTATCACAGCATCACTTAGAAGTAGAAAGAAATCTTATCTTCCCCTTAAAGTCGTTGTTGTCATGCCATACAGACTTTTCATGCTAACAGGATCTACAGGATGATCATGCTCAGCTAATTAAAAAAAAATTTTTTTTGTACAGACAAGGTCTCACTATATTGCTCATGCTAACTGACCCTTCTTTGATGAGTAATAGAGATCCAATTTCAAGTTGCATCTAAAGAGGTATACTGCGTCATAAATTATAAAAGATAAAATAAGTTTTGTGGAAACAGCTATTATTGCTTATGGTAAATAAGAACAACTTTAATTTTACCATACAAAGGTATATAGTTCCCTACGTTATTATTATTATTATTATTATTATTATTATTATTTTAGATACGGTCTTGATCTGATGCCCAGGCTGGAGTGCAGTGGCGCAATCATAGCTCACTGCAACCTCAGACTCCTGGCTTTAAGCGATCCTCCTGCCTTGGCCTCCCAAAGTGCTGAGATTACAATCATGAGCCACCATGCCTGGACCATTCTACTTTCTGTCTCTATGAATCTGACAACTCTAGGTACCTCATATTAAGTAGAATCATACAGCATTTGCCCTTTTGTGACTGGCTTATTTCACTCAGCATAGTGTCTTCAAGTATTGTTCCCTATTATAGTGGCTCACTGGCAACCTGGATTTGTCCCAGAGACTGACATATGGACTGGGGCATGCATGAGGCATAAGAAAGGGTTTTACACACTTAAGAAGAGGGCCCAGGCACAACAACATGAATGCACTTAATACCACTGAAATGTACACTTAAAAATGGTTAAAATGGTAAATGTTATGTTATGCATATTTTGCCATAATTTAAAAAATTCCAATGAACAAAAAACAGATAAAGGGATACATTGGATTATTAACAATATTATGGGACCAGGTGTGGCGGCTCATGCCCGTAATCACAACACTTTGGAAGGCCAAGGAGGGAGGGTTGCTTGTGGCCAGGAGTTCAACACCAGCTTGGGCAATGCGGTGAGATCTGTCTCTACACACACACACACAGAAATTATCTGAGTGTGGGGCTGGGCGCAGTGGCTCGTGCCTGTAATCCCAGCACTTCGGGAGGCCGAGGCGGGCGGATCATGAGGTCATGAGATCCAGACCATCCTGGCTAACACGGTGAAACCCCGTCTCTACTAAAAATACAAAAAAATTACCCGGGCATGGTGGCAGGCGCCTGTAGTCCCAGCTACTCGGGAGGCTGAGGCAGGAGAACCTAGGAGGCGGAGGTTGCAGTTGAGCCGAGACTGCGCCACTGCACTCCAGCCCGGGTGACAGAGCGAGACTCCGTCTCAAAAAAAAAAAAAAAAGAAAAGAAATTATCTGGGTGTGGTGGTGCATGCTTGTGGTCCCAGCTACTCAGAAGGCTGAGGTGGGGGAATCGCTTAGGCCTATGAGTTTGAGGCTGCAGTGAGCCAATGATAGCATCACTGTACTCCAGCCTAGGCAATGGAGCAAGACCCTGTCTCAGAAAAAAAAGAAAAGAAAAAAGGAAGAAATGGCTTATTAAAAAAAAAATTAATTCATTCACATAAAACCACTTAAAAAAAGAAAATGAGGAAGGCCTAGAGAATCTAGGCCACCTGGGCTGCCATCAAGGCACTCTAAAGAGAGCGCTGCTCAGGCTGTAGCTTCCCACATCTGCACAGGTGTATTCAAAGCCAAGAAAAACCTTCATTTTTGTTTTTTGAGACAGTCTCGCTCTGTCACCCAGGCTGGAGTACAGTGGCGCCATCTCGGCTCACTGCAACCAACCTCCGCCTCCTGGGCTCAAGCAATTCTCATGCCTCAGCCTCTTGAGTAGCTGGGATTACATACAGGTGCATGCCACAATGCCTGGCTAATTTTTGTATTTTTTCTTTTTTTTTTTTTTTTTTGAGACAGAGTCTTGCTCTGTCCACCAGGCTGGAGTGCAGTTGGCATGATCTCGGCTCACTGCAACCTCCGCCTCCCAGGTTCAAGCAATTCTCCTTGGCTCAGCCTCCTGAGTAGCTGGGATTACAGGCGCCCACCACCACGCCCAGCTGATTTTTGTATTTTTTAGTAGAGATGGGGTTTCGCCATGTTGGCCAGGCTGGACTTGAACTCCTGACCTCAAGTGATCCACCTGCCTTAGCCTCCCAAAGTGCTGGGATTACAAGTGTGAGCCACCGTGTCTGGCCAATTTTTGTATTTTTAGTAGAGACAGTGTTTCACCATGTTGGACAGGCTGGTCTCGAACTCCTGACCTCAGGTGATCCACTCGCCTTGGCCTCCCAAAGTGCTGGGATTACAGGCGTTAGCCACCGTGCCCAGCCTGAACCCCTCCTTTCAAAAAGGAAGGTTCCCTGAGAAGATCCTAGCCCTTGTAAGATGGAAGCTGACATCACTGTAATGTTCAAGGGGCACAGACATTAGGATGGGCGGTGTGATCTGAACACAGGATAATGCTGCTAGTGTCAGCAAGAGGTCCCAACACCCGCCCTGCAGCTGCCAAACAATCACTGACAGACTAGAAGGCTTTCCAGACCCCTGCAGTGTAACACCATTGTATGGCAGCCTTGATCTTCGTGGGGCCTTGTGGGACTCCAGAATGATGCTAGGGGAACCAGGGCTCAGGCCCTGGTCCACTCCTTTCCTGTGATCTCACCATTTCCATAGCTGTAAGTATGTATGCAGTACACACAGGTATGAATTTCACATTTATATTTCTAGCCTAGGGTTCGCTCTCAAACCTCAGACTCATACACCCAACTGCTTACTTTACATCCTCTCTTGGGTGTGAACCGACATCTCAAACTCAATAAGTCTAAAACTGAACTCTTGATATCTCACCCTAATGCTGTTCAATTCAGCTATCCTCATCCTTCCAATTGCTCAGGCCAAAAGCCCTGGAGTCATCACTAACCCCTCTCCTTCACCTACTTTCTATATAATGATCCATCAGAAAATCCAGTGGGCTCTACCTTCAAAATACATCCTTTATGGGATAACTCTTCACCTTGTCCACTGCTACCACCCTGGTTCAAGCCACCGTGGCCTCCCACCTAAATCCGTGCAACAACCTCCTAACCTGTCTCTCTGCTTCCACCACTCTTCATCTATTCTCAGCACTGTGGTTAGAGTGGCCTTTCAAAATGTAAATCAGATCATATCTCTGCTTAAAACCCTGACACAGCCCCCTCTTTACTCAAAGTAAAAACCAAGTCCTTAGAATAACTCACAGGTCCTACATGTTCCACCCACTCTTCCCCTTCTCCCTATGACCTCCTCTGATACAACTCTTCCCCTTTGCTCAGTCCACACGGGCCTCCTTGCTGTTCTGCAAATGTGTCAGCCATGCTTCTACTTTGGCTCTAGCTGAATGTCCTTATGAGAGGTGAAGCCAGCTGGACTTCCTGGGTCGAGTGGGGACTTGGAGAACTTTTCTGTCTTACAAGAGGATTGTAAAATGCACCAACCAGCGCCCTGTAAAACACACCAATCAGCACCCTGTAGCTAGCAAGAGGATTGTAAAATGCACCAATCAGCGATCTGGAGCTACCAAGGAGATTGTAAAATGCACCAATCAGTGCTCTGTAAAAAACACACCAATCAGCGCTCTGTAGCTAGCAAGAGGATTGTAAAATACACCAATCAACGCTCTGTAAAATGCACCAATCAGCGCTCTGTAAAACGCACCAATCAGCAGGATCCTAAAAGTAGCCAATCGCAGGGAGGATTGAAAAAAAGGCATTCTGATGGGACAGAAACGGAACACTGGAAGGGATAAATAAGGGAATAAAAAGCTGGCCACCACGCCCCACCCACCCAGCAGCGACAACCCACTCGGGTCCCCTTCCGCGCTGTGGAAGCTTTCTTCTTTTGCTCTTCACAATAAATGTTGCTACCACTCATTCTTTGGGTCCATGCCATCTTTAAGAGCTGTAACACTCACTGCAAAGGTCCGCGGCTCCATTTTTGAAGTCAGCGAGGCCACAAACCTACCGGCAGGAACCAACTCCGGACACACTTACCTCCTTTGGTCTTTGTATCTCATGTCCTCAATGAGACCTACCCTGATGTTACGGGCTGAATGGTGCTCCTGGCAAAATTGACATGTCGAAGTCCTAACCCCCCAGTATCTCAGAATGTGAGTGCATTTGGAAATAGGGTCTTTAAAAAGGGAATTAAGTTATGATGAGGTCATTCTGGTGGGCCCCAATCCAATCTGACTCCTGTTTTTAAAAGAAGAAGAGATTAGGACACATATACACACAGAGGAAAGACCATGTGGAGACACACAGGGAAGATTCATTCATATAACCAACTGCTTACTTTACATCCTCACTTGGGCGTGAACAGACATCTCAGACTCCATGAGTCTAAAATTGAGGTCTGATGAGATACAAAGACAAAAGCTGAGCTCTCTGCAAGCCAATGAGAGGCCTTAGAAGAAACCAACTCTGACAACACCTCGATCTGGGATTTCTACCCTCCAGAGCGGTAAAATGAGAAATGTCTGTTGTTCAGGCCACCCAGTCTGTGGTACTTTGCTATGGCAGCCCTAGCAGAGGAATATGCCTGGTCACACTGTTGATGCTGCATCTTGCCCCTTCCCTCTGGCCCGGATCCTCTCCTGCTTCTACCTTTTTTCCATATTGCACTCAGCATCTCTCACATACTTATTTGCTTAGATATTATGTTTGTTGTTTAGAGTTCTGATCTCTCTTCTGCTCCCCTTCCACCCCATGTGAGCTCCATAAGGGCAGAATCCTTCTTTCGTTTAACTGAGGTATCCCAAGCACCTCCAACAGTGCAGGGCATACAGCAGGTGCTCAGTAAACAGCTGATGGATGAATGAGTGCTAAGACTCTCTTGTACTCGTAGGGATCGCTGGATGCATTCCTTCAGAGGGAGAGCTTTGAAGGACACGGTAAAAAATTTCACTGCGTTGACTCCAGGTTTAATAATATAATATTAGAAGGAAGAAACTACTTTCTTAGTTTTCTTCTTACTCTATTCTTCCCATTTAATGGCCCTCCACCCCTTACTCCCAATTCTCCAGTGTTCTCTATGCAATGGCCAATAGCAGCATTTATCCATTTAGGGTGAAAACCTGGAGAACGCTCCTGGATTTCTCTCTTCCCCTGCACAAAACCCAAATCTTTCTACAGTTCTCTCCGTTTCCGATCCCATGATTCTGGCCAGGGGCCCTCACTACCAGCCTTCTCAAGGGCCGCTGAAGCAGCCTCCTGCGTGGGCTCCCTGCAGCTGCGGAGATATTTCAGCTACTCTGAAGGGCCACACGTGCTCTCACTTCCCTGACACCCCTCCCCTTTCTCCCCGCCCCTCCACGGTTAGGCTTGTTGACCATAACAAGCAGCTCGCTTGTATTAGGCGCTCACGTTCTGCCTCCCCTACTGGGCAGTGCATAACTTGATGAGGCTTGAGGGCAGGGGTCGTGTCCCTAGTGCCCGGCTCAAAGTGGAAGCTCCAAACTTATTTGTCGGTCGTCTCCCTTGTTGCTCTGACTTTCCACTTTGTATACCCTGGGGAACTGAGCACAGGAGGGAGGCGACGCGGCTGGTGTCACTTTGGGGTAAAGCCCCCTCTGCTCCCCGCCGTGTCCCCGGCCAGCTCTGGCCCCCTGCATCCGGGCTCTCTCACCTTGGCGGAGACCTCCCTCCAGCGGCAGAAAGCCTCGTAGGCAGCGCGCACGGCGGCGCGGGCCTCTCGCACCCCGCAGTCGGCTACCATGCCCAGAGCGGCGCCGCTGGCCGGGTCTTGCACGGGGAAGGTGGCGGCGGCCGGGAGCCAGCGGCCGCCCACGAAGCTGTCGGTGCGCAGCAGCGCCGCAGAGAGGCCCGCCAGGCGCCCAGCGTAGCAGCGGAGCTGGGCCGGGCCGGGCGCAGGCCCGGAGGCAGGGACCAGGCCGCCGGCGCGGGGGCGGAGGCGGCAGCCTGGAAACGTCGACCCGAGGCGCCGGGCCCCACAGCTCCGCAGCCAAATGCAGGTCGCCATGGCCCGGGCAACGACGGCGACAGGAAACAGGCAAGCGGGCGCGCGCGCACGGGAACGCAGGGGTCGCGGGGAAGCAAGAGGAGCGAGGAGGCGCCGGGGACGCGCGGGGAAAGCGTGGGAGCTGGCGGAAGGTTGCAGAGCCACAGAGCAGCGCCCTCTCTCCGCGTCTTTCTCGCTGCACCGCCGCGCCGCCCTCTGCACCTTGCCCTAAGCGCCGCGCGGCTTCTCTCCTGGCGCGACCTTCTCCCGGGGGAGGGTTGGGTTCGGGGATGGAGAAGGCTCGCCAGTAGATGCACCTGCGGACTGCTGTCACCTTTTCACTTTTCGGGTGCTCATTTGTCACTAACTGCTCCTGAGCCCCCAATCGCTGCTAGAGACCCACTCTCTCCCCTTAGCATCCCCCAAATTCGGCATCCCCGGAATTTGTGCGCGGTCCATAGATGCGCTGGTGCCTGCCCTAAATGCCAAGGCCGTGATCACGCTTCTTCAGTTGTAGCTCCTGAGCACGTAGTATTGATTGGGAGCGATCGTTCTCTGAGGGGTCGAAGTGTGACCCCGCGTTCTGCTGCCTGGCTGCTTTTTTGGGTGTGTGTCTAGGCATTCTCCTAGGGTTGCTCCCGATAAATAACAGCGCTTTGGAAATAAACAGACTAGGATCCAAACTCAAGTCTGTTGCCGACAAGCTGTGTGACCGACAGGTTAACCTTAGTCCAGTCACTTATAAAATAGAACCATATCTACCCCATTTTGTTGTGAGATAACGTAAAATGCTCATTACAGTTGCCACATTAAATTCAATATAGCGTTCAAAGTCATACTAGCTACCCTAGTCAAGCCACTAGTAAGATTAAAGTTGGGTCACCAACTAGTAAATGGAAGCATTTGTCAAAATTGAATCAACCAAGGTATAAGGATTGAGCATACTATCCAACCAAGGTATTTGAGCACCTTTAAACAGCATTCTTCATCCGTTAAAAAATTAGACTTGGGCTTAAGACTCTGAAAGCAGCAGGGAAGCTTAAAACCTAATGAGGATAAAAATAAAAATAGCAGGCGTATGCTGGGAATTTGTGGGTGCAAATGAAGCCCAGCCCTATGCATTGATTTTAGGTTACATATCTCCCTTTCTCAACTCCTACAGCGTTGAGAGTATCTTGCTAGCTTTCACCTTTTTCTAGGACGTTGAATTTTTTTCTAGGACATTTGCAAAATGCCGAGGCAGTAACTTTAAATTTTGACTTTGTCTTTTGCTGAGTCAGATCCATTGAGTTTTGAGCCAGTCACATATGGCAGAAGTGATAACAGTAGAGTTTAATCAATTTCACACTATTTTGCTCTGTATTTTATTGCAGGAACTGGGGAGAACCAGGGAGTCCTAATAGGGATGTGGGCCAGTAGGTATCACAGGTGGGGCTGGGGAGCTGGCGTGTTTACATCTCCTGCCTGCGGAGGGAGTTTTTGTTTTTGTTTTGTTTTGTTTTTGGTGGTGGTTTTTGTTTTTTGTTTGTTTTGTTCTTGTGAGACCGACAGACTCATTCTGTCACCCAGGGTGGAGTGCAGTGGTGCGATTTCAGCTCCCTGCAACTTCCGCCTCCCGGGTTCAAGCGATTCTCCTGCCTCAGCCTCCCGAGTAGATGGGGCTACAGGTGTGTGCCACCAAGCCCAGCTAATTTTTGTATTTTTAGTAGAGACAGGTTTTCACCGTGTTGGCCAGGCTGGTCTTGAATGCCTGACCTCAAGTTATCCGCCCTCCTTGGCCTCCCAAAGTGCTGGGATTACAGGGCTCATTTCTACTGGCCTGGGGAAATCATTCAATTGAGGCCTCAATCAACTGAGGCCCAGAAAAGCCAAGTTAATTGTGGCTGCCTCTCTTGTTCAAAAATTACCCTAGCCCACTTACCTTTTTAAGGTTCTATTTCAAACGGTACCCACTCCCTTTCCCAGATGACTTATCCATTACGCACAGTAGGTACGATGCCAAGGGCCCATAAAACTTTTAGGAGCACTCACAAATGTTTAATTTATTCTAAAATCTGAAGAAAAGAAGTTTTAGGTGGCATATTAATATGTTAATCTTACACCAATGCAGATGTAAAATGTGATTTCTATTTATTGTTTACTTATTTTTGTGACAGGAAGTACTTCACAAAGGCAAAAGCGCCTGGAGCTTAGAAAGTTCACAATGTGGCCCTCCCCTTTTCCCTCAGTTTTGTGCCCCTCTTCAAGCCCCCATTCAGAGTGTAAACAATTTCCTCCTGGCTCCTGTCTTACTTCCAGCCTGTCCTGATGCCCCCTAGCGCCTGGCTGGGTGTCTGTCCTTACCAGGGCCTACAAGGACAAGACCATCAGGTGAGAGGGACCTCTTCCCTCCTTTCTCCTTTGGCTGCCCTTGTCCTGGGAACCTCCACTCCCCAGTTCCCACCCTTATTCATCCTCTCCCCCATTTTCTTTTTCTTTTTTTTCTTTCACTTTTTTTTTTTTTTTTTTTTTTGAGTCAGGGTCTTACTCTGTCGCCCAGGCTGGAGTGCAATGGCACGATCTCAGCTCATTGCAACGTCTGCCTCCTGGGTTCAAGTGATTCTCCTGCCTCAGCCTCCAGAGTAGCTGGGAGTACAGGTGCGCGCCACCATGCCTGGCTAATTTTTGTATTGTTTAGTAGAGATGGGGTTTCACCATGTTGGCCAGGCTGGTCTTGAACTCCTGACCTCAGGTGATCTGCCCACCTCGGCCTCCCAAAGTGCTGGGATTACAGGCATGAGACACTGTGCCCAGCCTCTTCTCCCCCATTTTCTAGACTGGCCCACATAAAGCTTGAGACCCTCTGGCTTTCAAACCTGTATTCTCCCTACTCACTCCTTAATGTAACTGTATGTTTACTTTTCACCTTGGGTCTCTATTTCCAGAAGAGTTCTAAATGGTAGAATCATGCTGTCTTGTTTATAACAAAGCCACCTATATTAGGAAAGGGGGGTGTGGGGCAGAAAGAAAAATATTTCCATATGCTTATTATTTGTCAGATAGTAATATTGTGAGCTACGTTTTAACTTTCTTTAAAGTCATATCTTTGATGTTTTTATTGTTACCAAAGTAATACAAACTTCATAAAACTGCAAGCAATATTGTCATATAAAGACCATATTCATAACTATCACACTAAGCAAATAATTTCCTCTTATTTTATTACATTTATACGTTTATGTCATTCTGAATCTCAAATACAAAAAAATGCATAATGAGAAATTGAGACATTTGGGATTAGTATTGTTTGGTAACTGAACCCATTCCTTTTTTTTTTTTGAGGTGGGGTCTTGCCCAGGCTGGAGTGCAGTGGTGTGATCTCAGCTCACTGCAACCTTCACTTCCCAGGTACAGGCGATGTTCCCGCCTCAGCCTCCTGAGTAGCTTGGACCATAAGTGCATGCCACCATGCCCGGCTAATTTTTGTTTTTGTTTTTTTCTTGGTAGAGACGGGATTTTGCCATGTTGCACAGGCTGGTTTTGAACTCCTGGCCTCAAGCCATCTGCCCGCCTTGGCCTCCTAAAGTGCTGGGATTATAGGCGTGAGCCACCACACCTGTTCTGAACCCATTTCTTTGGTGCTTTTTGGATGGGTTTGTTGTATTATATATGGTTAGATATCTTTTCTAGCAGTATTTTTTTCCCCTGTAACCATTGATTGACTGCTCTTGGATGTTCTGAGAGACAATATCCAAAGTCCCAATTAATAATTGTGACTCCCTCACGCACAGTCTGTAGAAGGCCCAGAGTGACAGGGAGGCAAACTCAAAGGCCTCTGGTGGCCAGAAGGGGTGTGGAAACCTGCACACATTGCATGGATGGTGGGGACTGGAGGAGCAGGACATGCTCTATCAGGGGGCAGCTGGCTCTTTGGCTGCAGCTGGTTGTCGTGTCACATGGGAGCGTCAGTTCATGATGCCAGTTCTTTTGTTTTTAAGAGAGCCAGAAATCTAGATTTCTACGTGAATTTTCTCATTTAGAAAAAGTTCATAAACTTGATTTAAGTTTATAAAACATCCTGTTAGCCAAACAAAACACGTAGGCATATGGCCTCTGGACTAATCAGGAGTAGCTGGGCCTACTGCCCCTCAGGTCTGGGGGTAGCTGCGGGATTTCTTTCCTTGGGGCTGTGCACATGGCTGTGTTAAGCTTACAGGGGAAACTGTTGGGGCGACAACTGTTGTCAAATCATTCCACTTTCTTTTTTTCTTTTCTTTTTTTTTTTTTGAGACAGGGTCTTGCTCTGTCACCCAGGCTAGAGTGCAGTGGTGCAATCTCGGCTCACCGCAATCTCCACCTCCTGGGTTCAAGAGATCCTCCCACCTCAGCCTCCCCAGTAGCTGGGACTACAGTCACGTGCCACCACACCTGGCTAATTTTTGTATTTTTAGTAGAGACGGGGTCTTCACTATGTTGATCACGCTGGTCTCAAACTCCTGACCTCAGGTGATCCACCAGCCTCAGCCTCCCAGAGTGCTGGGATTACAGGTGTGGGCCGCCACGCCCAGCCAAATCATCCCACTTTCTATTCATCCTTTCATTTGGCAAACCTGAAGTGAATACTATTTCCTCCCACTCTTTTAGGAGCCCATCTCTTGCTTTTAATGTAAAATATGCATAATTTGTGTTTTAAGATTACCATCAGTTTCATGAAGAGCTTAATTTTTCCCATGGATGAAGTGTAAGTGGGTACCTGATAATATATCGTGAGCTTAACATTTTCCAAACCCTGTTTCTTGGCCCTAAATCTGCCCCCTTCCTTCCACCTCCCAAGTGGAATTGACATCTTTGCTTCAGCTGCAGGAATCTGACCTTGCAACAGGCTCTGGATAAGCCCTATTAGAACAGCCAGAGGTAGAGAGACCAGGAGTGGCTGCTCTTGTGTAATCCCATACAAGTGTCAGTATCTGTTGCCAAATACTGAAAAGGAAGCCAGTTCCAGCTGATTACCATAAAACTTTCCCAGCACTTGTGGCTTGGGAGGCGGAGGAAGCAGGACAGCCTGATAAATGTGTAGAAAGGATGCATGAGAGATCCACCCTTGTAAGGTGAGGTGGTCTAATATGTTGACTATCTGCACAGGTGAGCCTTTTTATAGAAAGCAAAAAATATCTGGAGACAACTTTGCTTGCATCTCTACACAAATTTCATGTTAAAATGAAATCCAGAAAAAACCTCGGTCAGAAGATGCAGTGCTTCTGGCCTAAGGCTTTTCAGATTTCAGTTTATCCTCCCAACCCCACCCCCCAGGAGCACAGAGTTTGTTTGCTGTTCTGGTGAAGCTAAACAGTAGTTGGACAGTTGACTTCATTGGAAAACGATATTATTTTGAAATGAGGCTTGGTTTCCTCGGTCAGTGACCTGCTTAGAGAGAAGCGGTGGGTCTGCACCTGGATTTTGGAGTCCCAGTGCTGCTGCAGCTCTGAGCATTCCCACGTCACCAGAGAAGCCGGTGGGCAATGAGATCATGTCTGCTTTCAGGTTGTGGCCTGGCCTGCTGATCATGTTGGGTTCTCTCTGCCATAGAGGTTCACCGTGTGGCCTTTCAACACACGTAGAAATAGGTAAGTACTGGTGTCTTGTTATGTTGTTGAGAGGACAATACATCTGTCAAAGACATTAAGGAAGAGACTGAAAATCCCGCTCGTGGATTGATACAGTTTCCCCTGGGCACTGAGCTGAGTGGCCTGACAGCAGGGAGGAGAAGCCGGTGATTGCAGTCATCCAGGGATAGGGATTGGCAGCATGACTTCAGTTAAGGGGCAAATAAGAAAGAGAGCTGATGCCCCATTGGTCATGGGACCCCTGTGTGTTTCTCTGGGTGGGGAAATAGTGAGAGGCTCAGTGAACGAGAGGTTGCAACGTGGCAGCAGAACTGACAGAATGGGAGAGGAACAAGATGGGTGGAATATGGCAGGAGTGAGAAATGTACTTTTGTTGTTTTTACATGTCCAAGGACAGGCATTTCCAAGTATATGTAAAGAGCCATATGTGGCCATGGGAGTGGGTCCCTGAGTCAAATTGCTGTAAAAGTGCTTGGCTTCAGGAAGGTCAAGAAAGTAAGGGAGTTTAGTTATCCACATGCACGGTGCCAGGAAGATGGCAGGAGTTGGAGAGCAGAAGGGTACAGCAAGCCAGTGCCACCGACCTTAGGGGCAAGGGCAGAGTCATCCTGGATATAGGGAGATGGCACCACAAAGAGTTATTTAAAATTTTTATTTTTCTAGCTTTATTGATGTATAATTGACAAAAATTGTATAAATTTAAGATATACAACATGATGTGTTGATATATGTATGCCTTGTGAAATGATTAGCACAATCAAGCTAATTAACACATCCGCCCCCCCCACATAGCTACCATGTTTTTTGCATATGGGCTGAGAACACTTAAGATCTTTCTTAGCAAAAGGATTTGGTTCTTGTATGAAGTGTATTTGTAACATGTTTTAACGCATGGAAAACGTGAGTCAATTTGTAATAGAATTAGCTGTGATAACATTCTACAGCAATTTTCAGATTAATTTCAGATATACCTGATGTTCTGAGTTTTCTTTTTTTTTTTTTTGAGACGGAGTCTCGCTCTGTCCGCCATGCTGGAGTGCAGTGGCGCAATCTCGGCTCACTGCAAGCTCCGCCTCCTGGGTTCACACCATTCTCCTGCCTCAACCTCCCGAGTAGCTGGGACTACAGGTGCCCGCCACCACGCCTGGCTAATTTTTTTGTATTTTTTTTTAGTAGAGATGGGGTTTCACCATGTTAGCCAGGATGATCTCGATCTCCTGACCTTGCGATCCGCCTGCCTCGGCCTCCCAAAGTGCTGGGATTACAGGCGTGAGCCATCGCGCCTGGCCTGAGTTTTCTTTAATTTAGATAAAAATTATAACAGAATTTTATAGTTGTACCACCTCCAGAAGTTTCAAAGAATAATAAGATTATAGGCAAAAAATGAAAATTTATCAGTGCAAAATAGACATATATACTGAGCTACGATGGGCAAGAACCTGTTATCACAGAATTTGACTATCTGAAAGGACACTAGAAGTCACCGAGTCCAGTTCTCTTCTTTTACAGATGAAGAAACTGATACTAGACAGTTTTACAGCTAAGTTTTCAGTGGCCTGGCCTAGAATTACATGTCCTGACAGCTGGTCCGGCGTTCTTTCCATTAAAAATGTACTGCTAGAAGGGAGTCAGGAAACAATGGAAAAGAGGATCAGACTTAGGTTCTAGTTCCAGCCATCCAGTAAAGTAGATGTGTGATTCTGAGCAATTCACTTTTTACCTACCTCTCAATTCTATAAAATGAGGGGGTTGAACTTCTTAAAGAATTCTAAAGTGTCTTGCAGTTCTATGTTCTGTGAAGTTGAAATTGCCAAAACTACAGAGTAAGCTGATGAGGAACAAATATAAATGGAAATACTCCATTTTTAATCCTTAGTGTTTAAAAATTTACAAGACAGATTGCATCTGAAATTTTAATAAAACCAGATAATTGCTTGCCCTTCTTCATTAAGTACCAAACAAAGGTCCTAATGGACATTTAAAGAATAATATTTATGTGAACATAATTGAAGGCATCTCCTGAAATAGAATCTGCACGGATTCTGAGAATTTTTTTACATAGAAGAAGACCAAAACTCCATCATTTATTTACTAATAAATTAGATGATTTTATAAATATTTTGGTTCACTTTTTCATTTCTTATAAAGGGGCCTGAGTGGAAGGTCAGCATTATCTGAGTGAGTTAATTAGAAATGGCTTCATTCAGCGTAAATCACTGGAATCCTGTACACAGGTTATTTGTATTTGTGGGTTGTGACTTTTATGATATTAATGCTTATAGTAGTGGCAATAGTTTTTTGTTATATGAATTTTAAAAATTGGAGGTGATTCACAACAGAAATAAGGTATCACCTTTGAATGTCACTTCCCAGGGAATGTTAGTCCTCTTATTGATTCTTGGGAGATTCAGGCTGTGGGTGGGTGTGGGGTGTAGTTGGTAGCTTTCTGAGATGATTTTGTCCTTCTGGTCCAATGATGAAAAACTTTTGAGGATCATTGGTTCAGTCCATAGGTTAGGTGTTATATTGTATTTTGTACTTAGGTTTGTCTGCCTCAGTACTGAAGCAAAATATGATGACAGTTTCTTTTTTTTTTTGAGACAGAGCCTCGCTCTGTTGCCCAGGCTGGAGTGCAGTGGCGTGGTCTCGGCTCACTACAACCTCTGCCTCCTGGGTTCAAGTGATTCCCCTGCCTCAGCCTCCCAAGTAGCTGGGATTACAGGCATGCGCCACCATGCCTGGCTAATTTTTTGTATTTTTAGTAGAGACGGGGTTTCTCCATGTTGATCAGGCTGGTCTTGAATTCCTGACCTCAGGTGATCCGCCCTCCTCGGCCTCCCAAAGTTCTTGGATTACAGGTGTGAGCCACCATGTGTGGTCTGGCAGTTTCTTTTTCTTGAGCTCCTACCAAGTGTCAGCCACTGTGCTTGTCACTTAGCATTTATTATTTCAACCAACCTATACGGTGGGTATTTTTTAAACTCTTTTCCATAGGAGGGAACTGAGGTCTAGAGAGGTTGAATAGCACTAAAGCTCATAGAGTTATTTAATAGTTAAGCAGAAACTTTAAATCACCATCTAAACTTGCTTTGTACTATAACAATAGAAATACTGCACAAGCCTATACCTAATGAAAATTGCCAGTGAGTGCAAACTCATTTCATTTCCTGCGTCCTTGACAGTTATAACCACAAATTGTGTATTTTTCTTTTAAAATCATCTCGCCTAAGTTATGTTTTCAGTAATAGTTGAACTTAATTGATTTATGTATTTATTTCTCTCAGGACACAGAGCTCTGGAGTTTCTTCAGCTTCACAATGGGCGTGTTAACTACAGAGAGGTAGAAATCTTGATTTTTCTTTTCTTCTTTGTGCATTAGTTTTCTTTTATAGGTGCCAAACAAAGATCCTAACAGATATTTAAACAGTAATTTTAAGACTCATTTTGGCTGGGCGTGGTGGCTCATGCCTGTAATCCCAGCACTTTGGGAGGCTGAGGCAGGTGGATCACTTGAGGTCAGGAGTTCGAGACCAGCCTGACTAATATGGAGAAACCCCATCTCCACTAAAAATCCAAAATTAGCCGGGCGTGGTGGTGCATGCCCGTAATCCCAGTTATTCGGGAGGCTGAGGCAGGAGAATGGCTTGAACCCAGGAGGTGGAGGTTGTGGTGAGCTGAGATTGCACCACTGCACTTCAGCCTGGGCAACAAGAGTGAAACTCCGTCTCAAAAAAAAAAAAGAGACTCATTATTTATTTCTTTATGTTATAATGTTGTATATTATGTTATTAATGTTATAAGACATTAATATTATGGTTAAAAGGTATATGTCTCTTCCAAGTGCTACTTGAACATTTTATAGGTATCTTATATATATCACACTTAAAATTTAAAGATTTTAATGATATGACTCATAATTTGAAAAAATACTTGAGAAATTTTTTAAACAGTACATTTTTAAAAATGTGCTAATCTTCTCTGTATCATTCCAATATTAGTATATGTGCTGCTGAGAAGAACACATCTTTTTGTTTTTATTGTAGAGATGGGGGTCTCGCTATGTTGCCCAAGCTGGTCTTGAACTCCTGGGCTCAAGCAATCCTTCCACCTTGGCCTCCCAAAGCACTGGGATTATAGGCATGAGCCACTATGCCTGGCCCATCTTTTTTGTTTTTATTTTAAAAAGTCATACTTGAGAGAGATCATTTATTTTCCACTTCTTGTTACTGTGTGTTGAGCACAAATTGCATCACCAGGAGGAGAAGGAAGTATTTATTAAGAAATACGCACTGAGATTCTCCAGAGATTCTTCATCCAACTCCTGCTATATTCCATATCCTGGTAGGACTAGCTCATGACTCACCTTTACCCATCTTCAAATGAACACATTCTGATCATATGCACTATTTGTTCTATGGCTAAATAATACTTTGTGACGAAGGTGTAATTCTTTCATACTTATATTTGATAAGTGGTTAGCATTCCCTTCTGACATCAGAATTGGATCATTTAATAACATTAAGTCTTCATAATCCATTTGGGAAGCGGGATGGTAAGATAACTGAAATTTATTGTACCCTCAAAATACTTTTAGTCGTAAGATTCAGCTTCCTCACTTGCCAACCTAACAGGCCGAATGAGGAAAAACAGCATTTATATCTGATAGTCATCTTCATTGACCTTGACGGCAAGTAGGCAGGAAAGAGGAGTGGAAACGAGAATCTGCCTAATTCATCACATGAACAATCAATCCAGAGTGTGTGCAGAGTGATTTCTAGTAGAGGTATTCTACAAGGTATTCTAGTAGAGGTATTATTAATTTAAAACATGTTAAATGGACACAGACGCTCCCTTTCAGGATGCATTCTAATCCAAATACTAATGTCATCCTCAGAAATAGGCCAGGCGTGATGGCTCATGCCTGTGATCCCAGCACTTTGGGAGGCCAAGGTGGGTGGATCACGTGAGGTCAGGAGTTTGAGAACAGCCTGGCCAACATGATGAAACCTTGTCGCCACTAAAAATACAAAAATTAGCTGGCCGTGGTGGCAGACACCTATAGTCTAGTCCTAGCTACTTGGGAGGCTGAGGCGGGGAATCGTTTGAACCCGGGAGGTAGAGGCTGAAGTGAGCTGAGATCACACCACTGCACTCCAGCCTAGGTGACAGAGCAAGGCCTCATCTCAAAAAACAAATGGTGGGCCAGGCACGGTGGCTCACGTCAGTAATCCCAGCACTTTGGGAGGCCAAGGCGGGCAGATCATGAGGTCAGGAGATCAAGACCATCCTGGCTAACACGGTGAAACCCCGTCTCTACTAAAAATACAAAAAATTAGCCGGGCATCGTGGTGGGCGCCTGTAATCCCAGCTACTTGGGAGGCTGAGGCGGGAGAATGGCGTGAACCCGGGAGGCGGAGCTTGCAGGGAGCGGAGATCGCACTGCTGCGCTCCATTCCAGCCTGGGAGACAGAGTGAGACTCCATCTCAAAACAAAACAAAACAAAACAAAACAAAGTGGTGGGGCATGCCTCTAATCCTAGCTACTTGGAAGGCTGAGGCAGGAGAATCGCTTGAACCCCGGAAGCAGAGGCTGCAGTGAGCCAAGATCACACCACTGTACTCCAGCCTGGGTGACAGAACGAGACTCTCCATAAGTTCACATGAAAATACCACCAATTCTAATCCGACACCGCAAGATTTACTCTAGCCTTCACCATGTCCATATCTTTAACTCCTTTCTCTAATGCTGAGATGGAGTCTCACTCTGTCACCCAGGCTGGAGTGCAGTGGTGTGATCTCACCTCCACCTCCCAGGTTCAAGCGATTCTCCTGCCTCAGCCTCCTGGTAGCTGGGAATACAGGCGTGCACCACCATGCCCGGCTAATTTTTATATTTTCAGTAGAGTCGCAGTTTCACCATGTTTCCCAGGCTGGTCTCAAACTCCTGACCTCAAGTGATCCACCCGCCGCAGCCTCCCAACGTGCTGGGATAATAGGGGTGAGCCACTGCACCTGGCCTTTCTGTACTCTTTATTCTATTTCACTGGTCTGTTTCTTTTGGTTTCAGTATCATAGTACTTTTGTTTCTGTAGCTTAAAATATATATATTTTAAGACTGGAATGCAGTGGCATGATCTCAGCTCACTGCAACCTCCACCTCCCAGGCTCAAATTATTCTTGTGACTCAGCCTCCTGAGTAGCTGGGATTACAGGCAGGCACCACCATGCCCCACTAATTTTTGTATTTTCAGTAGAGTGGAAGTTTCACCATGTTTCCTAGGCTGATCTTAAACTCCTGACCTCGAGTGATCCGCCCGCGTCAGCCTCCCAAAGTGCTGGGATAACAGGCATAAGCTGCTGCGTGCAGCCTTTCTGTATTCTTTATTCTGTTTCATTGATCTGTTCCTTTTGGTTTCAGTATCATACTATTTTTGTTTTGTTTCTATAGCTTAAAAATATGTATTTTTTTTGAGATAGGGTCTCACTGTGTCACCCAGGCTGGAGTGTACTGGTGTGATCATGGCTCACTGCATCCTCAACCTCCTATACTCAATTGATCCTCCCACCTCAGCCTCCCAAGTAGCTGCACCACCATGTTTGGCTAATTTTTAAATTTTTTGTAGAAACAGAGTCTTGCCATGTCACCCAGGCTGGTCTTGAACTCCTGGGCTGAAGAGATCCGCTGACCTCATCCTCCCAAAGTGCTGGAATTACAGGTGTGCACCACCTTGCCCAGCCAAAAATATGTTTTTGGCAGATCACCTGAGGTCGGGAGTTCAAGACCAGCCTGGCCAACATGGCAAAACCTTGTCTCTACTAAAGAATACAAAAATTATCTGGGCGCAGTGGCTCATGTCTGTAAATCCAGTACTCTGGAAGGCCAAGGCAGGTGGATCACCTGAGGTCAGGAGTTTAAGACCAGCCTGGCCAACCTGGTGAAACCCTGTCTCTACTAAAAATACAAAAATTAGCTGGGCGTGGTGACCGGTGCCTGTAATCCCAGCTACTCAGGAGGCTGAGGCAGGAGAATCACTTGAACCTGGGAGGTAGAGGTTGCAGTGAGCCGAGATCATGCCATTGCACTCTAGCCTGGGTGACAGAGCGAGATTCTGTCTCAAAAAAGAAAAAAAGAAAAAAAATACAAAAATTAGCCAGGTGTGGAGGCCAGTGCCTGTAATCCCAGCTACTCAGAAGGCCGAGGCAGGAAGAATTGCTTGAACCCGGAAGGCAGAGGTTACAGTGAGCTGAGATCACGCCACTGCACTCCAGCCCGGTGACAGTGTGAGACTCCATCTCAAAAAAAAAAAAAAAAAAAAATCCAAAAATACATTTTAATATCTGAAGGATACATCCTTCGTTAGTACTCTTCTTTTTTCCTCAACAGTTTGCTCTTTGGCATAATTTTTAAAATTTACTTCAGATTATTTTATCACATTAAATAACATGCCTACCTCACTGGGAGATGCAGATTCAACAAGTCTTAATACATATAAGGAGCTTAGAACAGTGACTGGTTAAGTAAATAGCCAGTAAAGTTAATTACTATTTTTAAGTGAAAAAAGTCCAACTCAAGCTATCTTTTGGAAAAAAGTGGACTTTATTGGTTCATGTAACTGATATCTGCAGTGTGGAACTGGGCCCAGAGCTCTAGATGGTTTCTATATCTCTCCACGTGGGGAATGCTGACAGCCTAGCACTCAGCGTCAGAGCTCAGCAGCCACAAGGGGAAGAGGGCATCTTCCCAGAGCTCTAGTGGAGAAGTCTTGGGGAAGGTGTGAACGGAACTAGCTTTGCTCAAAGGTCCATTTCTGAGCCAAACTCTGTGGTGAGGGTGGGCATGCTGGCCACAGCATTCTGGTCAGCCCCACCTGAGCGGTGTGGAATGGGCTCTCCTCGGGAGAGGGTGATTCTGCCTCTAGAAGGAGGAGAATGGGATACTGGTTAGAAAAACAAAACCAAAAACCAGATGATACTATCTTTCTTTGTGTTTTAATTTCTTGAAGTACTTCTTTGTTGCACCTATATATGGTCCACATTATTAGTAAGTTCTTATTTAAAAAAAAAAAAAAAAGGGCGGGATATTGCCAAACTTTTACTTTGCCCAGTGTGTCCATCAGAGTTCATTTGCAGATAATGGAAACCCCTCTGCTAGTTTAGGCAAGGAAAGGATTAATACCAGGAATTAGAGAATTCACTGCTTACAAACTGTGGGAACTGCAGGAGCAGGCTCTAGGCCAGGTGTCCAGAAAGGACTCCCAAAATAATGCACAGAACTGGCCTGTCAAGGAGCTGCTACTCCTGCCATTGACAGGCATTCACTGCCCCATTTGCTACAAATTCAACGGTCTCATACACGGTTTGTAAAATAAGAAGCCACCACCTCACCTATTGGTTCTGGGACCTCATCACCACCTCGGGCACCTGCCTTACTAACAATATGGTTGTCCTGTACTCTGCCCATAAACACGTGGGAAGCCAGAGCTGCAACACGAGGGGCTGTGCTACCTCTGCTGTGGAAAAACCAAATGCTTCCATGTTAGCCGAGGGCTCCGTGGTGGAGGCTGGGCCATATCAGACTGTGAGCTGAGACAGCCTGGGAAATGTAGTCTGTGTTTTCTAGCCTATAGCATGCAGCTAGACATCCCATAAGGGACTCGGAATGGAAGGAAGTGAGCCAGTTGACCAAGGAAGAACATTTAGAAGAAAACCGCTACCATCTACTTTCACATCATTTAAAAAGGGAAAGCACTTTTTTTAGCCCTCCCAAAACACAAAGGACGTCATCTTACACTAAAACACAGGTAGCAACTATAAACTGATATGCACATATGTGCGTGCTTGTTTGTGTGCGTGCGTACGTGCGTTTGTGTGTCCGTTTTTCTCTTTTCACTGTGAATCATTGAAAATTTTATAAAAAACCAGCTGTGGGCCAGGTATGGTGGCTCATGCCTGTAATCCCAGCACATTGGGAGGCTGAGGCAGGAGAATCGCTTGAACCTGGGAGGTTGCAGTGAGCTGAGATTGCGCCACTGCACTCCAGCCTGGGTGAAAAGAGCAAAACTCCATCTCAAAACACAAACAAACAACAACAGCAACAAAAACAACAGCTCTGGGTCAGTAAAACAACCTTAAGGCCTCAGGGAAATCCTGCTTTACTGGATTGACAGAGAAAATGAAAGAAGATGAAATTTAAACAAGTGTTTTCTGCTGTTTCTAAATTAGCCTCTCTGTGTTTGGTAGGGAAGAATCTGAAGTTATATATTGTTGTGTTTTGTCTTGGATTATGTGTGAATTTTAATCATTTATTTACTTTATGCCTGCTTTCCTTCCTTTTTCCCTTTCATTCCATCTATACCCCCATATTTCTAGCATCTCATCACAGAAAATTGGTGGGGCCTATACTCCCCAGGCTGTTGACTCCTGCCCCTTAATCTCTGTATTTTCTTGCTCTGCAGCTGTTACTAGAACACCAGGATGCGTATCAGGCTGGAATCGTGTTTCCTGATTGTTTTTACCCTAGCATCTGCAAAGGAGGTAAGATGAAAGTTTGCAGACTGAATGAAGTCACTTTTACTTGGTTAATAGGAATAGCTATGACTTTAAAAATATATATATATGTGTGTACAATATATTTTTAATTGCACAGTATATTTTCCATTATTGTTGAGAACAATTTGTTTCCCAACAATATTGTTGGTTAATGACTTAGTTTACATAGTTGCATTTTCCATTTAGCTATAACTGACCTAGTTAAGCATAGAAATTCTGAAAACTATTTTTTGGTGAAAACCTAAGTGACATGATAGAAGACATTTTGCAAGAGATCAAAAGGTCTGAGTTTGTGTTCCTTCTATATTAGCATGTGATCTTAAAAAAGTCACTTATCCACAGAATCTCAATTTTCATGTCTTGGCAAAGACTGGATTGTCCTGCCTGCCCTGCCTAGACTGGATTGTCCTTGGCATTAATGCACAGTATTTTGTCAAGTGTTATGCAAATCGCAGATACTATTATTTGTAAGAGTTAAAGAAAGAGGAAAGAAACATGAAAAGCAGCTTAACAGTCAAAGACAGATTTATTTTGGAGAAGTAAACCTGAGAGGGGCTTCTGGCCGATTTCGGTCAGGAACACTCTCTCTCTTACAGACTGAGAGTATTTATTGGTGAGAGAGTTTGGAATGTTTCTGTGTGGGGGAGAAGTTTATGGTGGGATTGGAATGTCTCTAGTTGGAGGGGAGGTTATCTTGGGGTTGACATCTCTCTGGCTGGAGGGGAGGTTATCTTGGGGCTTGCACGTCTCTGGTTGGGGAGGGGTTTGGAATGTTTCTGATTGGAGATGTTATCTGTGATTTATGGTTATGCTGACTGTACCCATTAGGCTGATGCCCTTTGGATTTAGGCAATTTTTGGTCAAGGTGAACTTAAAATGGCAGTTCTTGTCCAAGATGGCAATGCTTCTGCTCTGTCATTATCAGTAAACTTGTCTCATGAGTCGTATCAGTCAGAGCCCCAGCAGGACCCAGAAGTCACACTCAAACTGAGTAATTGGAGAGGAGCTTAGTAAGGGCACCATTTTCAAAGATATGGACAGGAGGCGAGGAATTGCAAAAGATAGTTCAAGGGAGGGAGAGATTACTGGAACCGTGGAGAGAGAGAGCTGCATGAAGAGGACCACTTGAGAGCTGGACCTTCAGCTAAGGGGCACAGCCAGCCCACTGTGACCCCACAGAAGGGGAGCTGGGAGAATATATACCCCAACTTCTGTGTCTTCTTTTTCTCTGATCTGTCAGTTCTCTTTATTGGCCAAACCCAACCCAATCAAAGCCAGAGAGCCACGAAGCTAGTTGAAGCAGGTGACCTCAGAGTCACCCTACAAGGTAGAGAAGGATGGGGAGTGGGTCTGGAAGGACAAATGGAGGCCCCCAGCACGCTGGGTACTTGTATAAACTGCTTCTGGGGTTTTGGGTCATCTGCTATTATCCCATTCCTTTAATTCAGTGATGTCTTTGGGACTGAAATGAACTATCTGGGGCTAATCACTCCTGCAGTTAGAATCCCAGGCAGCTAGCTTTTGTATTTCTCATATTTATAAGGAGTTTTGTTCTGTTTCCCTCTTAGTCTGTTAACTATCATTTCTCAATCCTATTATTTTGCCTGCATGTTATAGTTCTCCTTTCTAACCTATTATTTCTAATTTAGCACTTCCCAAACTGTATTCATGGGAGCTCTACTGTCCCTTGATAGCTTCTACAAAAAAGAAAGAAGAAAGGATATTTTTGTCCATTCAATTTGAGCAACATTGCTTAATGTACGCCATTTTTAGAGACAGACAAAACCCACACTAATCAAGGTTCTGAGGAGAGTGGAAAAGGAATGTAAAGTATTTACCTAGCATTTTCCAGTTTTTTCTGCAGCAATAAATAGTCTTGTGTGATGAAAAGATTGGGACTGGTATATGACTAGTTACAGGGAATTTGCATACAAATTCCACTTATTCCACTTAGGTTTTTTTGCATTTTTCCACATTTTACCTTGTCTCATACATACCTAATTCAACTGTAGTTTTCCTTTTCTTATTTGGTGATGATTCACTTTCATTGCATCTTTCCAAAGCACTTAGCTTTCTTAGATACTTAATTGCCAAAGAAAAAACACCTTTTTTTTAAAGTTATTTTTACATTTTTTAGAGACAGGGTCTTGCTCTGTTGCCCAGGCTGGGGTGCAGTGGTGCAATCACAGCTCATTACAGCCTCAAACTCCTGGCCTCAAGCAACCCTCCTGCCTCAGCCTTCTGAGTAGCTGAGACTATAGGTGTGTACCACCATACCTGGCTACTTTTTTATTTTATTTTTAAATTTTTGTAGAGATGTGGTCTTGCTATGTTGCCCAGGCTAGTCTCAACCTCCTGGCCTCAGGGGGTCCTCCCACTTCAGCCTCCCAAAGTGCTGGGATTATAGGCGTGCACTACTGCACCCAGCAAAACTCTTCATTTGTATTAGTTTACCTAATACTGAATTAGCCTTTGTAATTACAGTAACAAGGACATCTGGTTTAAACAGGATTAGAAGTGGGTCTGATTGACCCTTTGTGAGCTATGGTATAGACAGGTAAGTTCAAGTCTCTGGGCAGTGGCTTGCCAGCTGTCAGCATCTAGTATGTCCTGGGGGACTTTCTGCTTCCAGTCTGTTGGATTTACAGAGGGATCAGAAAGCTTCAGTTAATCTGCCAATTTGTTTAAGTTGAAGTTGTTCAAAAGAGCTACTGCCATATTTAATTCTGGAGTTTTACTGTATTCTGGAGAACAAGAATTGTTTAAAGCTTTATCTCTAGGAAAACTGTGGGAGCAAATCAAATGTCTTGATTCTAACTCCTTTGAAAATCATTTTGAAAAAAAACCAATGATTTAAAACTGGTTCGGCAATTTTTACTTTAGGAACGGCATAGAAAAATTGAACTGAGGGATCTGAACTCGGCAGTTTTGCTTTTAGTTACCCTCGTAACATTTGGCACTCCATGAGGCATTTGTGGCTCTTGGAGGTTTAGCACAGAGGCCAGTTCTGTCTTTCCTACCCCTCTTGTGGGAATAAAGAGCTACATGGGACACGCACTGGCCCACTCAAACGACACTTGCATAAAATGCTCACTGGGGCCTGTGCCATTTTGCAATAATTATTATAAAATCAAATGCTTGAAAGCATATGAAATATCTGCTTTTATTTCTTGTACTCTTAAGGAGGCTGACTGTGAGGGACAAGGAAGATACTTTTTAAAATCCCAACAAATAAACAAAACCAAAGTACAACTTGTTTCCTTAGTTTTAGGGCACAGAAATGGAAACAATTCTAGCCTCTATTCTAACCAGGTAGCCGGGCTTGCGATTCCGTGAGCCAGTTTAGGCTCCGTCCCTCTTACTGTAGGGCTCTTTTTAGTCATCAGGCAGACAGTACCACGCGTATTCCAAAATCTCAGCTGGCTCTTCCGTTTTAGAGGCTTCTTTTGAAAGTCGACAGAAGAAACTGAGGGGCATGGAGGGAAGGAGGAGAAGGGACACAGCAGCGCAGCGGGTGGTGTGGAAGATTTGATTGAGACTCTCCAACTTTTAAGAGAGAATCTAGAGCCCTGCTTTTGTTTTGTCAGGAAAATTCCATGATGTGTCTGAGAGCACTCACTGGACTCCGTTTCTTAATGCAAGCGTTCATTATATCCGAGAGAACTATCCCCTTCCCTGGGAGAAGGTAGGCGTGGTCCTCCAATCCTTAAAATATTTAGCACCAAACCTGCCATGCACTGTGTTTGCACCCGCATTGACCCCATTTGTACCGCTCTGTAAGGGCTGCCCACCATTCCACCTTCAGTGTCATGCACATTGCTTGGACATAGTAGATGGCTAGCTAATACTTGAATTACTTATAAACACGGTTTGGGATACATCACTTCATCATTTTGCTCCAATAGTAATTAATCTGAAAGCACTTCCAACACATCGTAAAACGTTTCCAAAAGTCCTTATGGTTTTGTGTGTGTGTGTGTGTGGTTTTGTTTCTGTTTTTGTGTTTTTCAGACAGAGTGTCGCTCTGTCACCCAGGCTGGAGTGCAGTGGCGCGATCTTAGCTCACTGCAAGCTCCACCTCCCGGGTTCATGCCATTCTCCTGCCTCAGCCTCCCAAGTAACTGGGACTACAGGCGCCCGCCACCACGCCCGGCTAATTTTTTTTTTTTTTTTTTTTGTATTTTTAGTAGAGACGGGGTTTCACCATGTTAGCCAGGATGGTCTCGATTTCCTGACCTCGTGATCCACCTGCATAGGCCTCCCAAAGTGCTGGGATTACAGGGGTGAGCCACTGCGCCCGGCCTGTGTGTGGTTTTTTTTTTTTTTGAGACAGAGTCTTGCTCTGTCGCCCAGGCTGGAGTGCAGTGGTGCAATTTCAGCTCACTGCAACCTCCGCCTCCCAGGTTCAAGCAATTCTTGTGTCTCAGCCTCCTGAGTAGCTGGGATTACAGGCAAGAGCCACTGCACCTGGCCTCTTATGTGGTTTTTAATAACTAGAAACTGCAATTTACTTGCCTGAAATTTTTTGTTAGGTCTCAGTAACATAAATGAATTTATATTTATTAAAACTTTTAATAGGATTGTTATTATAAAATCACCCAAACACACATGACTCTAATTTGCTTGTTTGGCAGGACACAGAGAAACTGGTAGCTTTCTTGTTTGGAATTACTTCTCACATGGCGGCAGATGTCAGCTGGCATAGTCTGGGCCTTGAACAAGGATTCCTTAGGACCATGGGAGCTGTGAGTACATCCCTTTATGGGGAATGACTTTATGGGAGTGATACTGTCTCACCTAAGATCAAAACCTGACCGTTTTAAAAGAAAGGAAAATGTTAGGTTATTCAGACTTCTGCCCAAAGCAGTGTTTGGTTAGAGTCCCATCTTTTCCAATTTGTTCCTTTTTTTTTTTTTTTTGAGATGGAGTCTCACTCTGTTGCCAGGCTGGAATGCAGTGGTGCGAAGGCGCGATCTTGGCTCACTGCAACCTCCAACTCCCTGGTTCAAGTGATTCTCCTGCCTCAGCCTCCTGAGTAGCTGGGATTACAGGCACGTGCCACCATGCTTAGCTAATTTTTATATTTTTAGTAGAGACGGGGTCTCACCATGTTGGCCAGGGTGGTCTTGATCTCCTGACCTCATGATCTGCCTGCCTTGGTCTCCCAAAGTGCTGGGATAACAGGCATAAGCCACCGCGCCCGGTCCAATTCATTCCTTTTATTCTTCTTGCCAACTGGGTAGATTCATCCACAAGAGCAGAGTGGCTAATGTGTACTGAAAACAGTCATAGATGTGATGTTTTGTTTTAGTCACAAAAATAATTGATAAATCTTATGCTTTATTCAAGCTGTATATCTTAAGAAGGATATGAATACCTGCCACTTGGTTCTATTTAAAAGTAATACTTCTACTTTATTGGACTTTTTCTCTCTCTTTTTAACTTTCTATATGAAAATGCCATGTCCTCAAACTGAAAATTGTGATCTTACCTGATGACTTAGCCTCTGGAAGGCCCCCTGGTCCTTAATTTATGTTAATTACATTCTGTTAGAAGTTTCAACTTCAACTCAGAGATTTTTATATATATCCTATAAGGCAGAGTTGTCTGTAGTAGCTTTATTGCCAGACATATGTATCCAACTCAGCTGCATATATATGTGTGTGTGTGTGTGTGTGTGTGTGTGTGTGTATGTGGGTGTGGTTTTTTTTGTTGTTGTTTTTTTGTTTGTTTGTTTTTGAGATGGAGTTTCACTCTTGTTGCTCAGGTTGGAGTTCAGTGGTGCAATCTCGGCTCACTGCAACCTCTGCCTCCCAGGTGCAAGTGATTCTCCTGCCTCAGCCTCCCAAGTAGCTGGGATTACCAGAACCCGCCACCATGCCCGGCCAATTTTTTGTATTTTTAGTAGAGATGGGGTTTCACTATGTTGGCCAGGCTGGTCTTGAACTCCTGACCTCAGGTGATCCACCCGCCTCAACCTCCCAAAGTGCTGGGATTACAGGCGTGAGCTACCGCGCCCTGCCTTTTTATTATTATTATTTTTTTACTAATAAAATGTTAGTGTGAAAATTGAGTCTATTATGCGTCCTCAGCAGTTCATTGAGTTAGCTGTCATCTCCCACCACTTGCTTGACTGTGGAAGTAAGAGTTGGGGCTACAATTTGTAATACACACCAGATGGTTCTCTTTCTTTCTTAGATTGATTTTCACGGCTCCTATTCAGAGGCTCATTCGGCTGGTGATTTTGGTACTGTTTATTTACATTTGCTAAATTTTCTCGTGGTATAGTTCACTTATAATGACATCACTACTGTGCTTTAAATATGTGTGTCTTTAATATTTTGCTGGTTGCATGTATTTTCTATTTAATGTTGCAGTTCATTTAGAGTAGAGATGTACCTCATTTAACATAGAGATGTATTTCTAAAAACTTGTGTCTATATGTATTTTTTTGTTAAAAAATTCTACACTTTGTTGTTGACATGTCATAATTTTAGAAAAACTTTACTTATACATTGGGTTAAAATTCATTAGCTAGTGTCTCCTACTTTCCTAATACTTTAGCTTTAAACTAGTAAACTCCACCTTTTGCCTGTAGTAGTAAATTGCTTTTAAATATTTAAACTAGGTGGTGAATGGTGTTTATTAAACCCTTATGGTCGATATTTCCTTAAAGTAAAACAAAAAACACCTTTGGTTATATGGCCAGTTCTTTCTTAATTTATATGTTTCACTAACTAAGATTTTTAAAAGATAATTTTTTCTTAAAAAAAAAAAAAAAAAAAAAGGCGGCCTGGCGTGGTGGCTCACACCTGTAATCCCAGCACTTTGGGAGGCCAAGGCAGGTGGATCACCTGAGGTCAGGAGTTCAAGACCAGCCTGGCCAACATGGTGAAACCCCACCTCTACTAAAAATACAAAAATTAGCTGGGCGTGGTGGCGCATGCCTGTAATCCCAGCTACGAGGGAGGCTGAGGCAGGAGAATTGCTTGAACCCAGGAGGCGGAGGTTTCAGTGAGCCGAGATCACGCCATTGCACTCCAGCCTGGGCAATAAGAGCAAAACTCCGTCTAAAAAAAAAAAAAGGCATGCCTTTACCTAAAACAATGAACAAAAACATGTAATAATGTGAAAAACTAATAATCCAACTTGTCAGACCTCATGTTGAATAGATGCATGCTATGTTTGTCACTAATCCACCAAATGTCAATATTTTTCTCATACCCTAGGAGGAGATGTGTTGAGCCAGTTTGAATTTAATTTTAATTACCTTGCACGACGCTGGTAAGAGCAATGTACATCTAAATATGTGGTATCTAAGTGGCATTTAGAGCCTTGACTTTTTTTCTTAGAAAATATAACTGACAATATAATTAGAAGTCTTCTGCACTGGTAAATTTTGAAAAGTAAAATTGCATATTAGCATAGTTTAGATTCTTTGAGAAATTGAATTCCACTCAATTTTGAATGGAGTGGAGTTGCTGAGTCATAGTTTACTTTTTCAAAATGATCATCTTAACTTATGCTCCCATTAGCTTTGTATAATCATTCTGGTTCTTCTGCATTCTCCAATACTTGGTATTGTCCAACTGTTAAAATTTCCAGCCTGTTTGTGTGTAATGGTATCTCATTGAGGTTGCAGTTTGAATTTCCCAGATTGCTAATGAGGTTACACTTTTCTTCTATTTTATGGATCATTTGTGTTTGATTTTAAGTGAAAACTTTTTCCAGTTTTCAGTCTATTTTTCTGTTGGGTTGTTTATCCTTTTTATTTATTTGTGAGTATTTATATATTCTGGCTTCTACTCTCTTGTCAGTTTGTCACTTAGTTATTACAAATGTCTTTCACAGTTTGTGGTATGTCCTTTCACTTATTGTGTATCTTGACAAACAGGATTTGTTAATATTCATGTAGTTGAATAGATCAGTTTTTCCTTTGTAATGTGTACTTCTGATGTCTTATTTAAGAAATCCGTTCTTAGCTAGGTGTGGTGGCACAGCATCTGTAGTCCCAGCTACTCAGGAGGCTGAGGTGGGAGGATCACTTGAGCACAGGAGTTTGAGGCTTCAGTGAGCTATGATCGCGCCTCTGCACTCCAGCCTGGGCAACACAGTGAGACCCTGTCTCTTAAATAAAAAGAAAGAAAACCTTTCTACCTTGAGGGCAAATGGTTATTCTCTTACATGGACTTCTAAAGCTTTTATAGTTTTATATCTTAGCTTTATGTCTTTGATTTAACTGGAGTTAATTTTTTGTATGTTCTGAGATGTAAATCTAATTTTATTTTTTCCTCTGGAGATAATGGATTGTCCCAGAATGATTTATCAATAGTCTCCCCTTTCCTTGCTGATCTACAATACCTTCTCTGTTTTGGTTTTCTGTTTCTTTCTGTCTTTTTTTTTGAGCCAGTCTAACTCTGTGGCTCGGGCTGGAGTGCAGTGGTGTGTGATCTTGGGTCACTGCAAACTCCAACTTCCAGGCCCAAATGATCCTCCCACCTCAGCCTCCACCTGGCTAATTTTTTAATGTTTTGTAAGAGATGAGGTCTTGCCATGTTGCCCAGGCTGGTCTCGAACTCCTGGGCTCAAGTGATCCGCCCACCTTGGCCTCCCAAGTGTTGGGATTATAGGTGTGAGCCACTGCACCCCCTTTGGGTTATAAATTAAAATGTTATGTATATGTATGGGTCAGTTTCTGGGCTTTCTGATATGTCCTTTTGGTCCCTGAACAATATTGATTATTTTAATTGCTGTAGCTTTATAATAAGTCTTGGGCTCTGTTAGGGCAGATCTTATAACTAGTCCTTCTTTTTCTTCAAAAGTACCTTGCCTATTCTTTGCCTTTGTTCTTTCAAATAAGATTTAGGCTCAAGTTGTCATGTTCCAAGAAAAACTTTGCTGGAATTTTGATTAAGTGTTTATTGAATCTAGAGATGAATTGGAAAATTAACAATTTTGAAATATTGAGGCCAGGCACGGTGGCTCATGCCTGTAATCCCAGCACTTTGGGAGGGTGAGGCAGGTGAATCACCTGAGGTCAGGAGTTCGAGATCAGCCTGGCCAACATGGTTAAACCCTGTCTCTACTAAAACTACAAAAATTAGCCTGGTACGATGGCACGTGCCTGTAATCCCAGCAACTTGGGAGGCTGAGGCAGGAGAATCACTTGAACCTGGGAGGCGGAGGTTTCAGTGAGCTGAGATCATGCCATTGCACTTCAGCCTGAGAGACAAGAGCAAAACTCCGTCTCAAAAAATAAAAAAAGAAAAAAAAATTTACCATTCAAATAAAAAGATTTGTAAGTTATAAGTAAGATAACATCACTATTTATTTCTTTACTTTTTATCAGGTTTATCTACTGATTATTAAGAGAGAAATTAGTTTCAAAGATCTCCCACATGAGGGTAGATTTTTCAATTTCTTGTAGTTCTGTCAGAGTTTGCTTTGCTATATAGATTTTGAAGATATATTGTTAGGTACATTCAATTTCAAAAGGATACCTTGTGAATTGAGCTTTTTATCGTGAGGCAAAATCCCTCTTTATCTCTAATAATAGTTGCTGCATTAAAGTCTCCTTTATCAGATGTGACTGGAGTTATACTGGTCATGTTTGGTGATATTCCATGGTGCTAGAATAAGTAGGCTCAAGTTAAGAACTGCCGAGATCATGCCACTGCGCTCCAGCTTGGGCGACAGGGTGAGACTCCAACTCCATCTCAAAAAAACAAACAAAAAAAAAACCGTCCAGGTTCCAAACCTAACGTGTAGGGTGTGGCACACGTTCTCAGGGCAAAAGCTGGTTGTCCCATTTGCTTACCTCCCAGGGTTTTTTTGTTTCTAGTTGTTTTTGGCCTTTGAAAAATTTCTGCTGTCCTGCTAGCTTGGTGATTCATTTAAAAAAATATTTTTTGTTATTTTGTCTGACTTTTTAAGCTATTTTTATTGGGAATGCCATTCCAGTGCTCTTATAAAATAAAAAATGAGTCTCTCAATTGTTTCTTTCTTTTACCTACTAAAAGAAACCTACTAAAGTTAGATTTTATTGGTTGCGATTTTTTATCTTGTTTATTCTGAGGATTTTTTTTTTATTATACTTTAAGTTTTAGGGTACATGTGCACATTGTGCAGGTTAGTTACATATGTATACATGTGCCATGCTGGTGCGCTGCACCCACTAACTCGTCATCTAGCATTAGGTATATCTCCCAATGCTATCCCTCCCCCCTCCCCCCACCCCACCACAGTCCCCAGAGTGTGATATTCCCCTTCCTGTGTCCATGTGATCTCATTGTTCAATTCCCACCTATGAGTGAGAATATGCGGTGTTTGGTTTTTTGTTCTTGCGATAGTTTACTGAGAATGATGGTTTCCAATTTCATCCATGTCCCTACAAAGGACATGAACTCATCATTTTTTATGGCTGCATAGTATTCCATGGTGTATATGTGCCACATTTTCTTAATCCAGTCTATCATTGTTGGACATTGGGGTTGGTTCCAAGTCTTTGCTATTGTGAATAATGCCGCAATAAACATACGTGTGCATGTGTCTTTATAGCAGCATGATTTATAGTCATTTGGGTATATACCCAGTAATGGGATGGCTGGGTCAAATGGTATTTCTAGTTCTAGATCCCTGAGGAATCGCCACACTGACTTCCACAATGGTTGAACTAGTTTACAGTCCCACCAACAGTGTAAGAGTGTTCCTATTTCTCCACATCCTCTCCAGCACCTGTTGTTTCCTGACTTTTGAGGATTTTTAAATTAAAAGATGATTGAGTATAAATCTGGTTTTTAAATGCTGCTCTTTGCAATGGAAATAACTAATATTTGTGAACCAAAAGCCTGATTTAGAATTCTTTTCATTGCTTTATACTGTAAACCAAGAAGTATCTGAGACAAGTCTCAATCAATTTAGGAAGTTTGTTTTGCCAAGATTAAGGACACACCCATGATACAGCCTCAGGAGGTCCGGATGACAACATGTGCCCAAGGCTGTTGGAGCACATCTTGGTTATCTGTACATTTTAGGGAGACTTGGGACATCAATCAATAAATGCGAAATGGCTGTTGGCCAGTTAGCTCAGTTGTGGTGCTAATGACACCAGGGTCGCAGGTTCAGTCCCCTTACAGGTCAGTTGTTTTGGCCAGGCATGGTGGCGCATGCCTGTAGTCTCAGCTGCTTGGGAGGCTGAGGCAGGAGAATTGCTTGAACTTGGAAGGCGGAGGTTGCGGTGAACCGATATCGCACCACTGCACTCCAGCCTGGGTGACAGAGTGAGACTCCATCTCAAAAAAAAAATAAAAATAAAAAAATAAGTAAAATGTCCATTGGTTCAGTCCAGAAAGATGGGACAACTCGAAGCGAGGAGGAGGCTTCCAGGTCATAGGTAGCTATGAGACATCCTTCCGAATTTCCAATTAGCCTTTCACTGAAAATGCAGTTTACAGTAATAGTGTCACTTATGCTGTAGTCTGGTTTAGTGAAACAATTAGGCAAAGGAAGCAATCAGATATACATTTGTCTCAGGTGAGCAGAGGGATGATATTTGAGTTCTATCTGTCCTTTGCCCACATGAATTTCCTTGTGGGCAAATTGTGAGGGAGGTATGTAGCTTTTAATCTTTGTAGCAATCTCACTTAGAAATAGATTGGGAGGGCCAGGTGTGGTGGCTCACGCCTGTAATCCCAGCACTTTGGGAGGCCGAGGCAGGTGGATCACCTGAGGTTGGGAGTTCGAGACCAGCCTGACCAACATGGAGAAACCCCATGTCTACCAAAAATATAAAATTAGCCGGGCGTGGTGGCACACGCCTGTAATCCCAGCTGCTTGGGAGGCTGAGGCAGGAGAATTGCTTGAACCCGGGAGGCGGAGGTTGCGGTGAACGGAGATTGCACCATTGCACTCCAGCCTGGGCAACAAGAGCGAAGCTCCATCTCCAAAAAAAAAACAAAAAACAGAAAACAAAAACAACCACACAGAAACCACACAGAAATAGATTGGGAGGCAGGTTTGCCCTACACGGTTCCCAGCTTGACTTTTCCCTTTAGTTTAGTGATTTTGGGGTTCTGAGATTTATTTTCCTTTACAATATTTTTATACTTTGGTATACTTTTTTGTATACTTTATATACTCTGAAATTAAGATGTCAGGGTGAGGAGACATTTTTATAATAGTGTTTTTAAAATAATTCTTTTCAATTCAACTTGAAACCATGAAAATACTTTAAATTACTTCTTGAACTCTGAATTCACAAAATTAACCACTCTTTTTGTACGTTATAGTTAGTTTCCAATCTGAGTATACCTACATAAATATTTGATTTAAGTTACCAGTTGTTTGCTCTGCATCATTGGGCCAATTATTTAACTTTTCTGTGCCTTAATCATTTCTTCTTATGTAAAACGGGAATATGATAGTACTAACCACCTGAGGTCATTGCTAGGATTAAATAACTGGTGCATGTAAAGACTTTTACATGGTGCCTGGCACAAAATAATCACGGAATAACTGGTAGCTGCTGCTGCTGTTGTTACTATTTTCAGCTTCAGAATCAAAACAACTCTTACTTTATTCTGCATTTTTCAGGTATGTGCCAGTCAAAGATCTACTGGGAATTTATGAGAAACTGTATGGTCGAAAAGTCATCACCGAAAATGTAATCGTTGATTGTTCACATATCCAGTTCTTAGAAATGTAAGCGTAACTCAGAGGACAATTTGCAGCTGATTTTGTTGTGACTTCCTTTGCACAGTTTTTATGTTTTTGTTTCCTGAGACTGGATTTTGGATTTATGGATTCTGCTTATTCAAAGGCAGTTGCATGACGGTGGAAAAGGGTGGATGGAACTTTTTCTTCATTATTTGCTTCATTTCTCTGTTACAAACTGCAACTCACAGCCAAAATTATTGTTTATTTTGCAGGTATGGTGAGATGCTAGCTGTTTCCAAGGTAAAGGCGTCATTCTTCCAAATCTTAAAGGATTATAAAGATACCAGGAATAGTACCATATTCATTTTATTTTTTCTTTCTCTCTGCCATAGTTATATCCCACTTACTCTACAAAGTCCCCGTTTTTGGTGGAACAATTCCAAGAGTATTTTCTTGGAGGACTGGATGATATGGCATTTTGGTCCACTAATATTTACCATCTAACAAGCTTCATGTTGGAGAATGGGACCAGGTGAATTCATATTGCATTTCTATTACCAATCACTCTCTGCCTTTTTACCCCATCCCCCAACATAACTCTCAGGTTTTTCAACTGATCACATAAAAACAAAACAAAACAATCTCATGAAGTGCTTTTCTAACCTATTCAAAGAGGGAAAGAATGGAAACTCAGTGATCTTATAAACTTGACTGGTTCCCATCCAGTTGGCTTGGTTGATGCTGCTCGTGTTTTAGAAATAGAGAGACAGTTATTGCAATATTTGGGGTCTGTGAGAAATGGCTCAGCCAGGCAGGAATCAGCCTCCACAGGTGGTGCTCCATTTGTTTCTTTCTTTTTATTTTGAGACAGAGTCTTGCTCTGTTGCTCAGGCTGGAGTACAGTGGCACGATCTCGGCTTCACTGCAACCTCTGCCTCCTGGGTTCAAGGGAGTCTCGTGCCTCAGCCTCCCAATCAGCTGGGACTACAGGTGTGCACCACCATCCCTGGCTAATTTTTTTGTATTTTTAGTAGAGATGAGGTTTCGCCATATTGGCCAGGCTGGCCTGAAACTCCTGGCCTCAAGTGATCCACCTGCCTTGGTCTCCCAAAGTGCTGGGATTACAGGCATGAGCCACTGCACCCAGCCTCCATCTGTTTCTTTTGGGAAAACCCATGCTGGGGGCTGGAGTGCCAGGTCTCCACAGGTCCCAGAGTGGCTGTGTTCTTGCTGTGGTGACACACCTCTCCACCCTGACTACACTCTCAGGGTTTCAGGGTGTCAAAGGATACCTCACCTAATACTAAAAAAACAGAAGCAAATAGAGCTATAGCTACATGCCCCGACACACACTCCAACGTAAAATGAGAAATAAATGCATTTGTAAAACATTCTGTTGAAATTTGACATCTAGCCCAGATGGGACAGCTGCTGAACCTCCAGTTCCTTTTCTTCTCCTAAGCATGCTCAGGACAAGAATTAATCAGAAACTCAGCCGAAATATAGATAAGGTAGACTGTGATTGTCCCCACTTCTAGCTGTAGTAGATCATTAGACTCTCACAGAGTCTTACACTACCCCTAGATCAGAGGGAGCCAAGGCCCTTCTGATAACCCATTTCTTTCTTTTTCTTTTTTTTTTAAGAGCACATGTGTTTTTGTTTTTTGTTTTTGAGATGGGGTCTTGTTCTGTCACCCAGGCTGGAGGGCAGTGGCATTATCTCAGCTCGCTACAACCTCCACCTCCTGGGCTCAAGTGATTCTTGTGCCTCAGTCTCGAGTACCTGGGACCACAGGCTCACACCACTGCACCAGGCTAATTGTTTGTATTTTTGGTAGAGATGGGGTTTTACCATGTTGCCCAGGCTGGTCTCCACCTCCTGAGATCCAAGTGATCCACCCGCCTCAGACTCCCAAAGTGCTGGGATTACAGGCATGAGCCACCATGCGTGGCCGGAAAACCCATTTCTTTTTTTTTCTTTTCTTTTCTTTTCTTTTCTTTTTTTTTTTTTTTTTGAGACAGAGTCTTGCTCTGTTGCCCAGGCTAGAGTGCAGTGGTGCGATCTCGGCTCACTGCAACCTCCACCTCCTGGGTTCAAGCAATTCTCCTGCCTCAGCTTCCCGAGTAGTTATGACTACAGGTACTCACCACTACACCTGGCTAATTTTTGTATTTTTTGTAGAGACAGAGTTTTGCCATGTTGGTTGGCCAGGCTGGTCTCGATCTCCTGACCTCAAGTGATCCACCCACCTCTGTCTCCCAAAGTGCTGAGATTACAGGCGTGAGCCACCATGCCTGGCCCAGAGAACCCATTTCTGATCATGCTGTTGGACATGCAGCCTCTCCCCACTACTGACCTGAACCGGGTTGAGATGTGGGTGTGGCTAGGAAGCACAGGGCAGCCCCCGAATCGGGGAAAGGGCAGAGCGGGAAGCTTAGGCTGTACCACCAGCAGTGGGAAAGAGGGTTCTCTGGGCGGGACCTGTGCCTGGGAGACTGTTCCAGGTCAGGATCATAGCAGAGTTAGCTGTTCATAAGTTGGAATGGCCTACAGAATGTAGATCCAGAATATTATACTGGGTGATATTCCTTTACCCTTATAAACATTTGCTAGTACCCAAACAGTGTTAACCATAATTATATATTGTGTTGATTTGAAACAAAATTCCCTTTGATGACAAATTCGACCTTAGCTTGGTACATAATAAACTTGTTTTTAACAATCGGTGAGTAACAATTTGGCAGGGATAGCAATCTCATATGAATGCCACTTTTAATAGTGAAATAAACCTCAACTAAAATCCCCAAGCTCTCCCGTGGACCTGGGTTTTTAGGTGCATACTGCCGTGGTTGTACAGAATTTAAGGGATCTGCCACTCACTACTGAGTTATCTGGAACAAGTTGCTAAACCTTCCAAAATCTTATTTCCTCACCTATAAAATTGGGACAGCAATACTATTTTTACCATAGGATTTTTGTGAGGAGTAAATTAGATCAGTCATGTAAAGGGTTTAGAATAGAGTAAGCACTTACTAAGTATTGGTTACTATTATTATTAGAAGGAAGCAAAGTTTGTATTGGAAGGACTCATAACATAAGGGCATGTTTGAGTGATTGACCTGCACTTACTTGTTTTATATAATCCAAACTGGAAAACATTTTTTGGTGTTCAATTTTGGTTTGGTTCTCCAAATAGCTAAGGAAAGATAGCTGGACCTTATTCTTTCGTTAGGAAAAGATAATTGAGAAAGAACATATTTCTTGTCTCTTGATCCCTGTCCCAATTTACCAAGGTGTAAAATTCCATGAGTTGATTGCTTGTTTGCATACATATACAAAGAAAGATTCATCAGAATTTATGAAAATGTATGGGAAATTCAGAGAAGTCTCCAAAAAGAGACAACACAAAAAAATTCATAACAGAAAGGAAAACATAAATATGTTCATAGTAACAGGCATTTCCCAGCTTACTAACACAGGTTATCTTCCAAAGCTCACTTATGTTATTTGGTATATTTTCCTTAAAAAAGCAATGAAGTAGTGGTAGTTACATTGCCAAGAACTCTACTCACCTCAAACTCTATTTGAAAGTATAGTGCTAATGCTGTAAGGCTGCCTTTTGTGTCCTGTGGTGGACAAGAAAAGGTCCAAAGAGAGAACCTTTTCCTCAGCTCAAACCTGGCCAGAGAAATGTTTTGGTAGGAAGAGTCTGCCTTCAGCTTTTTCCCACCTCCTTTTTGGAATTCCTTTTTCAGCAACTAATTTTCTTCACCCCTACACTCCACATTACTTTTGTATTACCCCAGCCTCCCTCAGTGACCTCCATACAAATCTTAAGATAGTCTTCATTCCAGAATACTCTTCTTATATTAATACCTGCTTCCTCAGTGCTTCTGTTCAGTGTTGGGGGAAAGCCTCTATTGGGAAGAGTTTATCTCTTATGTTCTCAGAGGCTTTTTCACTTGTAAAAGGGGATCCTTCATTAGCTATTTAATTATTGAAATTATGGAATTTTTTTTAAAGAAATGAAATTGAGAAATTCAGACACATTTAGGCATAAATGTGTATAATTGGGCAGAAGGTGACATAATTGGTAACCAGTGTTGATAACACTCTCAAATTCTGAGACGTTTCGTGTTAGCGTGGAACAGCTCAGCAGGTGGAGCGGGGAGGGAAGAGGAAGGCTGAGTCTGGGGTGACTGGCAGCATGAGCCTTCCTGGATTACCATGATAGTGACAACCGTCAGCCTACCCACCCTCTCTGGGAGAACATGGGCTCTTAATTAGTCCTGTATGGCTAGGTAATAAACACTTTAAGCCTTTGGGAGATGATTGAAGCGCACTACCGATTCTCGGTAAAATTCATGCTTGTGAAGAAGTAGATAAATGGCTAACTCATTTGACTGTTTCCTCAGTGACTGCAACCTGCCTGAGAACCCTCTGTTCATTGCATGTGGCGGCCAGCAAAACCACACCCAGGGGTAAGTGGATTCCAAAATTGTTCATAGAAAAAGTACATCTCACCTGGAGGAGATGCCCTATAGAGGTTGAGAACACGGGATCTGTTGAGAGACAGCTGTAGGTTCAAATTCCAGATTTGTCACTTGCAGCTGTGTGATTTTTAAACAAGCTGCTTGATTTTTGGAGCTATAGCTTCCTCCTTTTGCAAAATGGAAAAAGCACATCAACACTCCCAGAATTATGGTGTGGATGACATGCAGTGGTGGATGTAAAGCAATTAGCACATGTTGAGTTGCTCATTAAACGGTAGTTAGTGGCTGGGCACAGTGGCTCATACGTGTAATCCTAGCACTCTGGGAGGCTGAGGCAGGAGGATCCCTTAAGTCCAGGAGTTCAGGACCAGCCTCAGCAACATAGTGAGACCCCTATATCTACAAAAAATGAACAAAATTAGCCAGGTATGGTGGTGTGTGCCTGTAGTCCCAGCTACTTGGGAGGCTGAGGCGGGAGGATTGCTTGAGCCTAGGAGTTCGAGGCTGCAGTGAGCTGAGATCAGGCCAGTACACTCCAGTCTAGGCAACAGAGTGAGATCCTGTCTCAAAAAAAGAAAGAAGAAATGTAGTTAGTATTATTGTAACTATCAATATTATTGTCTTACTCATAAACTTCACCCAGATTTTACATGAAAATTTATTTATTGATGAGACAGTGTTGGGAGAAGCCCTCAATGTTAAGGGCCAGAAGCCTGGTTTGTATTTTAAGAAATGATATTTTCTGCTGGAGTCAGGTACCAACCGACAGTCATTTATGCATTCATTTAATAAGTTATTAATATTACAAATATGTGTATATTTATTAATAAAATAGAACAAAATAACACAAATAATAAAATATCATTTATTAATCAGTACGTGCCAGGAACTGGTTCAGGCACTAGAGATATCATTGTGAACAAGACAGAAACAGTTCCTGCTCTCAGGTATATGGCCTGGCAGGTAGCTGGGCACTAAACAAGTAATTGTGGACATTGTTAAGTGTTAGGAAGAAAAAATGCAAGGTGCTCTGGGGATTTGCAAGCGTCCTGGCCTGGGCACAGGAGGGTTCTCCTTGAAGAAGTGATGGCTTAACAGATATTTAAGTGTCAGGAATTAAAAATGCAGGGTGTTCTGGGGATTTGCAACAGAGCGTCCTGGCCCTGGGCACAAAAGAGCTCTCCTTGAAGAAGTGATGGCTTAACCGGGATATTTAAGGATGATCAAGAGTGAGATATACTCAAAAGTAGAGTATTGCAATGATAAAGGTACTGAGAGGAATGATCTTAGCACTTTGGAAGAATGAAAATTACACAGAAAGTGTTCAGTGAAGTCGTCATTGTTGTATTTGAATTGGGTAACTTTTTTTTTTCTTTTTCTTTTTTTCCTAGCAAACCATTCCTTCAACATACTTTGTTGTTGTTTAATCACATTGAGCACCTTTTGATTAGGCTTGCAATCTTTCTTGGGGTTGCCAGAACCCTGACACTAGTTGGTGTCATGCCCAGGGCCCCGTCACTTACGGCTGTTGTCCACTCCCTACTTCAGTCATTTCTGAAGCCTCTCTGGCTCCCTGAGTCATCTGCTTTTTGGCTGGTTGACATCTTTGAATGTGAAAATGTATTTTTATTGTATAATTAATTTTAGCATGTCTTTGAAGATAAATCAGTATGCTGGCTGGGCGTGATGGCTCACACCTGTAATTCCAGCACTTTGGGAGACCGAGGCAGGTGGATCACCTGAGCTCAGGAGTTCGAGCCCAGCCTGGCCAACATAGTGAAACTCCATCTCTACTAAAAATACAAAAAAATCAGCTGGGTGTGGTGGTGCATGCCTGTAGTTCCAGGCTACTCAGGAGGCTGAGACAGGAGAATTGCTTGAACCCAGGAGGCGAAGGTTGCAATGAGCCGAGATCGTGCCACTGCACTGCAGCCTAGGTGACAGAGCAAGACTCCGTCTCAAAAAAAAAAAAAAAAAATCAGTATGCTTGCAAAGCAGTTTCCCCACCAGCTGATACCTGTTGCTAAATTTTTTCATAATCTGGAAAGAATTGAAGCCTTTTACTCCTACCATAGAGCTCTGATATTATAGGAAATATGTTTTATAAGGATAGGCTTTTAAGCCTTAGAAATGTGTTTACTAAAAGATTTTGTGAAATGAAGGTTTTCTAAAACTTTCTGTGTTGCTCCTTCAGCCTTCTGACGTTAAAATTTTGTGGTCTTTTAACCTGTGATTAACTTGACTATATTCTTCAACTCAGTTTTACAGGGGGTTGTTTTCTCAGTCGTAACCAGTTTATTCCTCTTTCTCTTCAACAGCTCAAAAATGCAGAAAAATGATTTTCACAGAAATTTGACTACATCCCTAACTGAAAGTGTTGACAGGAATATAAACTATACTGAAAGAGGAGTGTTCTTTAGTGTAAATTCCTGGACCCCGGTAAGAATTTTCTGCTCTAAGTTGAGAAAGAGGAATGCTGCTTCTTGAGATACCTTGTTTCGCTGAGTCCCTGGGTATTTATTTGTCCATTGAAATTTACCTGTGGTGGGATGTGGTGGCTGGGAGGCTGAGTTGAGAGGATCCCTTGAGTCCAGGAGTTTGAGACCTGTCTGGGCAACATAGCAAGACCTTGTCTCTATAAAAAATAAATAAATTAGCTGGGTGTGATGGCTGTGCCTGTTGTCACAGCTACTTGGGAGGCTAAGGCAGGAGGATTGCTTGAGCCCAGGAGTTCAAGGCTACAGTGAGCTATGATCATGCCAGTGCACTCCAGCCTGGGTCTAAGCATGTGCCAGGCCGGCAAATACTCTTGGCATCCATATGTGGTTTGTTCTGGAGATGCCCTGAGTCTGCACCTCAGTGGTCTCTGTCAAGTCAAGATGACCCTGGGCACCCAGGCCAATCCTTCTTTGGACTTAGTCCCAAAGGCGTTCACAATGTTGAAGGCTCACTGTGCATAGCCCCATTGTGTATGAAATTAATCAATGAAGTTAGCTGTTAAGTGAAGACACTCTACTGGGGGATATAAAATGAAAGACAAATGAACTCTGACCCTTAAAAAATTTCAGTCTGAAAGGAGTGACAAATACAAAAATAACCATTATGTGAGTAGACTGCAACACATACCATGGTGCGGTAAGTGCATCATTAGATAGTAGGGAGAATGGGCGTGGTGGCTCACGCCTGTAATCCCAGCACTTTAAGTGGCTGAGGCAGGTGGATTGCTTGAGCTCAGGAGTTTGAGACTAGCCTGGGTAACATAATGAGACCCTGTCTCTACAAAAAAGTAACAAAAAATCAGCTGGGCATGGTAGTGTGCACTTGTAGTCCCAGCTATTCGGGAGGCTGAGGTGGGAGGACTACTTGTTCCTGGAAGGCAGAGGTTGCAGTGAGCTGAGGTTGCACCACTGCACTCCAGCCTGGGTGCTAGAGTGACACCCTGTCTCAAAAAACAAAACAAAAAAAAAATAGCAGGGAGAAAAGCTTCACCTTGGAGGCTATCAGACAGAGAAGGCTTCCTGGAGGAGGGGACATTCAAGTTAGGTCTTGGACAGTAGATAGTATTTCATCAGTGAGAGTACATTTCTGTTAGTGGGTTGGGAAAGTTTCAGGTGTTGGGAAATCTGAGTAGTCGTATTTGCCTGGAGCACAGGACAAGGAATATGAGTTACTATGAGAGGCTTAGGAAGCTAAGTAGGCATTGGATTGTAGTGGGCTCTTAATGTCAGAAGGGTTTAGACAACTTTGTGAATGGGGTCTCTGAGAATTGCGGAAGGGCCTAGTTTAGGTTTAATATACTGCTGTCACTGCCTTAAAATTCTTAACAATTTTTTTTTTTTTGAGACAGAGTCTTGCTCTGTCACCTGAGCTAGAGTGCAGTGGTACCACCTCAGCTCACTGTAACCTCTGCCTCCCGGGTTCAAGCAATTCCCTGCCTCAGCCTCCTGAGTAGCTGGGATTACAGGCACCCGCCACCATGCCCAGCTACTTTTTGTATTTTTAGTAGAGATGGGGTTTCACCATGTTGGCCAGGCTGGTCTTGAACTCCTGACCTTAGGTAATCCGCCCACCTGGGCCTCCCAAAGTGCTGGGATTACAGGCGTGAGCCACCACACCCGGCTTTAACAATTTTTTTAACAAAAGGCTGCATGTTTTAATTTTGCCCTGGCCTCCTTAAATTATGTAGCTGGTCCGGACCGGGGAGGGGAACCTCTATCAAAGCACATGTCATTTTGTCTTGCCATATTTGGATTTTCTCCTTTGCAAAAAAATGAATTGTCTAAGGAGGGACTTTATGTTCCCAGTGTCTGCTGTGGTACCTGGCATATAGTAGGAGCTGATTAATTGCTTCCTGGATGAATGAGCAAGTCAGAGCTAGGCTTTAGGATGAAGCAATCTATGCATGGCCTGCCAGTGAGATTAGAATGGGCAAAGCAGAAGGCATACTCGTGCCTGAAAGATCCTCAGACCCTGTGCTTTTGCAGCGCCTGAGCCATCTGGGCTGCCTTCATGCTCTGAGCCAACTGTGCTCTGCTTTGGAGCAGACCTAGGAAATCTTGTTTGGTCTCATGTCACCCTTGGGCAGATTTAGAGTTGTGTCCCCTTAACTTGGATGGATCTAGTATCTGGCCAGCTTGTTCAGGGCCACTCTCGTTTGTGTTTTTTGTCTCTGCAGTAACCACATTAAGAACGATTCAGCATCCCAAGCTGAGGGGCTTGTTGTCCCCCAAATTCTGTGGTGTACGGCTCCTAGCATTCTGCATGTGACCTCTCGTGCCTGCCTGGCAGCAAATACAACCACATCTCAGCTTGGGTGTGGTTTGGAGGATATCGTTTTTTTTTTTTGAGATGGAGTCTTGCTCTGTCACCCAGGCTAGCGTGCAGCGGCACGATCTCAGCTCACTGCAACCTCCATCTCCCAGGTTCAAGCGATTTTCCTGCCTCAGCCTCCCAAGTAGCTGGGACTACAGGTGCCCGCCACCACTCCCAGCTAATTTTTAGTAGAGACGGGGTTTTACTATATTGGCCAGGCTGGTCTCGAACTCCTGACCTTGTGATCCTCCCACCTTGACCTCCCAAAGTGCTAGGATTATAGGCGTGAGCCACCACGCCTGGCCGGTCTGGAGGATATCTTTGGCATCCTGTTGTTCCAGTTTATTTGTTTGTTAATATATATACACATATACAAATACAATTAAAGTTCTGCATTGAAAGGACTTGTTCTTTTTCTTGTTGTTGAGACAGAGTCTCATTCTGTTGCTCAGGCTGGAGTGCAATGGTGAGATCTCAGCTCATTGCAGCCTCAACCTCTTGGATGCAGGTGATCCTCCCATTTCAGCCTCCCAAGTAGCAGGGATTACAGGCACGCTCCACCACACTCGGCTAATTTTTTGTATTTTTTGTTGAGATGGGGTTTCTCCATGTTGCCCAGGCTGGTCTCAAACTCCTGGGTTCAAGTGATCCTCCTGTCTCAGCCTCCTAAAGTGCTAGGATTACAGGTGTGAGCCACTGCACATGGACAGACTTGTCTTTTAAAAAATTTTAGTCCCCTGGGCATGGTGGCTTACGCCTGTAATCCCAGCACTTTGGGGGAGCCGAGGCAGGTAGATTGCTTAAGGTCAGGAATTCGAGACCAGCCTGGCCAACATGGTGAGACCCCATCTCTACTAAAATACAAAAATTAGCTGGGTGTGGTGGCGAGCACCTGTAATCCCAGCTACTAGGGAGGCTAAGGCAGGAGAATTGCTTGAACCCAGGGGGCGGAGGTTGCAGTGAGTTGAGATCGTGCCACTGCACTCCAGCCTGGTGACAGAGCGATAACTCTTTCTACCCATGCTGGTCCCAACCTCTTGGGCTGTAACTCTGCCATCCCTCAGCATAATTTGGGGGTATGATTTCACTATCCTAATTGCCTGTCCTAAGTGATCTTACTTGCTGATAGGACCTAATGTTTTATTTTATTGTTTAGCACTTCTAAAAACTCATTTCCTTTACACAAGTCCAATACTTTGGACAGGAAACAGTAGCTTTGTTGATTATGCTACGTGTCTTTACTGTCTATAATGATTCTTTTATTTCAGGATTCCATGTCCTTTATCTACAAGGCTTTGGAAAGGAACATAAGGACAATGTTCATAGGTGGCTCTCAGTTGTCACAAAAGCACGTCTCCAGCCCCTTAGCATCTTACTTCTTGTCATTTCCTTATGCGAGGCTTGGCTGGTACGTATAAGTTTATCTAACTTGTGAATGTTTTCTTCAGTATTAATTTTATTCAATCATTCTGCAACTGTTTTTTATTTCATTTTATTTTATTTTATTTTTGAGACAGAGTCTCACTTGTCACCCAGGCTGGAGTACAGTGGCTTGATCTTGGCTCACTGCAACCTCTGCCTCCCAGGTTCAAGTGATTCTCTGCCTCAGCTTCCCAGTAGCTGGGGTTACAGGTGCGCGCCACCATGCCTGGCTAATTTTTATATTTTTAGTAGAGACAAGGTTTCACCATGTTGACCAGGCTGATCTCGAACTTCTGGGCTCAAGTGATCTTCCCGCCTTGGCCTCCCAAAGTCCTGGGATTGCAGGTGTGAGCCACTGTGCCCAGCCCTCTGCAACTGTTTTAAATGGTGCTTGTTAGCACCTTGCTTGTCAATGAATTCATCATCAACAAAAGCATTAATTTATTTGATTAAAAAAATTTTTTTTTCTGTACTAGAGATGGGGTCTTGCTATGTTGCCCAGGCTGGTCTCAAACTCCTGGGCTCAAGCGATCCACCTGCCTCAGCCCCCCAAAGTGCTGGGATTACAAGCATGAGCCACTGCACCTGGCCAAAAGCATTAATTTAATGGTTAAGTTATTGTAACAATGAAATGATCTCCTTACACTTGGTCAAATATGTTTAAATACAAGGAACTTTCGGTTTACTAAATAATCACAACAATAAAGGATTGTTTCATGGAATTTTTGTAAAGCTCTGATGTTCTTGGAGATAAATTCTTACAGATTTCTTTTGTAATCTAGTCACATCAGAAGGATATAAGCAGATAGCTGTTATAGTGATTTAAATATTGTAACTTCATATGGTAAAAGCTGGTATACCATGACAGTTTTATAAAGAGAATGTTAGGAATTCCTCTGATTTTAAAATTCAACCAAAACTAAGCCCCCAAAATAAATAAAAAAATAAAACAAAACAACAACAACATACAAAACTAACCCCAAGTATATAAAAGTGACTATTTTCTGGAAGTTTGGATGAAGGCTTTTTAAAAAAATCATACTCCTTAATTCCAAAGGGCATTGCATTTCCTTGGCACAATTTCCTGACAGTCCTTCCTTTCAGGGCTTCTGTGCATTCAGCTCTAGTGCAGGAGATGGGGAGGTGAATGCTGTCTTTACTGGTCGTTCACTTGTGTGTATGGCTACCTCCCTGAAAGATCCGAAAGGCCTCCTGCTGGGCTGGCAGCTACATAAGCACAGCCAGCCACAGGGGCATCCCTAGGGCCATTACTGGCCAGCATTGAGCCTCCAAAGTGCAGAGAACAGCAATGGGTCCACTGGAGTGTCTGTCCCTCCCACCAGGTATCACAGCCTTAAACAACTGCTCTTGACTTTTTCCTTTGTTCTGCCGTTTGTTCTGATTTCGGCTCACTGGGTTCTCTGCCTCCCGGGTTCAAGTGATTCTCCTGCCTCAGCCTCCAAAGTAGCTGGGATTACAGGCGCCTGCCACCATACCCAGCTAATTTTTGTATTTTTAGTAGAGACAGCATTTCACTGTCTTGGCCAGGCTGGTATCGAACTCCTGATCTCAGGTGATCCACCTGCCTTGGCCTCCCAAAGTGCTGGGATTACAGGCGTGAGCCACCATGCTCGGCCTGCCATTTGTTCTTTATGTGATGATAAGCACTAGAATAAACAAATGACTTTTGGTCTTTCCAGCCCCTGTAGTGACACTTGAACCTTTGACTCGGTTTATCCAGCTCTGTAACTGGTGGCTCTTGGAATCTCATCTAGGAGCCTCTACTAAACATGTGGGACTCTTGATTTGGCCCACTGCCAGGTGCCTTTGTGGCTGTGGTAAAAACATAGTCTATTTCACACAAGCTCGTCTTTGATCAGATAACACATTGAAACGAATTGAGCAGATCAGAAAGTGGCCTGCGCCATTGGCTAGAGGGGCTTGGCTGGACATGAATTTCCTCTCTACTCTCAGGCAAGCCCTGGTTTTGTGTATAAGACAAGAAGCTTCATGAGTATACTTTTCATCCTCTCAGGTTATGTAGTCCAGAAATGCTTAGAGGCCTTGATTTGTCCATTTTTATTTTATTTTTCCCCTTGAAGAATGAGACTGAATCACACTAACAATACAACCTGAGAAGTGAATATTCACAACAGTCACGCAGGGTGGAAAAGTCAGTGAGAGAAAGTTAATGGACTGGGCTCTAGAAAGGAAAGAAGCAGGCGACAGCTTTAACCCTAGTGCTCAGTGCATACCATGGTGGGTCCCTTCACTTCCCTAAGGGCAATGACCTCAGCTGACCTCAACCAGGATGGGCACGGTGACCTCGTGGTGGGCGCACCAGGCTACAGCCGCCCCGGCCACATCCACATCGGGCGCGTGTACCTCATCTACGGCAATGACCTGGGCCTGCCACCTGTTGACCTGGACCTGGACAAGGAGGCCCACAGGATCCTTGAAGGCTTCCAGGTGAGACACCATCTCATCCTTTCTCTTCTAGTGGTTAGTAGCTACTCTTGCATTTTGTGGCAGATTCTCCAGGATGAGTAACTAATAACAAGAATAATTACAGTAACAAACAGCTGGTGGTGTACATTTGTGAAGCACTTTTTAGTTTTAGAAGCATGTTTACATCATTTATTTTATTCTATCATTAGTCTAATACCTTCCAAAAACACACATGCTATTGAGAACTGCTTTGAGTGGCCAGTTGGGATGTGATTTCTTGATAATATAATTGATAATATAAAACCTCTTTATACACACACACACACACACACACACGAAATGTATGTATTTATAAAACTTTGTAAGTATTTTATTTTAATTAATTAATTTATTTATTTGAGATGGAGTCTCTTGCTCTGTCACCCAGGCTGGAGTGCAGTGGTGCAATCTCTGCTCACTGCAACCTCTGCCTCCCGGGTTCAAGCAATTCTCCTGCCTCAGCCTCCTGAGTAGCTGGTACTACAGGTGCACACCACCAGGCCCGGCTAATTTTTTTATTTTTAGTAGAGATGCAGTTTTGCCATGTTGGCCAGTCTGGTCTCAAACTCCTGACCTTAGGTGATCCACCCACCTTGGCCTCCCAAAGTGCTGGGATTACAGGCGTGAGCCACTGCATCCGTCCAGAATTTTAGATTCACAGAAAAGGTATAAAGACAGTACAAAGAGTTCCCATGTACTGTTTACTCATTTTCCCCTATGTTAACATCTTACATAATTATGGTATACTTGTCAAAAATTAAGAATAAAAACAACACTGTACATCACTATTAACTAAACGCCAGGCTTTCTTTAGATTTCCTTCTTTTGTCCTAAGTGGTTATTCATCACCTGAAAAAACCCGCAGTGACTACAAACGTTCCTCGTGGAGTCCAAGCATTAATTCCTCCCGAGAGCGCTAGGGTCCTGGAAAGTTTTTCTAACATCAGAGGCTTTAGTTTTTGTAACAGCAATAAGGAGGAGCGTGGGGGGGTGGGGTAGACAGAGCTCTGCTACTAGTCACCAATGAGTGTGGGGCTTTTGGTGATACTGGCCTGGCACTGCATTCTCTGAGTGTCAAGTGCTAGGGGGAGAACCCTAGACTTCCAGTCAGATCGTCGTGGTTCTTGTTCCAGGCAAGGCACTTACCCTTTCGCTGTGAAGTGAATCCTGTGAAGAGAAAATAAGATGGCACACCTGAACGTGCTTGCTTTTTTTTTTTTTTTGAGATAAACTCTCACTGTTGCCCAGACTGGAGTGCAGTGGCATGATCTTGGCTCACTGCAACCTCTGCCTTCTGGGTTTAAGTTATTCTCCCATCTCAAGGTCACAAGTAGCTAGGACTACAGGCATGCACCGCCATGCCCGGCTAATTTTTGTATTTTTAGTAGAGACGGGGTTTCACCATATTGGTAAGGCTGGTCTTGAACTCTTGACCTCAGGTGGTCCGTCCGCCTCAGCCTCCCAAAGTGCCGGGATTGTAGGTGTGAGCCACCACGCCCAGCCATGAACACGCTTTCAAAAATAAGAAGTACAATGATTTATGATCTAGTTTAGGCTCTGATGAAAGGAGCTCTGAATCCAACATGTACAAATAAGGTGACTGGTCAGTGTGTAAGGTCACAGTCCCAGAGGGACAGCATTTTTCAGGGCCTTCTGACACCACATGAAAAATTTCCAAAATAAATTTATCTAATCTTGTTGCTTCTTACTTCTCTACAAAGCCTTTCCCCGACAGACTGTTGTGTAAAGTGTAAACCTTTGGGCACATATAGACAGGGAATAAAGAGAGGCACCTGCTTCCTGTGGCTGCTAAACTCTCTCAAAGACCACTTGGGTGAGAAAGGAAGTGGCTCCATGCCCTCCTCCCCTAGTGACCTTTGATCATTTCAAAGATGGCAAGATAAAGGCATGGACGAAGGATGGAAATCCTGCCCTCAGGCCCTGACTGCAGTGAGCATCTCTGTGTCCTCATTGATACAATGAAGGTTTATGATAGGAAACTCAAGGCCTGGCCTGCTTTAAAGTTCTGTGCTCCTCTCGGAATGACTGGCTGGCCCGTAGGAGGGCCGGATGGTGCAGCTGATAGTGATAAAATGAACCAGTCCTCAGCTGGCAGAGCCCTGAGTTATTGGTTCCCACCCTGCCCTAGCGTGTTTTGTGTCCCCAGGCAACCTTATCTTGTTTATCAAGTTTCTGCCTTACAGAAAGGGGCAGCACTTATAGATGCCACTGCACACGGGTGTGGAGAGATTACCTAATAAATAATGGACGTGGGTCCTTCAGCATGTGTGTTATGTGGCAAGCACCACTGTGTGAAAGGCCATTCGTTGTTATGTAAGTTGTGAAAGAATTGGAGAACCTGGCCGGGCGCGGTGGCTCATGCCTATAATCCCAGCACTTTGGGAGGCCAAGGCGGGCAGATCCTGAGGTCAAGAGATCAAGACCAGCCTGATCAACGTGGTGAAACCCCGTCTCTACTAAAAATACAAAATTAGCCAGATGTGGTGGCATATGCCTGTAATCCCAGCTACTCGGGAGGCTGAGGCAGGAGAATCGCTTGAACCCAGGAGGCGGAGGTTGCGGTGAGCCAAGCACTATTGCACTCTAGCCTGGGCAACAAGAGCGAAACTCCATCTCAAAAACAAAAAACAAAAACAAAAAAAAGAGAAAGAATTGGAAAACCCAGTGAATTACTTTCAGGTTTAGGCTGATTCCAGACGGTAGGATAAGAAAGATCTAGAAAGTCCACTTTGGAAAAAAAAAGTCTGAAGAGATTGAGTTTTCCATCTGTACACTGTTAAAGTGAGGATGCTAACAGTTCCTACCTTAATCCATTTAAAGTGCTTAGAACAATATCTACACCGTCCTACAGGACTTTCTGCACTGATAGGAATGTTCCGTAGCTGTGCTGTCCAGTGCGGGAGACATAAAACACAGGCTTTGAACATTTGAAATGTGGCTATTGCAACTGAAAAACTGAATTTTTATTTATTTATTTATTTATTCTGTTTGTGTGTTTGTTTTGAGATGGAGTTTCACTTCTGTTGCCCAGGCTGGAGTGCAGTGGCATGATCTCGGCTCACTGCAACCTCTGCCTCCCAGGTTCAAGCGATTCTCCTGCCTCAGCCTCCTGAGTAGCTGGAATTACAGGTGCCCACCACCACACCTGGCTAATTTTTGTATTTTTAGTAGACATGAGGTTTGGCCATGTTGGCCAGGCTGGTCTCAAACTCCTCAGGTGATCTGCTCGCCTCGGCCTCCCAAAGTGCTGGGATTACAGGCATAAGCCACTGCGCCAGGGTAGAAACTGAATTTTTGATTCTATTTAATGTTAATTACTTTAAATTTAAATGTAACAGCCCTATTTGGCTAGGGGCTACCACCTTGGTCAGCATGGCTCTAGAACATCCTGAGTATTCAACAAATGTTAGCTATTGTTGCTGATGTTATATGATTATTATTTTAGATACTTTCTTTTTTGTTTGTTTGTTTTTTTGAGATGGAGTCTCGCTGTGTTGCCTAGGCTGGAGTGCAGTGGCACGATCTTGGCTTACTGCAACCTCCGCCTCCCAGATTCAAGGGATTCTCCTGCCTCAGTCTCCAGAGTAGCTGGGATTACAGGCATGTGCCACCACACCCGGCTAATTCTTGTAGTTTTAGTACAGATGGGGTTTCACTATGTTGGCCAGGCTGGTTTTGAACTCCTGACCTCAGGTTCAGGCCTCCCAAAGTGCTGGGATTACAGGTGTGAGCCACCGTGCCCGGCCTATTTTAGATACTTTCGAAGATAAGTTTTGTGCTTAATGTGGGTCTGAACATACACGAGGCTATTTTCTACAAATCTAGAACTCATAAGAACCAACCCTCTACTTTCTGGCATCTCTGCTTCCCCTCAAGGCAGACAGACATGCTGAAAATATACTTAGGGCAGAGCTACCTAACTGATGTGTTGCAGATATGTTATAGCTTACTGCACCTTCGGCTTTTGGGTGGCGGGGGGCGGGGGTTGTCCCAGGCCTCTCTACTCCCTGGGGGTCAGGAGTGCTCTTTCCGAGGCCGTGGCTCAGCCCAGGGGAAGTAAACTTGTGCCTCTTCAGCCCTCAGGTCGGTTTGGCTCGGCCTTGGCTGTGTTGGACTTTAACGTGGACGGCGTGCCTGACCTGGCCGTGGGAGCTCCCTCGGTGGGCTCCGAGCAGCTCACCTACAAAGTAAGGCTGCTGCTGGATAGGGTTGGAGGAGAATGGGGTGGCAGGGAGGGGACTCTGAGGGAGGCCAACGCTGGGATGAGCCCCTGGAGCAAAGCAGACAGCCAGTGTGTGAGACAGAGCATTTGTGAGCAGATAATCTCAGGCCCCTATGGGGTTCTTGCCGTGACCTTGAGTTACCTTGTAGCACCTGCTGCTGCCTCCCTGGCCTTATTTTGGCCCTATGGTTTCCCAATTCCACCAGGTACTTAGCCCTTTTTTTCATCCCCCACCATGCTGAATGCCAGTGAAGGGAGACAGAAATCCCAGCTCATCTGTAGTTTCTGGTTATCACAACAGCGAGGTGACTTCCCTGGGCCTCTCCTCAAATGGTGGATCCCCGCCTGTTGCCTCCTTTCTTACTGAGTTAGAGATCCTGGACCCTGGCCCACAGGGCTTGCTTGCTTCCCACAGATGCTTCCTACCATAGCAGGGACCACGCATCCGGGCACCATGTGTGACTGTGGAGGTCGAGGGCCCTCCCTTGCCAGCTGCCCTCTGCAGACTCAACTCTTGCCCCTTCCTCCTCACACTCCATTTCTAGACATGCCAGCAGTCTGTCACGTCCTGAACTCATCAGGCTGTCTCACTTTGCGACCTTTGCTCGTACAGTTTCCTCTGCTTGAAAAGCTTTTTCTCCCCTGTCTTTCTTTAGGAGTGACATGTCACTTCTTGCAGAAACTATTACCTAACTCCTGGGCGAGGCTGATACTTCCTTGTCCCCACTTAGCATCCTGTGCTTGTACCTGTTATATCCCCTTCTTCCCTGGGTGTCATAATGACCTGTGTGCCAGCCTTTCAGGAGGAAAGAGATTGGTCTTATTTGTCATTGTGTACCTAGTACCTGGCTTATGATGGAAAAGAAGTGCTTGTAGAATGAATGGGGATGGAGACAGGCAAGTTATAAGAGGAACTGATTGGTAACACAGAATAAAATAGCACAGTGTGTATCCTCAGGCAGGTAAGTGGTACAGATGTGGTATGTTGGCATTCAGATGTGCCATGGGTACAACAGGCTGTGGCCCGGGGGCTTCATGGAAGAGCCTGAAACTGTGCTGGTCCTTGAAGTGGGCAAGGAGTTGAGTAAGTCATTCTGCAAGCACACTGCACAATTGTGTGTGGAGGATCTTGAGTAAGACATCAGGGAGGCAAAGATATAAATGACATCATTTCTGCATTGTGGACTCTCATAGTCTGATGGAAGTGACAGACTTTAAAAAAATTCCTTTCAGCCCAGCAGCAATGCGCAGAATGGATTTCTGTCTGTCATTAAGCTCCCAATCATTGGGGGTGGTGATAATTTGACAAGGTCTCGCTTTAATTAAAAGTTTTTTTCGTGGACACAGGATCTCACTGTGTTTTCGAGGCTGCTCTTGAACTCCTGGCCTCAAGCAATGTTCCCACTTGGGCCTCCCAAAGCACTGGGATTATAGACATCAGCCACCATACCTGGACCCAGAGTCAGTCCTTTTTATCTTCTGTTATTTAAGGTTCTTGGGTCACCACCAGAGCCTCATGTCTATCTGCTGTTTGTCCTTATCTAGGGTGCCGTGTATGTCTACTTTGGTTCCAAACAAGGAGGAATGTCTTCTTCCCCTAACATCACCATTTCTTGCCAGGTATGTTTACCACTTTAGCCAGGTGCAGAAACCTAGAACTCGCTGTATCCTAACTGCCACCAGGGCTGGGTAAAATGTGCTTTCCTGGTTTCTTCTTAAGGACATCTACTGTAACTTGGGCTGGACTCTCTTGGCTGCAGATGTGAATGGAGACAGTGAACCCGATCTGGTCATCGGCTCCCCTTTTGCACCAGGTGGAGGGAAGCAGAAGGGAATTGTGGCTGCGTTTTATTCTGGCCCCAGCCTGAGCGACAAAGGTAGTGCCTGAGGGGGAATGGGTGAGACCATGGCTGCTCTGTGTGTCTACGACAACTTATCCTGCATAGGGGTTTATATCCTTTTTCCTTATTCCATATCATTTCACCAACATTTTCTAACAGTCTGTTACTCTTAAAGATGTGTTGGCAAGTGATGTGCATAGATTCACTGAAAATACAAAAGGTGACCCACAGTTTCTAGGTAGAGAGCCAAAGAGGGCAAATAGACTATTCCCATAGTGTCTCCATGTAAAACAGAAACACTGAGGAGGCTTTGCACCGGAGGCATCTCAGTGGTGCTCTCGACTGTCCATAGCTGTTGTTGTTGTTGTTGTTGTTATTGTTGTTTTTTCTTTTTTTTGAGACAGAGTCTCCCTGTGTCACCCAGGCTGGAGTGCAGTAGCATAATCTTGGCTCACTACAACCTCCACCTCCCAGGTTTAAGCAATTCTGTCTCAGCCTCCTGAGTAGCTGGGACTACAGGTGGGGACTACAGGCGCATGCCACCATGCCCGGCTAATTTTTGTATTTTTAGTAGAGACGGGGTTTCATCATATTGGTCAGGCTGGTCTTGAACTCCTGACCTCTGGTGATCCACCCACCTCGGCGTCCCAAAGTGCTGGGATTACAGGTGTGAGCCACCGCACCTGGCCCAGAGCCTTTTTAAATAGCATCCTCTGCTCCACAGAAGTGAGCTCTAGAAATGTATTTCTTGTATGAAGAGTGAGATTCAATGACATTGGGGTCCTGGGATCAGCATGGGGACATATAAGACCTCTGGCAAAAACTCAGCAAAATGAACCCACTTCTATTAGGCTACGAGAAGGACCCTTTCTTTTCATCCCAGTAGTCCTCTCACTTAAAGTATTAGTAAAAAGGATGAGTTGTCTTCTTTAGAAAAACTGAACGTGGAGGCAGCCAACTGGACGGTGAGAGGCGAGGAAGACTTCTCCTGGTTTGGATATTCCCTTCACGGTGTCACTGTGGACAACAGAACCTTGCTGTTGGTTGGGAGCCCGACCTGGAAGAATGCCAGCAGGTGAGGCTGATGCTGGGGGCTGGGAACCATGAACACAGGGGCAGGTACCTGCTGCTATGGAGCGCACTGAGCATGAGGCTGAGGGAAAAGGGCTAGGAAATGCTTGACTTTTGAAGGAAAAGCCAAGGCTCTGGGCAAGATTGCAAATTCTCCTCCTTAGAAATTTAAAAATACAATAGACAAATGTATTATTTTCTCACAGTTCTGGAAGCTAGACGTCCAAGATCAAGGTTGAGGTCAGAGGGTTGGTTTCTCCTGAGGCCTGTCTCCTTGGCTTGCAGATGGCTGTCTTCCCTCTCTGTGTGTCTGTGCCCCATTCCTCACTTCTGTTTTTTCTTTTGGGAGGAGGGGGTGAGGGTTCACTCTGTTGCAAAGGGCAGAGGGCAGTGGTAACTCACTGCAGGCTCGAACTCGTCCTCCTGCCTCGGCCTCCTGAATAGCTGGGACTACAAGTCGTGTGTGCCCATGCCTAGCTAATTTTTTTTTTTAATTTAAAAACATTTTTATAGGGATGGGTTTTTGCAGTGTTGCCCAGGCTCGTCTCAAACTGGCCTCAAGTGATCCTCCTGCCTCTCCTCTTCTTTGAAAGACACCAGTCCTATTGGATCAGGATCCACCCAAATGACCTCATCGTAACTTAATCACCTCTTTAAAGACTCTGTCTTCAAGTAGTCACATTCAGAGATACTGGGGGTTAGGGCTTCAGTGTAGGGATCGGGGGGACCACCACTGAGCCCATAACAGTAGGTACCCCTATATCTCTATCCCAGAGAGTCTGCTGGGAGGCCTGTCAGTTGGGAGGCAGGATGGTGGGTGTGGCACCTGGAGAGCCTGGATGTTGCGATTAACTCCAATAGTCCCCACACTTCCAGGCCTGGGGTCGCAGAGACAGAGCCTGCTGGGAGGCCTGGATGGGGGGAGGTGCATTTCCTTTCCTTGCTCCTGAGTACCTGGCCAGCTGTCAGTCTTGTGCCCTGGCAGCTAAGCCCAGTGTGCTTCATTCTAGGCTGGGCCATTTGTTACACATCCGAGATGAGAAAAAGAGCCTTGGGAGGGTGTATGGCTACTTCCCACCAAACGGCCAAAGCTGGTTTACCATTTCTGGAGACAAGGTATGACAAGCCCTCCCCACACAGGAGAGTGGACACTCCAAGGAAGTTTTCTCACCTATACAATATTGATTTATTGTGTCTCACAGGCAATGGGGAAACTGGGTACTTCCCTTTCCAGTGGCCACGTACTGATGAATGGGACTCTGAAACAAGTGCTGCTGGTTGGAGCCCCTACGTACGGTAGGTCACACACTGTGAAACTGTGCTTCCTTTCAGTCATGTGGCTGCTTGTACATGTCGTATTGGAGGAAAGTGATGAGATCTGGAGCTGAACAGATCTAGGTTTCAATATTTCCTTTTTTCATTAATAACATTCTGTGTAACTTTGGGGAAGTTACTTAACCTCTCAGAACTTTTGTATCACCATCTACAAAACTGAAATTGTAAATACCTATTTCAGGCCGGGTGCGGTGGCTCACACCTGTAATCCCAGCACTTTGGGAGGCCAAGGTGAGAGAATCACTTGAGGTCAGGAGTTGGAGACCAGCCTGGCAACATGGTGAAACTTTGCCTCTACTAAAAATACAAAAATTAGCCAGGTGTGGTGGTGCATACCTGTAATCCCAGCTACTCGGGAGGCTGAGGCAGGAGAATCGCTTGAATCTGGGAGGCAGAAGTTGCAGTAAGCCAAGATCATGCCACTGCACTCCAGCCTGGGCAACAGAGCAAGACTTCATCTCAAAAATAAAATAAAAATAAAATAAAATAAGATAAAATAAAATTTGTGTTTCAAAGCTTTGTTGAAAATGACATATGAAAGTAACTTAGTGTATTTTTAAAGCCCCTATCCCATGGAACTTGGAGCCAGAGAAAAATTGTATAAGTCAGTTCACTAGGAATAGGTCCACTATGAGGACCTATCTTTTATTTTTCTTTTTTGAGACAGTCTTGCTGTGTCGCCCAGGCTGGAGTGCAGCGGTGTGATTATGGCTTATGGCAGCCTTGACCTCCTGGGCAAAGTGAACCTTGCACCTCAGCCTCCTGAGTAGCTGCGACTACAGGCAGTCAGCCACCACATTATCTAATTTTTTATTTTTTGTAGCGAGAGGGTCTCAACATGTTGGCCAGACTGGTCTCTAACTCCTGGGCTCAAGTAATCCTCCCACCTTGGTCTCCCAAAGTGCTGGGATTACAGGCATGATCCACTGCACCCACCCCTGAAAACATACTTTATATAAACCATTATTTTGTTTACTTTATGGGAAAGATAGTCTTTAAAAAAAAAAATAAATAAGAACCATTTCCTCCCAGATTATAAAGGTGAATTATGCTTATTGTGGAAACTTCTGAAAATACAAGGAAATATATAGAAGGAAAAAAAAAACACCCCTTACCCAGATATTTAAAAACTGAAGCTTATACTATATATGATATTGTCATGCCTAATTTTTTTACTTATATCTTAAGCACATTCTCATGTTAGTAAATATTCTTCTAAAACATGACTTTTGATATCTGCATTGCATTTTTTTAATGCCAGCATTTACTAACATCATCCTGTTGCTGGAATTGTAGGCTCGTTTCCAGTTTCACACTATTGTGAATAAGTAATTATTGAACACTCATGTACCTAGTCTTTGACTGCCTTTCTGATTAGTTTTTTGGATAGATTCCTGGAGATGGAATTACTGGAGTAGAGGTTCTAATCTTTCTAAAAGCTCTTGTTATATATCATCAAACTATTTTTCAGAAAGATTGTTGTTTCTTGCAATATGGGAAAGATTTGAATAATAAGCAGAAGTGGGTCAGACAGGCGGGGTGCAGTGGCTCACGCCTGTAATCCTGGCACTTTGGGAGGCAGAGGTGGGTGGATCAGTTGAGGTCAGGAGTTAGAGACCAGCCTGGCCAACATGGTGAAACCTGTCTAAACCTACTAAAAATACACAAATTAGCCAGGCATAGTGGCACGCTCCTGTAATCCCAGCTACTCCTGAGCCTGAACCACAACAATTGCTTGAACCCTGGAGGCAGAGGTTGCACTGAGCCAAGATGACACCACTGCACTCCAGCCTGGGTGACAGAGTGAGACTCAGTCTCAAAAACAAAAAAACAAAAAAACAAGTGGATTAGGCAAAGGAATGGCTAAATTTTTCATTAAATCGAAGACACAGCATTATAACAAAAAAAAAGTGCTGACTTAGCTTTGGAATCATGTTGGAAGCCAAAAGAATGAGGGTCGTGATAACTCAGTATACCACTGGAGGCTATTTGAGTAAGCAGCAAAACTGTTTCTCATAAATGCAGAATGTTGGCAAACTGACAAACTGCATTTGCCACCCAGAAGGAAAGCTGAGGGCAGTCACGCCCCAAGTGCCGTGTTTCTTGTGATTAGGCACATCTGAAGCCTGTTAATAATAATATGAACCTGTGATCAATTAAGCAGCTGACCAATCGTTACCTCCTCCTCCCTGCTTTTGCTAACCAATAAATGGGAAGGGCTGTGGAAGCTCGGGAGCTAGCTGCCTTTGCTCACTAGAAGCCGGGAGCTCTCTTCTTCCTCGGTTCCCCTTCCTTTAAAACAGTTTCTTTTGCTTCAAGTTTTCATTTCTACGTTCGTCCTCCTTCGTTCAGTCTTGTAATGACGCTCTCAAGCAGTAACAGTAGTAATTGCTGTGATGACGGTCTCAAGTAGTAACCATAGCAGTCAGCCACAGAATCATTTTTGCTTTTCAGAGTCTAGGGAATGATTTCTAAGCTCTTGCAACACACATTATTAACTTTATTTTCTTCACCACTCTTTCTACCCAAGTGTTGTGAATTAGAGTTTCTCAAACTTTCTTGGTTTTGGTGCCCTTACTCTCTTGATAATTTTTTTTCCTATGATAAAGTCCAATATAAAATAGAAGGTCAGGCATGGTGGGTCATGCCTGTAATCGCAGCACTTTGGGAGGCTAAGGCAGGAGGATCACTGGAGGCCAAGAGTTCAAGACCAGCCTGGGCAACACAGTGAGACCCTGTCTCTACAAAAAATTTTAAAAATTGGGCCAGGCGCAGTGGCTCATGCCTGTAATCTTAGCACTTTGGGAGGCTGAGGTGGGTGGATCATGAGGTCAGGTGATCGAGACCATCCTGGCTAACACAGTGAAACCCTGTCTCTACTAAAAACACAAAAAATTAGCTGGGCGTGGTGGTGGGCACCTGTAGTCCCAGCTACTTAGGAGGCTGAGGCAGGAGAATGGCGTGAATCCCGGAGCCAGAGCTTGCAGTGAGCTGAGATTGTGCCACTGCACTCCAGCCTGGGTGACAGAGTGAAATTCCATCTCAAAAAAAAAAAAAAAAAAAAAAAAAAAAAAAAAAAAAAAATTAGCCAGATGTGGTGGCATGCACCTCTGGTCCTAGCTACTCAGCAGACTAAGGTGGGAAGATTGCTTGAGCCCAAGAATTTGAGGCCAGCCTGGACAATATAGGGAGACCCCATCTCTACAGAAAAAGAAAAAAAGGTAGGCATAGTGATGGGCACATGTAGTTCCATCTACTGAGGAGGCTGAGGTGGGAAGATCACTTGAGCCCAGGAGTTCAAGGCTGCAGTGAGCTATGATCACACCCACTGCACTCCAGCCTGGGCAACAGAGTGAGACCCTATTTTTTAAAAGATAAATAATAATAGAAAATAAGTTTAATTATAACTTTTATGTATGTATATAATATGCTAATTTATAAAGTGTGTATAAGTATACTAATATATAATATAAATGTATATAATATGTATATATTATATATACATGTATGTGTCTATATATAATGTATGAATGTATATATAACTATATATTATATATAAATATGAATTAATGTCACCATCAGGTTATTGTTATTGATATATTTCACCCAAATTGTTCAGATTTTCCCATTATTACTTGTATTTTACTTGTATTTCACCCACACAGTTTGCGGGGCCCAGTTCCAAATAAAAATGCAGGGCCCCTTGTTAAAACATTGTTGACAATTTCAAGTCAGAGACAGGACAACATGAAGACAGGCATAGGTCCTTTCGAAATGCAGTGCCTGTGTGACCACAGGGGCACATGCCCTGCATTTATGTCCTAACCACTTAGCTTCTCTCGGCACTGTACAGCTTTTCAAGTCTTGGAATCAGGTTAGACACAACTTTCCTCATTTCCTAATCCACAGCAATTTTTTCATTAGTGCCTGCTTTTTATCACAACCATCCCTGAATATGCAGCTTTGCAAAGATGTGGCATCACTGAAACGAATGCAGGACTCTCGTGTCGTAACTGTGACCGGCCTCCACCCAGTAGTTCGTGTGGTGTCAGATGTCACTGTTATCTTTGAAATGTCAAAATATCTACAGCATCTTTGCCAGTTCACTGAAGCGCTTCAGTGTGCAGTTTGGGAATCACAGCTATAAGGCACAGATTAATCTAAATTTGAGATTTTTGATATACTTTTTTTTTTTTTTTTGAGATAGAGTCTCGCTCTCTTGCCCAGGCTGGAATGTAGTGGTGTGATCTCAAGCTCACTGCAGCCTCTGCCTCCCAGGTTCATGCAGTTCTCCTGTTTCATTCTCCTGAGTAGCTGGAACTACAGGCACGCACCACCATGCCCAGCTATTTTTTTTTTTATTTTTAGTAGAGATGGAGTTTCACCATGTTGGCCAGGCTGGTCTCAAACTCCCGATGTCAGGTGATCCGCCCGCCTCGGCCTCCCACAGTGCTGGGATTACAGGCGTGAGCCACTGCGCCCAGTCACTATACCATTTTATATCAGGGGCTTGAACATCCGTGGATTTTGGTATCTGTGAGAGGCCCTGGAACCAATCCTTCGTGGATACTGAGGGATGGCTGTATTGTTTATAGTAGTAAAAAGCTAGAAATAGCCTAAATGTGAAAAGAATCAGATTTAAAATTTTATAATCCACAAAATCTCCATTTTGTTTAAAATGTGTGTTTATAGATATCTGCCTACCTACCTACCTATCTCACTTTCCAGAAAGAAATATATATAGTATATACATTTTCTTCTTTATGCTTTTTTTTTTTTTTTTAATAGTTGGAGTCTTGCTATGTTGCCGAGGCTGGCCATGAACTTCTGGGCTCAAGTGATCCTCCCATCTCAGGTTCACAAGTAGCCGGGACCACAGGCATGTGCCACAACACCTGGATTATGCTTCTTTTTTTTTTTTTTTTGAGTATTTTTTACACTTTTGATAATGATCAAATATAAAAGATCTTCTTGACATCTTCATAGTTTTGACTTTTGCAGTAATCCTGAAAGCTGGTGACATTAAGTAACTTACAGTTGATAATTTTTCTTTTTCTTTTTAAGCCATAGGGTCTTGCTCTGTTGCCCAGGCTGGAGTTCAATGGTGTGATCACAGCTCACTGTTACCTTGAACACCTGAGGTCAAGCGATCCTGCCGCCTCAAGCCTCTTGAGTAGGTCAGACTACAGGCACATGCCACCACACCCTACTTTTTGTAGTGATGGGGTCTCACTGCATTTCCCAGGCTGGTCTTGAACTCATGAGCTGAAGTGATCCTCCTGCCTCAGCCTCCCAAATGCTGGGATTATAGGCATGAGCCATCATGCCTGGCAAGTTTATAGTTTTTCTGAGACACAAATATGAACCACATTACAAGATGATATCCTCTTTCCTGTGGTTTTCAAGAGAGTAGAGTTGGTGAGATGCACCTGTGTTTCACAATAGCTCTTTTGTTTTCTGCTCCCTCCACTGGAAGAAAAGTTCCACATGAGAAGTAAAACACTTGTGTGTGTATTTAAAAAATACCCACCACCCCTGCATCCCAAACACAACCCTAGGGACTAGTGCTCGTGGCAGAAATTAAGGCAATATGGAGGTCTAAAAGATAATGGTCCTTAATCAGAGGGTTTAAGCATTACAGAAGGAATTCTATGTTAACTAGAAGGTATAAGCATTACAGAAGGAATTCTGTGTTATAGTAGCATTCTAGAATTTGGGAATTCATAAAGGCCTCTGCATGTAGCCCTTTTAAAAGCCAAAGTTCTTCAGAATTATTTTCAGTACTGAAATAATATAGAAATGCCTACAACATTACCTTGAGTTTTTTCTCCTTGTCTAAATGTGTATGATAATCCATTGTTTAATTTGCATGATTGAGAAGGTGAGGTGTTTTGAATGGCTGAAATTTCCAAGTGTCTAGATTCTTCTGTTTTAATTCTGAAGAATTAAAAAAACACTTTGATGAAATTATTTTAAATTATATGCTTCTCTTCTTTAACAGACTGTGATGCGTGTTAGAGATTTGGGAGTATTGATTAATTACAATTCTTCCTCATCCTTGTGCATTTCAAATCATTTCTGAAATAGATTCATGAATCATTCAGAGGGATATCAAAATATGTACTTTTGAAGAGCTGACATAGTTGGATTAGAGAACACAGTCTCAATGGGCAGCCCTATTCAGGCTTTCTAATTCTTGCTCCGAAAGCTAGACCTTGGGGTGACTTCTCTGAGATTCTCCCACATGCACTGGGGCCAGTGTTCATCCTGTGGGCGGCAGAGCCAGAGGGAGAAGCCTCAGGTATCCTCTTGCCATGGAAGGACTGAAGCAGGGAGTAGACAGAGAGCTGGAAGTGTTACTGGATTCCTGGGCGCTCCAGGGAGCTCATGGTTCCTTTAGGAGGCACGAAAAGAAAGGGAATGTGGCTGGGCTTGGTGGCTTGCACCTGTAATCCCAGCACTTTTGGGAGACTGAGGCAGGCAGATCACGAGGTCAGGAGATCAAGACCATCCTGGCTAACACGGTGAAACCCTGTCTCTACTAAAAATACAAAAAATTAGGCGTGGTGGCGCGTGCCTGTAGTCCCAGCTACTCGGGAGGCTGAGGCAGGAGAATCGCTTGAACCCAGGAAGCGGAGGTTGCAGTGAGCCGAGATCACGCCGCTGTACTCCAGCCTGGGTGACAGAGTGAGACTCCATCTCAATAATAAAAAAAGAAAAAGGAATGAAGATTTTCTCTTATTTCAACTTTTCTTGATATTTTGGGCTTTCACTCTGAATATTAACTGTTGTGCTGGCACATTGTTCTCTTAGGAGACATTGTGTTAGGTCATGTTGTTTGCCCTGTATCAGAAAGCTCCAGATTGCTGAGCTTTTAAAATACTCTTTCTTATTTCCTACTGTTTTCTAGCTGTTATATCTGACTGTTGTTGCCGACTCTGCTTTGAGCCCTCAGTGGCTTCTAGTGGACAGTTTCCCATAAACAAGGCACAAGTTTGTCCGAAAAAACAGGTCAGATTAGCTCAGTTTTACACACAAAACTCAGTGGACGCTGACGTGAGATTGTATCCACGCACTGACACTTTGCCAGCATACGGCAAACTTCTCAGAGGGCCACTAGCCCCATCAACCCACAGGTGCCATTTATATTTCTGAAATCAAAGCTGTGTTCCAAATAATAAAGTTTACAGCGAAATTCCAACAACTAGCTTTGAGTTTGTTCAAAATTCATTAATTCAAAAAACACTTTATTGAATACTTGTACAGAACCAAGCACCATGCTAGGTACAGTGGATAGAGAGACAGAGACGTGACCGCATTTCTTGTGGAATGGGCGCCTGATGCAGGAGACACAGAAGTGAATGCAGAGCGATGCTGCCCTGCCGTGGGTATTCAGAAGGCACTGGGCACAGCTCATGTCCCCTGTAAAATGCTTACCTGAACTCAGAGGTCCTGGGGTCAGGACACAATCACTTGCCCATGTTTTGTGGGCCCCAGCTGTCTGCAGTTCTTGCAGTTCTGTAGCGTTTGTGCCCAGAGCTAAAGTCCCACTGGACTCGGTGTTATTATGTATGGGAGCACAGGGAAGCGGCCTCTTCTCTAGACCAGCGAGATTAGGAAAGGCTTCCCAGAGGAGGGGACACCTGAGCCAAATTCTGCAGGGTGACAGGAGTAGCCAGCAGAGGGATGTGGACAGGGGAGCACGCGGAGCATATGCCTCTATTCCAGGCAGAGAGCACATCATGTCCAAAGGCCCAAATTTAAGACATAGATTGGGCTGTGGTTTAAGTTCATTTTGGTGAAGTGTGGGTGAAAAGGTTAATGGCGCTAGATCCCCAAGTGGGAGTCAGATTCTGTAAGGCCTTGTGAAGAGTTTGGACTCCATCCAGAGTCCACTTGCGTTTGGATGTGTCAGTCATGGGGGTGACCTAGTTTGTGATACGAGAAAATAAAAAGGTGGCTGTGTGGAGACTGTATTATGGGGATAAGACTGGAAAAAAGAATACCTGCCTGGAGGGAAATCACTGAAGCTCTCTGGTGTTTGTGCCTTGGTGCCCAAGCTGGTTGTACCTCCCTGACTGCCGGAGATGACCAGCTCCGAAACCGACTGTCCTGTAGGATCCCGAGTGATCAGTGTCACTTGAGGATGGGGTGCTATTCCGTGTTCTGTAATGCCTTCCTTTCTGTGAGGCCAGCAGGAACTGTGGTTCGTTTCAGATGACGTGTCTAAGGTGGCATTCCTGACCGTGACCCTACACCAAGGCGGAGCCACTCGCATGTACGCACTCACATCTGACGCGCAGCCTCTGCTGCTCAGCACCTTCAGCGGAGACCGCCGCTTCTCCCGATTTGGTGGCGTTCTGCACTTGAGTGACCTGGATGATGATGGCTTAGGTAAGAAAGGAACAGGACCCTTTGACAAGAATTGAGTCCCTTTGCCCAGGGGGTGGGTCCCCTAATTGGGTCATCTGGGCTCTGCCCTTATAATTGACAGCCCAGTGGCCCAAGGACCTTTAGACAGATCTTGAATGAGGCAAGACCAGAGAGGGAGTTGCACTTCTTGAAGCTGGTAATATGAGAATCACCTGTAGTAATTGCTATTGATGAATGAAGTAGGAAACAAAAGCCTTTGCCAGGATGAAATCACAGCCGACTAAAGGAGATACTAATATTATTTGTAAGAGGTTGGGTTAGGATCCAGTAGCGGAACAAGGAAAAGATGACAGTGAGGAGTCAAATACTTCCTTCTGTCGGTTTTTATTGTTTTCAGATGAAATCATCATGGCAGCCCCCCTGAGGATAGCAGATGTAACCTCTGGACTGATTGGGGGAGAAGACGGCCGAGTATATGTATATAATGGCAAAGAGACCACCCTTGGTGACATGACTGGCAAATGCAAATCATGGATAACTCCATGTCCAGAAGAAAAGGTAAGTGTTCTACAAAATTCTATAACTTATTGGGAAAGGATCACTAATTGCTGATTCCTTGTTAACTCATGTCCACTATAAAGTGCTTACCTGAATTCATACCTCCTAGGGTCAGGACACCATCATCTGTCCATGTTTTGTGGGCCCCAGCTGCCTGCAGTTCTTACAGTTCTGCAACATTTGTGCCCAGAGCTAAAGTCCCACTGGACTTGGTGTTATGTAGGTCCCTGGTCACACAGCCTGCCACTGCTTGGTTAGGCACCCACAGCACAGAAGAAAGAAAACAGGCCATGGCCATTGGAGTTTCTCTTTTTAAAATAGAGACGGGTTCCTGTTCCATTGCCCAGGCTGGAGTGCAGTGGTGTGATCATGGCCCACTGCAGCCTCAAACTCCTGGGCTCAGGTGATTCTCTTGTCTCAGCCTCCCGAGTAGCTAGGACTACAGGCATGTGCCACCACACCCGGCTAATCTTTTTATTATTTGTAGAGATGGGGCCTCACTATGTTGCCCAGGCTGGTATTGAACTCTTGGGCTCAAGCAGTTCTTCTACCTGGCCTCACAAAGTGCTGGGATTACAGGCATGAGCCACCATGCTCGGCCAGCCACTGGAGTTTCATTAAAACGTCCTCTCTTTTGCTTTTTGTTTCATTTCTTTGTTTATTCCTTTTTTGGGTGAGTTTCCTTAAGTTACATTTCCTGGGCCTAAAGCATTTGGCCATTATTTAACTTTTTTTTTTTTTTTTTTTTTTTGAGACAGCGTCTGGCTCTATTGCCCAGGCTGGAGTGCAGTGGCACGGTCTCGGCTCACTGCAACCTCCTCCTCCCAGGTTCAAGCCATTTTCCTGCTTCAGCCTCCCGAATAGCTGGGACTACAGGCATGCACCACCACGCCTGGCTAATTTTTTGTATTTTTAGTAGAGACAGGGTTTCACCATGTCGGCCAGGCTGGGATTACAGCCCAAAGTGCTGGGATAACAGGCATGAGCCACCGTACCCCACCTATTTTAAAAAATTTAAAATTATTTTTTAAATTGCAAAATTAGTGAAAGTTTATTATGGAAATTTTAGAAAATACAAAAATGTACAAAGAGAATTAAAAATTATCTACCTAAAATTCCACTCTGCAGAGCTAATACCTGCTTACCTTTAGAGCGGATCCTGCTAGTATTTTTCCTATGAATTTAATTACTACCATTTATTGTGCATTTAGTATGCATATGCTAAGAACTATGTATCATTTAATCCCCATAAAAGCTATGAAATTGGCCGGGCGCAGTGGCTCACGCCTGTAATCCCAGCACTTTGGGAGGCTGAGGCGGGCGGATCACAAGGTCAGAAGATCGAGACCATCCTGGCTAACACTGTGAAACCCTGTCCCTACTAAAGATACAAAAAATTAGCCGGGCTTGGTGGCGGGCGCCTGTAGTCCCAGCTACTCGGGAGGCTGAGGCAGGAGAATGGCGTGAACCCGGGAGGCGGAGCTTGCAGTGAGTCGAGATCATGCCACTGCACTCCAACCTGGGCAACAGCAAGACTCTGTCTCAAAAAAAAAAAAAAAGAAATTAATATTATGCCCATTTACAGATTAAAAAAATTAAAGATCTCAGCTGAGTGTGGTGGCTTATGCTTGTAATCCCAGCACTTTGGGAGGCTGAGGCAGGAGGATCCCTTGAGCTCAGGAGTTCAGCACCAGCTTGGGCAACATAGGGAGACCCTGTCTTTTTTTTTTTTTTTTTTGAGACGGAGTCTCGCTCTGTCGCCCAGGCTGGAGTGCAGTGGCGTGATCTCGGCTCACTGCAACCTCCACCTCCCAGGTTCATGCCATTCTCCTGCCTCAGCCTCCCAAGTAGCTGGGGCTACAGGCGCCCACTACCACGCCTGGCTAATTTTTTTGTATTTTTAGTAGAAACGGGGTTTCACCGTGTTAGCCACGATGGTCTTGATCTCCTGACCTCGTGATCCGCCCAAGACCCTGTCTTAAAATAAAAAAATTAAAGATCAGCGAGGAAGTTTATTCAAGGTTACACTGCCAGGAAGGCAGGGCACAACAGAGATTTGAACCAAGATCTGATTCTAAAGCCTACCCTTAAGTATTACACTATGTGCGTGCATATTTTGGTTAACAATTGTGATCCTATTGTGCATAATTTGTGCATAATTTTGTAACTTTTTTTTTTTTAATGGAGTCTCACTCTGTCATCCAGGCTGGAGTGCAGTGGCATGATCTCGGCTCAGTAAAACCTCCACCTCCCAGGTTCAAGCGATTCTCCTGCCTCAGCTTCCTGAGTAGCTGGGACTACAGGCGCACACCACCGTGCCTGGCTAATTTTTGTGTTTTTAGTAGAGACGGGGTTTCACCACGTTGGCCAAGCTGGTCTCGAACTCCTGACCTCCAGTGATCCGCCTGCCTCAGCCTCCCAAAGTGCTGGGATTATAGGTGTGAGCCACTGTGCCTGGCCGTAACTTGATTTTTCTTTCTACCTAACAATATACCGAGAACATTTTCTTATGTTATCTGATATTCTTATATAATATGATATTTACCGGCTGATGAGTATTTTATCTACAGACAAACCATAGTTTATTTACCCATTATTCAGGCAACCATTGTTAGTCAATTGTGCCATTTCCAATTTTCATTGTTTTAAATAATATGGTAAATAGTCACATAAATGTTTTTATACATCTGGTTATTTTTCTGACCTGTATTTCTATAAGTAGAATTTCTGGGGTCAAAGGGCATGCACATTTGTAAGGCTAATCAAGAAATGTAGAAATGAGGCTGGGCGTGGTGGCTCATGCCTGTAATCCCAGCACTTTGGGAGGCTGAGGTGGGTGGATCACCTGAGGTGAGGAGTTCGAGACCGGCCTGGCCAACGTGGTGAAACCGCCTCTCTACTAAAAATACAAAAAAATTAACCGGGCGTGGTGGTGGGCGCCTGTAATTCCATCAACTCACGAGGCTGAAGCGGGAGACTTGCTTGAACCTGGGAGGCAGAGGTTGCAGTGAGCTGAGATCACGCCACTGCACTCCAGCCTGGGCGACAGAGCAAGACTCCTTCTCAAAAAAAAAAAAAAAAAAAAAAAAAAGTAGAAATGAGGGTATAAGGGTATAATTAAAATTGATTTTAAAAAGCCACACAAACAGTAATAACATTGTCTCTCTCCTCAATTTTTTTCTTCAGGCCCAATATGTATTGATTTCTCCTGAAGTAAGTATCCCTTGAAAGACTGAAGAAAGAAAAATTACCAAAACAATGCCCCTTGGTTTATTTTAAACGGATAAAGTATTACACTATGTTCTTCAAAGCCCATTAACAGACGGCATGTTTTACAGGCCAGCTCAAGGTTTGGGAGCTCCCTCATCACCGTGAGGTCCAAGGCAAAGGTGAGCCCAAGGACTGAACTTCATTGATGTTTATGTTAGTACTACGGGTGGGATTTGGTGGTCTCACTTGTTAGGTTTATTTCAGATTTTATTTTTATTTGAAAAGGAGAGGAACACACAGAAAGTAACATTCACATATAATCTCATCACTTCCTTGGTGGAAAGTTTCCCTTTTTACTCTTCCTATTTTATCCTCTACAGCAGGGGTTGGGGCCAAGTCGTCTGCCACCTAATTTTGTAAAGCCATGAACTAAAAAAGTCAGCTCATGTTGAGATGGTTGAAAAGAAATCAAAACAGAATGTTTTGTAACATATGAAGTTTAAACGGCAGTGCAGTTTCAGCGCCCACACAGCTGTAGTGGAACATAGCCGGGCTCGTCTGCTGTGGACTGCGCGTGGCTGCTGTCGTGCTGCCGTGGCAGAACTGACTGGTTGCTTTGGAGACTGATGCCCCACAAAGCCTAAGTATTATTATCTGCCTGTTCTCCAAAATTGTTTGCTGGCCCTTGCCTTAGAAAATAACCATTATTAGTATTTTGCTATTTTCTTCCAGACTTTCAGAGTTTTTTCTTTCTTTATTATTTTTTATACAGAACCTTGCTCTGTCGCCCATGCTGGAGTGCAGTGGTGCAAATTTGGCTCACCGCAACCTCCACCTCCCAGGTTCAAGTGATTTTCCTGCCTCAGCCTCCCAAGTAGCTGGGATTACAGGTGCCCACCACCAGGCCCAGCTATTTTTTCAAAAACTTTTTGTAGACATGGGGTTTTGCCACGTTGTCAAGGCTGGTCTCAAACTCCTGGCCTCAAATGATCTGCCTGCCTCTGCCTTCCAAAGTGCTGGGATTATAAGCATGCACCACTGCACCCGGCCCAGAGTTTTTCTGTTTTTCTATGGCTTCAGAGATACACACACACACCTTTTTTTTTTTTTTTTTTTTTAAGACAGAGTCTGGCTCTTGTCACCTAGGCCGGAGTGCAATGGTGTGGTCTTGGCTCACTGCAACCTCTGTCTCCTGGACTCAAGTGATCCTCCAACCTCAGCCTCCTGAGTAGCTGAGACCACAGGTGTGTGACACCATTCCATGCTAGTTTTTGTATTTTTAGGAGACAAGAGTTTCACCATGTTGCCCAGGCTGGTCTTGAACTCCTGGGCTCAAGAGATCCACCCACCTTGGCCCCCCATTTTTTTTGGCTATTACAGACAAGGCCATAGTGAGCATTCTTGTACGTATGTGTAGCTTTTTATAATTGAGCAAGTATCCCCACAGGTGAGAATCTTAAAAGTAGGATTGCTAGATCTAAAAGTGTACACAGTTTAAATTTCGATATGGCAGATTAAAAAGTTTAACCTTGGCTGGGTGCAGTGGGTCACACCTGTAATCCCAGCACTTTGAGAAGCCGAGGTTGGTGGATCGCCTGAGGTCAGGAGTTCAAGACCAGCCTGGTCAACATGGTGAAACCCCGGCTCTACTAAAAATACAAAAAATAGCCCGGCGTGGTGGTGCATGCCTATAGTCTCAGCTATTCGGGAGACTGAGGCAGGAGAATCGCTTGAACCTGGGAGGTGGAGGTTGCCGTGAGCCTAGATGGTGCCACTGTACTCCAGCCTGGGTGATGGAGCAAGACTCTGTCTCAAAAAAAAAAAAAAAAAGTTTAACCTTAAAATATACCTGTAAACCACTGATTGCATTCATCCACTGTATAGGCTATAAGAAATAAAAACAGAGAGGGCAGAGTCCCTGTTCTTGAAAATAAGATTCATATACATGGAAAGTCAAATAAAATGCAAATTAGTATAGGATTAAATGCTAATGAGTAGTCTGAAGAATAAGTCTTTACAGTGGGTTGAAGGGCTGCAGAAGCCTTCATAGATTTATATATATAACCAGGTCTGTAAGACTTGTTAAGTGCTGTGGACCAGGTTCCTGTGGACCAGGGTGGAAGGTGGGAGGAGGAAGAGGATTAGGAAAAATTGTGGTGAAACTGCCCTCTAGTGGCCAATAATTTAAGTGACCCATTTACAGGCAGGTCTAAAAATGTAGGATTAACCACATAACAAAAATATGGTTATTAACTTTATGGGAAGATTCTCGGAAGGTCTGATCACAGGGATCCTTTATATGACAAGCTTGGCTTATATCTAAAATTTTATTTGTTTCAAAAATTAGGCATTGTCAAGAACCCATGTATTATATAAAACTATACATATATCAACTATAGCTTACATCAGTTGAGAGTAGTGGTATATATAATCTAAAAGTAACTTATATTTTATTCCTTTTTGTAAAACACTGCAAATGTACCTTCCTAATTATTGTTTACCTGGGTTAGTGTTAAAATTACTTCACTTTTCCAGCACATACCTGAGCTTGGGGGCATTGAACGCTCTGGGTGTAAAGATAAATCAGATGTTATGTTTCAAAAATGGGCATTGACAATCAGAGGATGATCAGAGTGGCCTTTTTCTGAGATTTGGGTACAAGTTATGTTCTGAAGATTCCTTCCTTTCTGTGGCATAAGAGCATTCAGTAATGAAATTAGTCGTAACAAACTAGAATTAGGATCCGGCGTCTACTTAAGTAAGTAGTGCTCTCACTGTCTCTGTATTTCAGAAACTTCTCATGGGGCTGCCTTCCATCAGCTCAGGAGCCTCAGCAGAGCAGTAACTTAGTGTATAGTGAGCAGTGTTGTATCAAGCACCTGTGAGATAGACAAAGAAACCTGAGACATGGTCCCAGCCCCAGGTGCTTGTAGTCTAGGTGGGAAAATACAGCAGGCCCACAAGACCATCCAGTTTGGTGTATGATGACCAAGAGCCAAACGAGGTCAGACAGCAACTGCAGCAGAAGTCTCTGCTGGTGGAGTCAGGGAAGGGCCTGCAGAGATCATGGGCCCGGAGCTGCATCTGGAAAGATGACTAGACTCTGACAAAACAGAGTGAAGCCGAAGGCCAGGCAAATTTAGTAAATGAGTAATTCCATAAATTGGGAAAGAGAGGGAGAATAAAGTACCATTTGATGCTGTTTTCTTAAGTGTAGATTTTCCCTATTAATTGACACTGGGTATTAAGGGATAAGATAAGCACAGGGCTAAGCATAGTGTCTGACCCATGATACAACCTCCACAAATTTTAGCTATTATTATTATTTCTAGATTTCATCAGTAGTTTTCAAAATTAAATAAGAAACTGTCATATCCTGCTCTGACCAAAATACTGTCAGCCAGTTTGATCACCCGTACCTCATGTGCCAGCTTTGGTTCAGAATAACTTTTGTCAGTTTCCACAAATCAAATCCGACCTCGGAGTATGAAGATTTGCCACCACTGAAAATATTTAAAGACCAGGCATGGTGGCTCACATCTGTAATTTCAGCACTTTGGGAAGCCGAGGCGGGTGGATCACTTGAGGTCGGGAGTTCGAGACCAGCCTGGCCAACATGGTGAGAGCTCGTCTCTACTAAAAATACAAAAATTAGCCAGATGTGGTGGCACATGCCTGTAATCTCCGCTACTCGGGAGGCTGAGACATGAGAATCACTTGAAACTAGGAAGCAGAAGTTGCAGTGAGCTGAGATCACATCACTGCACTCCAGCCTGGGTGACAGGGCAAGACTCTGTTTCAAAAAAGAAGAAAATGTTTTAAAAACTTGCAGCAGGTTTTGAAGGCAATTCTGAAAGATGGGTCCTAAAATGTTTTAAGCAGCAGGGTAGGTGGGAGGTACGCTAAACACATTGACAAAGCCAGCTTCTAGGGGAAGTCCTTACTATTCAAGATATGTTTTCCACATTGTACCAGAACTAAGCATGCACTGCCCTACTTCTCCTTTATGATTTATGTGCCAGAATAGGGATTGGGGTGAGCATCCTTAGCTGCGGTTTTCAGAACTTATAGATGTGAGAAAGCGGTCTGTAAACAAAGGGAAAGTGGCATTTGAGTTCAAGCCAGGGGATCTGGCCAGTGTCTTATTCATCTTTATATTTCTAGAGCATAGCATGATGCCTGGACTACCATAGGAACTCAATAGATGTTATGAATGAGCCATGAATTCTGTCTTGTGTCCCTTACAGAACCAAGTCGTCATTGCTGCTGGAAGGAGTTCTTTGGGAGCCCGACTCTCCGGGGCACTTCACGTCTATAGCCTTGGCTCAGATTGAAGATTTCACTGCATTTCCCCACTCTGCCCACCTCTCTCATGCTGAATCACATCCATGGTGAGCATTTTGATGGACAAAGTGGCACATCCAGTGGAGCGGTGGTAGATCCTGATAGACATGGGGCTCCTGGGAGTAGAGAGACACACTAACAGCCACACCCTCTGGAAATCTGATACAGTAAATATATGACTGCACCAGAAATATGTGAAATAGCAGACATTCTGCTTACTCATGTCTCCTTCCACAGTTTACTTCCTCGCTCCCTTTGCATCTAAACCTTTCTTCTTTCCCAACTTATTGCCTGTAGTCAGACCTGCTGTACAACCTATTTCCTCTTCCTCTTGAATGTCTTTCCAATGGCTGGAAAGGTCCCTCTGTGGTTATCTGTTAGAACAGTCTCTGTACACAATTCCTCCTAAAAACATCCTTTTTTAAAAAAAGAATTGTTCAGCCATAAAGAAAGAACAAGATCATGCCCTTTGCAGGGACATGGATGGAGCTGGAGGCCATTATCCTTCATAAACTATTGCAGGAACAGAAAACCAAACACTCCATATTCTCACTTGTAAGTGGGAGCTAAATGAGAACACGTGGACACATAGAGGGAAACAACACACACTGGGGCCTATGAGAGGGCGGAAGGTGGGAGGAGGGAGAGATCAGGAAAAATAACTAATGGATACTTAGGGTGATGAAATAATCTGTGTAACAAACCCCCATGACACACCTTTATGTATGTAACAAACCAGCACTTCCTGCGCATGTACCCCTGAACTTAAAAGTTAAAAAAAAGTTGAACTTAAAAATAACAGATTGGCCCATGCCAATCAAAGTATAATAGAAAGCATAGTATACAGAAAAAAAAAAAAAAAAGAAACTGAGGGAGGAAAAATAGTACAGAGTAAAGCATGGGGGTGAGGGATAACCTCACATTCCAAATCACTTGTGACTTAGTCCTTTTTAACTTTTATTTTAGGTTCAGTGGTACATGTGAAGGTTTTATCTTTTCTGTTCCTCCCACCTTCCCCACTCAAGTAGACCCCAGTGTGTGTTGTTTTGTGTTCATAAGTTCTTTTAACTTAGCACCCACTTGTGAGAACATGCTATACTTGGTATTTGGTTTTCTGTTCCTGGTCGTGTGTTAGTTTGCTAAGGATGATAGTCCTTTTTTTTTTTTTTTTTTTTTGAGACGGAGTCTTGCTCTGTTGCCCAGGCTGGAGTGCAGTGATGTGATCTCAGCTCACTGCAACCTCCGCCTCCCAGGTTCAAGTGATTCTCCTGTCTCAGCCTCCCAGGCAGCTGGGACTACAGGTGCACAATACTACGCCCGGCTAATTTTTGTATTTTTAGTAGAGACAGGGTTTCACCATGTTGGCCAGGCTGGTCTCGAACTCCTGATCTCAGGTGATCCACCCACCTTGACCTCCCAAAGTGCTGGGATTACATGTGTGAGCCACAGGACCTGGCCGATAATCCTTTCTTAATGAGGATTAATACCTTTTCAATGTTTATATAGTGAAGGACAAATATAAAAACCAAGACTATCACCCTTCTGTGCCCTCCAATACTTTTGTAGAGTTGGCTGTTCTAACACCTAAAGAGCCTAGCGACACTGCTAGTTTTAAGCCATCTCATGAGGGACCTTTGTCGCATTAGGTTACAACTTGTGCCAAAAGAACTAGAGGGAAAAGATGTGGCCTGAGCCACACGCTACTGTAAGGGCCGGAGAGGAAAGCAGGCCTTGGCCTCGCTTGTTCCTGGGCTGTTTTTCGTAGGATGGATTTCATTTGTCAGTCCTGCAGCGTGGCACACTTAAGGGAATGGAATGTATCATAGGGTTTCAGTTTCAGTAAACATTAGCGGGCATTATCTGTAAACAGTAACTAGTTTATTTTGTGTTAAATTGGGAAGAACCTCTTTCTTCTGCCACGGGTGAGATGATACTAAAAGCAGGAGAAAATAACAAATGAGAAGAGCCCTTCTCTTCTCAGCTTCTCTCAAGAGTAGAGACTGGTGAAAAGGGGACAGGAAGAGGAATCCAGCTGAAGAGTGGAAAGTTAACAAGAACATCAAGAGGTACATCCCTAGAGAGCATCTCTGGGTCACTCCCAGGATGACCTCATTTTTCTGGAAGAGGTACATGTGCTAGCTGCATAGTAACCTATGGCACAGCAAAAGCACAAGGAAGCGCCATTTGGTTTTGTTTAGGGACAATTATTGGTAGCCCAACCTATCTGAAGAATTACTTTTAATTAAAAGGATGGTTATTTTTAGGGGACCAGAAATTACTTAGTTGTATTCACTTATGAGTTGAGCAGTTAGAGCACTCTGACATCTGACACTTGAGTAAAGGGATGTTTTTCTCAGTACTGGGTCTTTTCATTAGACGGATGCATTTATATAGTGTCAGTTTTTATGCTTCACTAAATGATAAGGCCTCTGTTTAAACATGACCATTATTTACCTCACGATTTATATTTTTCTCAATGCCTGAATACACCCAATAGCAAGCACCAGGTGGAGGTTAAGACCCACAAAAATGGAAGCAAGCTTCAAGTTTATAGGACATTTAACCATACTAACCCCAATGTCAAAAACAATGTAAATTATACTCCTACTGTAAAAGGTCAACTGATATGGCACGTATGTAAAAAACCTGGCATACAGGAAAAAATTAATGCATGACAGTCTAATATATTATCCTGATACATGGATTAAATTTTCTTTCCACTAAGTATTAACTATAGTTTTAAGCATTGATTCTGCTTAATAACTAAAATGTAAAGACCTTACCTTGTAGGGTTGTAATTTCTCATTAACAGAAATCTGAACTTATACAAGTTTAACTGAAATTTATCTTTATTTCAAGATATCAGAAGACATTTACATATTTGCATTTTCTGTCTTGCTACTATCTGCGTATATGTAACAGCTTTTCTCAAGGCTTCAAGATAGGAATTGTTTTATGCCTTTGTATCACAGACCTAAGAGACCAAAATTATTTGAAGATGGAGTGGGGACAAAACTAGGGTCTCTGCAGTCCCTACTCCATGTACCATCCATTAGCTCACCTCTGTAGGTATTACTAAAGTCATGAGAGTTAAATCCAACGTGCAACTTTAATATTGCAATTCCAAAAAATAAAGCTGTATACAACTCTTGGAATAACTCACCAAAATAAATAGCTTTTTAATATAAAATTGGTTAGTGCTGCTTAACAGTCTGTGTTCATGAAGAATAAGGTGTTAATAATTGTGCTCACATTTGTTTAGGAGCCTTCCAAAGACAGTATCACACCTTGACGTGTTCGACACTTGATGTGTTTGACAGGCGATATGATTGCTTACTCACTCACATAACCCAGTGTTTGGTACCTACTTTCAAACAGTAATTAATGTGCTCAGTCCATTTTAGTTCAAAATTTAAAACCAAGGAACTTCATATATTTTTGGCATAAGCTGATTTATTATTTATGAGAACTTTAGTATAAGAAGCATCCTGCAATCACAAAAGTGGAACTAGTTGATATTTTGAAATCATACTTGATTTAACCACCTTCAGAAATTCTATAAAACACTAGCAACTTCCTTTTATCAGACTTATGAGGTAGTTACATTATTTTTCCTTTTATTGACATGATTCATCAAAAAATTATTTTATCCAAGCTCATAAACTAAGTCAATAAAACTGCAAGGAAAAATGACAAAAATTCTATCTTATGCCTGATCTTAGTCAAATCAAATGTTGCCCTCTGGGATTCCAATTCTTCATGTCACAGTTAAGTAGTACTTATTATGTATTTTACAGTGATACGACCCAAAATAGCAGCAGTGTGCTCTGAGGTGTGCCAAAAGTGTGCCCTGTGAAATATAAGTATTATCAAATACAATCTTAAAAATCCTAAGAGATTCGTAATGCTAGAGGGTGCTGTATGTTCACATTCCGACAAGAACACCATGACGCGTGTTCCTGACCCACAGTGTGGTGGCACAGGGGCCACTGCGTGCTCGAGTCTAGCCCAGCCTGTCCTGTTCCATTCTGTTCTGCAGCTTCCCTCTAATGGCTTCCCATGACCACACACAGGAGTGGGGAAACCTTACTTGTACTTCATCGGTTTTCTTCCAAATCAGCGACGGGAGTAACATTTTTATTCCTATCACCAAACCACCTGAAAAATGGACTCCTAAACTTCCTCATATGACATCACATTAGGCTAATCATGTACCCTCAATATCATCAGGGTAAGTGTATTTATTCTGTTATTATTACATTTGTAGTGCAAGAGCTGGACACTCTAGAATCTTCCATGCACACTACTTTGGGAGGCTTAACAAATGTTCTAGTGCCTAACTGTACTTAACCTCCAGAAAATATTTTAAAAGGTAGGTAGGATGTTAAAGAGGATGGCAGCTTTCAGGCTTACAAATATTAGCCATTTGTTTTAAACCCAAATCTCTGTGGAAATGAGAAGATATCACAGTTCTAACATTTATTCATCCTCATGTTTTAGGAAGCTCATCTGTCAGCTTCTGAGGTGTAGGCATATAGATTAGCAGGACAATAAACATTTTTCTTTTTGGGGCAGGGCAGGGGTGGTATCTAAATATCTACTTTAAAAATCAATAAATGGACAAAGTGCTACAAAACAGTAACAGAATGGAAATACTTCCTTTCAACTTTGCTTCCAAAGGCTCTAATTACAGAGAGCAAAGAAAACTAGTCTCAGGGGCTGAGAACGTGAAATCTTGATTAGGAATCCATACAATGGTGATATTAAATTATTTCTTTTTATTCACCTTTTATAAAAAAAAGGGGGCAAATACAAGAAATAAGGTTATGTCAAAGTTTGGTTTTTAAAGCTCAAACTTACAGAGTCTGTTGTAAGGTTAATACATAGAATGCTAGCTTTTTAGTCACCTGAGAATCAGGAAATTCACATGAACATAATTCCCTATACTGACAAAGAACTATAGCTACCTATGGGCTTGTCAAGTTCCTACGCTTCATTCAGCATGAAATTGCACTTTTCTTGATATGTATAAATTAAAATCTATGCAACTGTCTGTGCTTGTGTTGCCTCATATCACATCTATAAAAACAGCATTTAAAGTTTGTAGGAAATAGAATTTTGGCCTTTTACAAAGCAAATACTTTGTTTCTTTAACTCAGAATTCTGGAAATGCAATCCAGTTCTGGTATTGTGACTGCCAAAATATTTTTGTCTTCAAACATTAGTTTTTTTCAAGTGTCTGACTCTATACAAGAAAATAATAAAAAGAGTATCAGAAGTTTCCTGTAACTACCATAAAAAAAACTTCAGTATCCACGGGGCTGTTCCTAACGGTTTGTTAGGATGCTCCTTCCTGATCCAAGTCCATCCAGTCTGAGGCTATTTTTCAATTCCATGCTTCTATCTGCCAGAAGAGTCTTTTTAGGTAAAGAAGCCATCTAAATAAAGCAGAAGTATTAATTTTAGTATCTTTTTTAAAAGAAAAGCCACTAGTAAAATGATGTATTATGTAACTACTCAGTGAAGAAAGGACTATAAGCAGTATCAGTGTCTTAAGTATTTATTCCAGTGGTGCCATCTTCAAGTACAAAGAAAATGGAGGTGAATTTTCTATCTTTTAAGAACGTTATAAATGTTTCCTACATTTCCATTTGGTTATGACAAACCTTATACCAGAATTACTAACATCTGTTTAAATGTATGTTGTCAGAGTTCTACACAAATTATATTTCTAACTTATTGTGTTAGGCAGTGTGCTAGTAAGTGCTTTACACATATTGTTTAATTCTTCCCATAACCCTATGAAGCAGGTAATACCGACTTAACTGACAGATAGGGAAACTGAAGGAAGTTTGAGAAAGCAACTCGCAAGGGCCATAGTGCCTGTGACAACTTAATCCCAGGCGCTCTGACTTTAGGGCCCATGATCATAACCCTTCCACAATACCGCCGTGAACCATATCCTTCATACCATAGGAGGCAATGGAGCTTCTAGCTGTCGTCCAAGGAATGAAAGCAGGCGCCTCCAGATGAGGCCACTTCCCATGAACATAATTCCTGTAATCAGCCAAAAAATTCTATGGTCCTAAAAGAGAACACAGTTCATTTCCATCGCAAAACGCCAGGTTCCTTAGAAGATTCCTTGAATTGTTACTGCCCCAGAGTTTGAAAGCCTTATGTTATTTGTACAGCTCTTTCCTGTAGAAAGGAACTAAGAAAAACAAGGGCCTTGATAGCACCCACAGAATAAAGCAGGAGAAGAACATGATTTAAAAGGTTTTAAATATTTTAAAATCATCTATATGCCAAATGTACTGCTTTTACTTTGTGTTTCTTTGCAGCCTTTGTTTACATGCGTGCAAATCTTAAGTCATGATGCCAGAGGACACGCAATTTAAGGTCTTTGCTTATATCCACAGTTCTCAAACTGTGAGCTGAATGTCTGGTGCTATGCTGGGCACGATAGCACCTCAGAATATTTTAAAGTTGCAAGGGAAATAACATAAAGGAATCTGTAACATAATAAATTTTTTGTCTTCCGATACTGTGAAAAAATTACTAAGACACTAAGGGCATCGTGATCCAAGGAAGTTTGGGAACCTCAGACTTAGAAAAACATTCTTCCTCACCGTCATTTTCAGAGTGGTAATATTTTGCAGCACACTGTTTTTAGTTAATGTACAGAATCACAGAATTTAAATTTAATCTCTCACAAGGAAGGAATCCCATTTATAGCTATGCTGTTATCATTGGCTCCAATGATTGAGAGCTCACTTCCTCAAAGATAGCCTGTTACACAACTGATCAGCTATCACTGATGGAAATGCATGTCACTTATTGAACAGAAATCTGCCTCCTCTTTTTGTTGTTGTTGAGATGGAGTCTTGCTCTTCACCCAGGATGGAGTCCAGTGGCTCAATCTTGGCTCACTGCAACCTCCGTCTACCTGATTCAAGCGATTCTTGTGCCTCGGCCCCCCTGAGTAGCTGGGATTACAGGTGTGCGGCACCATGCCCAGCTAATTTTTGTATTTTTAGTAGAGATGGGGTTTCACCATGTTGGTCAGGCTGGTCTCGAACTCCTGGCCTAAAGTGATCTGCCCACCTTGGCCTACCAAAGTGCTGGGATTACAGGTGTGAACCACAACCCCCAGTCCTATATGCAATATGTGATCTAAGATTTTCTTTGTGATAAAAAGCACTACTGAGATAAGTGGCAAAATCTGAGTAGGGTCTTTAGATTGGAAAATAACTTCAGTATTAACTTCCTGATTTTGATAGCTGCACTGTGGTTATGTAAGAGGATGTCCATGTTTTAGGAAATACGTATTAAGACATTTAGGAGTAAAGGAACATCACATTTGTTCTTAGTCTCAAATAATTTAGAGAATAAAGTATGCTAGCAAAGAAATGATAAAGCAAATGTGATAAAATGTTGATATTTGGAATCTGGTTTAAGAAAATGGAAATTCTTTGACTATTCTTGGAACTTTTCCAGAAGTCTGAAATTATCTTAAAATATTTTTCCTATCTCAGATTCACCATGGCAAATATTAATTTTAACTATATCGAAATAAAGACATTTGACATCCATGGATTTAATGTTTTCAACTATTCTTCAGGACACCTACAAAGATGTGTAATTTGTAATTCTGATAAGACATTAATTTGAATCTTTTCAGCCTACTACTGAGCAAGCGTAGCTCACTACCACCTACCACTCTTATCTCATTACAAATGGGCTGTGCTGTACCTAGGATTGCACATACTAAAACTATAAGAAAGGAATTTGAAAAATCTTCCATTGTTTTGAAAAGTTGGCAATTAAGTGAGAGAAAAATATCAAAGTATAAAATGGAGTTAGCTTGTAGATTGAGTATATATACATAAACATGATTATGTATTTAGAGAAAAGACAGGGACTTGTAGAGAAAGTCCTGTAGTCACACTTAGGGAATCTGTAAAGGTCTTTGGATGTATCTTTTGAGAATGTCAATGGCTGGATTATGTTGCACAAGGTATTCTGCTTGCTTCTGAACTTTCCAATGATCTAGATTTGAGTTCAAACCTCCAGTGGGTTCCTATCCCACTTAGAAATCCAAACCCCTACCACGCTCTACGTCACTGACATGATCATACTTATCTGCATCTGGGACCTCATTTTCCACCTGACTCATGCTCTTCTAACCATTCCAACCTTCTTGCCATTTCATGAACAAGCTCAGATCGTTCCTGCCTCAATCTTTACTTCTGTGGTTCCCTCTACTTAGAACACTCTCCCCCAGATCTTCCTGCCTCCACCAGGGTGTTACCGCCTTACATCTTCCTTGACCACCCTATCTCTAAAATGCCACACATCCTACTGCCTAACATTCTCTATCCGCTTCTCTGGCTTTATTTTTCTCTGAGGCACTTAGCACTTAACATACTTTGTTTGTTTATGAACTCTCTCCTCCACTACAATATAACCTACGCAAGGGCAGACTCACTGCTAAATGGGCCTAAAGCAGTGCTTGGTATATAACAGGCAATAAAAAAACGTATTTGTGAGATGAATGAACACATGTATTTCCTTTTCTTTTATACTTTACATTAAAAATGACTAATACTGTCTTTGCTTCAAGGAGCTCATGCTCTTTTGCAGGCTTTGAACAAGGGATTGCAGATTTAAGGAATGTAGCAGATGGAAGGGTAGGATTATTTGGGCGCAGACGACAAAGTAACTTTACTGGGCCAGGTTGTCGGTGCATTCAGTGAAGGGACAACTACTTTGAGACCTGAAAGATGAGGAGGAAGTAACTAAGCAAAACGGGGATCTGAGGGGAGAGGAGTGGAAGCAGCATGTCTGGGAAGGACACTGAGAGAGGTAGTAACAAGTGGCTACCCACAAGATGGACAAGTCGGTGCGGCAGGACGGGATTTTTATCCTAAGGCTAATCAAAAGCCATTGAATAGTTGTATGCAGAAGGGTGTCATAATACTTACATCTTATAAAGACCACTTTTTAAAAGGGCATAGTGGTCCTAATGGGAGGTGATGTGGGCAACAGAGTAGACTCGTTAGACTAATGAGGACACAGAATCCAGCATCACACTGTGCCAGATGCACATCCAGGTTCAGTTCTAGAAAACTTACAATAAGCTATTCTGTGAAAACACAGTCAGTGGGTTCTGTATCTGCAGATATGCAAGGTTGACTGTACTGGGTCATTTTATATCAGAGACTTGAATACCCACAGACTTTGGTATCTGTGGGGATCCTGTAACCAATTCTTCTTGGATACTGAGGGATGACTGTACAAAACCACAGTGAAATGAAAAACTCTGGGAGTTAAGTATTATCTTAATACAGAAAGGCAACAGAGCAGTAGAAAGTGCAAGTCTTTGGGGTCATGTCCTAATTCTGTTATTTTTCCAGCTCTATGCCTGTGGGCAAGTTAAATGTTCTGAGCCTCAGTCTTCTCATCTACAAAGTAGGGATAATATATCTATTTTCAGAGTTGCAATGATTGAGCCAAATAAAGTATGCAAACCGCCTGGTACGTTGCCAGACATGTAAGAATTAAAAAATAAAAACTCTTCATTAACACTGCTTCACAGAGACACTGTTTTATCACACCTTTCCCATCTGTAATTATATGTTTTGGGAAACAAAGTAACCTAGGCTGTATTTATCTAGGTTATAACATGGTCCAACAGTACTGCCTGAATTGTGAGTTACATTATATATTTTATTTCACCATGGTAGTTTACAGGTTAGACTTTTTATTTATTTATTTTTTGAGACAGAGTCTCACTCTGTCCTGTCGCCCAGGCTGGAGTGCAGTGGTGTGATCCTGGCTCACTGCAAGCTCCGCCTCCCAGGTTCATGCCATTCTCCTGCCTCAGCCTCCGGAGTAGCTGGGACTACAGGCGTCTGCCACCACGCCCGGCTAATTTTTTGTATTTTTAGTAGAGACAGGGTTTCACCGGGTTAGCCAGGATGGCCTCGATCTCCTGACCTCGTGATCTACCTGCCTCAGCCTCCCAAAGTGCTGGGATTACAGGCGTTGAGCCAAGGTGCCCAGCCTTTATTTTTTAAATCCATTAAAAATATCGATCTTCAAAACCCAATCTTTTTTTTTGGAGACAGAGTCTCACTCTGTCTCCCAGGCTGGAGTGCAACGGCGCGATCTCAGCTCACTGCAACCTCCGCCTCCCGGGTTCAAGTGATTCTCCTGCCTCAGCCTCCCAAGTAGCTGGGATTACAGGTGCCTGCCACCGTGCCTGTCTAATTTTTGTATTTTTAGTAGAGACAGGGTTTCGCCATGTTGGCCAGGTTGGTCTCAAACTCCTGACCTCAGGTGATCCACCTGCCTCAGCCTCCTAAAGTGCTAGGATTACTGACATGAGCCACCATGCCCGGCCAAAACCCCCAAGTTTTAGAAATAATAATACATTCTCACCTCTTCAAGGGAAGATTCCAAATTCATTCCAAAAGCAACTCCCATTAGTCCAAAGAGCGAAAGAGAGAAGGTTCCCATGGTCAGCTGTAGATTCAACCTCATCATCACGTTTCGGTGGCTGGAGAGGAGAACACCTATTCAGATTAGAAGGGCCCACTAACTATATACAGCACATTCATCAAATCTATACAGACCACATGGATGAAACCTACACAACAAAAAAAATAATAATAATGTAGTATAGATGATAATGATGGCGTAATTCCTCACAAAATATTTCCTTAAAAACTTTCTTATAATTATTTTATTAAAAAAACTTAGTTTTATATAATGCTTTCTTACCTGTCCAGATTAATGAAAATAATACTTTGTGAATCATCAATCAGCACCCTAAGCTCACGAGCTGCATTGGAGAGATCGTCAGCCAATCGGTAGTAGTTTTCCAACAGCAACTCCATCTCTTCTGCATGGTCAATCCCAGCACTGCTCTTTTCACTTCAATTAAAAGAGAAAATAATTAACATACTCCCAACATGTGTATCATATACTTAGTGACAAAAACTTCCTAAATTAGTATATAGCATTCAGCTACCAGTGGAAAAGCTAGCCTTTGTCTTGTCTTGTCTTTTTTTTTTTTTGAGATGGAGTTTCACTCTGCTCCCAGGCTGGAGTGTAGTGGCGCGATCTCGGCTCACTGCAACCTCTGCCTCCCAGGTTCAAGCTGTTCTCCTGCTTCAGCCTCCCCAGTAGCTGGGACTACAGGTGCCCGCCACCACGCCCAGCTAATTTTTGTATTTTTAGTAGAGATGGGGTTTCACCATATTGGACAGGCTGGTCTCGAACTCCTGACCTTGTGATCTGCCTGCCTCGGCTTCCCAAAGTGCTGGGATTACAGGCATGAGCCACAGCGCCTGGCTGCCTTTGTCTTTTCTATTGTTGTGGCCAATCTGTGAGTACCTATGTCAACTGATCCAAAACACTTTACAGATGAGTTGAGGACAGAGGTTCCATCCTTATGTAGACCAGTTGGTGTCACTGTATTACATGGCCCCAATCCAAGAGATTTTTATGCAGATACATGCTGCCAGTTACAGGAAAATCCAGATATGTGAATGCAGATGAATTAGTGCAAAGCCAATACCACTATCAGGTAAAACAAAATCCACAACTAAAAATGTCAAGACCATTTCCTTTTGAGGTGTGTACATAATGTGATTTCATATAAAGAAAATGTTTTTGAATGATATCAGTAATAACTTTGCTCCCCTACCCTACCAAGAAGGGTAAGGGGGAATGAAGTACTCTGAAGAGGTACCTGTATCATAAAGCATATTAGAGACAGATTGACAGATTGGCCTAAGCAAAGCAAACAGTTTCTGCTACCATACCTATCGGCTATCTACCAAATGTTATATAGCCCCCTTTATCTTATTATTTCCTTATCAGGATATAAATAACCAATTTTTCAAAGTGCTGTAAGAAAATCTGTACAGACTGTGGAAACTAAACTCATTACAAAGGTGTATTAATTTCTGATACTGCTCTAGAAAGACAATAACAAAATATTTGGGTATTTAAAAGTAAACATTTAGCTGGAGTGTGCACAAGAAGCATAAACAATTTCTAAATTCATAAAAGATAAAAGGTTTATAAGATTAACATTTTCATTAGACTGAACTTACATAATCCATGTTAATGTGTTACTCGTGTATTTACCCCATCTTTTCCCTCCCCCATGTAAATTTCTCTCCCACTCTGCTTCCTAGGTAAGTTATTTTGGTAGATGTATATGCCAATCTGGTGGTCAGTCCCTTGAATATAAAGGTAACTGTGTGTTTATATTCACCACATGTCAGCAGTGTTGGGTATGCAGTATGCATACTCATAGAATTACATTGAATTAGATACGATACTGCACAGGAAAAAAGGGAAACTGGGGATGAAAAATCTCTATATTCTGTAGTCCAGAAAAATGTTACATTCTGTATGAAAAATCACCTTGAAGTGGAAAAGGCAAAAGATTTACTCTAAGGAAATAAATAACAAAGTATAATTATATACTTACAAGACTTGTGGGTCACTCCATTTTGATACACAGAGCTCTTCTAGCAACTCTTCCTCATCCAAGATCTCCAAAATTGACTCTTTGAAAATTTTAATATCTGTTTCTAACTCTGATAGACTATAAGAAATAGATACACAAAAATGATCAATAGAATAAACTTATAAGAACATTTCATAATAGTGTTTTTAGAGTATCTTATCAAATATATTATCTTATACATTCATGCTAAACAATGACTTATTTAAAAAAAAAAAAAAAGTTGAGTATTTACCAGGCAAATTAAGAATCAATTTGGCCAGGCATGGTGTCACGCCTGTAATCCTAGCACTTTAGGAGGCCAAGGCAGGAGGATTGCTTGAGCTCAGGAGTTTGAGACCCTCCTGGACAACAGTGAGATCTTGTCTCTACAAAAAAATTTAGAAAATTAGCTGGGCATGGTGGCATGTGCCTGCAGTCCCAGCTACTTGGGTGGTGGAGGTGGGAGGATTGCTGAAGGTTAAGGCTGCAGTGAGCTGAGACTGCACCACTGCACTCCAGCCTGGGCAACGGAGTGAAACCCCGTCTCAAAAACACCCACAAAAAACCCAAACCAAGGCTGCAGTGAGCTGAGACTGCACCACTGCACTCCAGCCTGGGCAACGGAGTGAAACCCTGTCTCAAAAACACCCACAAAAAACCCAAACCAGATCTAAATTAATTGGTAAAATTATCAGTGATATAAATTTCATCATACATTACTTATCTCAGAAACATAAATCGCTTGTGAATTTAAGATTTTTGGTTTGGGAATTTTATTAATCAACATGGCAGTGATAATATAGAACAGACTAGTTACTCTTAACTGATAAAAACACTCCAACATTTTTGGATAAGAAACTACTGATTCAGGAATTTTAAATGTTAATTCTTGAAGGGATTTCGGGAGTATAACTCCTGAGAGCATGTTTATTCTATTTATGATACATATATAATATTGTTATTAAATTCTGGAATGCATTATGATTTTAAAGAAAAAGAACAACATGGACTTTGAATTTGGATTTAGATCTGCCATTTACTAGCCATATAAATTTAGGCAAGTTACTCAAACCTCAATTTTCTCATCTTCAAAATGAAGACAATATCAACTATTGAATGGGTGATGAGATGAGATCACATACGGAAAAGAGCCTTACATGACATTTCATGCAAAGTATCTTTTCAACAAACAGTAGATTGTGTGCCCCTTTTAGCTCAACTTCCCACCTAGGCTACTTTCATACTTTAAAAAAAGTTATGAAACAAAATGTTAATAATTGATTTTAAGATATTTGTCTCCAACTCCCAATGTGATACATCATCCATATTTACCTTTTGCCATTCTGTAGTAAAATGTGCAGTTTGCTTCTGTCTACAGAAGAATGTTTGGGGTCCACCAAAGCATCCAAGGTCTCAAGGATCAGTGGCTGCAAAATGCTAAGTTTCCCCTGAAGGGTGTTGATCTAGATAACAACATGACCTTTCATAAGAATTAAAACAATCTTTTTAGAATATTCAGGATCAGTGAATCCTCTGATTAAATACAGAAATCTGTAGTAGCTTGAAATGCTGGTAACATTTCAGAACATAGATAATTCTAGAATGCCTATTCCAGATGATTCAAAAACTAGATCCTCTGGGTTCAAAGAACTATGTATGATGTTATCTTTAGGCACAGATTTGGTTGACAAGGAGCTAACTCTCGTAAGAGTCTTTCTCCTCCCGCCCGGCCAGCCGCCCCGTCCGGGAGGTGAGGGGCACCTCTGCCCGGCCGCCCCGTCTGGGAAGTGATGAGCCCCTCTGCCCAGCCGCCACCCCGTCTGGGAGGTGTACCCAACAGCTCATTGAGAACGGGCCACGATGATGATGGCGGTTTTGTCGAATAGAAAAGGGGGAAATGTGGAGAAAAGAAAGAGAGATCAGATTGTTACTGTGTCTGTGTAGAAAGAAGTAGACATAGGAGACTCCATTTTGTTCTGTACTAAGAAAAATTCTTCTGCCTTGGGATGCTGTTAATCTATAACCTTACCCCCAACCCTGTGCTCTCTGAAACATGTGCTGTGTCCACTCAGGGTTAAATGGATTAAGGGCGGTGCAAGATGTGCTTTGTTAAACAGATGCTTGAAGGCAGCATGCTCGTTAAGAGTCATCACCACTCCCTAATCTCAAGTACCCAGGGACACAAACACTGCGGAAGGCGGCAGGGTCCTCTTCCTAGGAAAACCAGAGACCCTTGTTCACATGTTTATCTGCTGACCTTCCCTCCACTATTGTCCTATGACCCTGCCAAATCCCCCTCTCCGAGAAACACCCAAGAATGATCAATAAATACTAAAAAAATTTAAAAAAAAAAGTCTTTCTCCTATAGACATTCATTATGAAGTAATGAGGGATCAAGTAAAATAAAATCTGCTATTATTAAAACACAAGCTTTCAGTAATACCTGTGTTCTCTGTAAACAGAATATGGTTCAAAATTCCTACAAAGCTCTTTGAAAATAAAAACTTGAGCTTTAAAACATAAACATATCAGAGTAAAGTCAAAAATAGACTATTTAGGTTAACACAAGTATGGTTTGATATTTGATATTCGGCAGGTATGCACTAATCCTGCTATATAGTTGTTAAAATACTGAAACACTTCCATGCCAGTTGGCAAATAGCATATACTAACTAAATCAAGCGGTAAAACTGATGACGTAAATTACAGCATATAGTCTTTATCTCAGAAGCACAATTACTGTGAAACAGATTTTTTTATTTGGAAACAAGTCCAGAGTCACAGTGCCTCTGCAGACATGTTGTTTATTTCGTCTCCAGAGGAACTGCTTCCGGGTTAAGAAGTCCTTGGGTGGGAGGGAAGACTGGACAGCCAAATAGGCAGACCACATCTTTTAATCTAAGAGATATCAAACCCTCTGCTCAGCAAGGTGTGGACTTTTGTAGTGGTTGGGGAGGCTGCTGAGGGTCACAGATAGGGTATTTGTGAGGCATATCTACTCATGGTATGTCTTGGTCCCTTAGGTGGGTTTGGGGAGCTTTCCCTTGTTCGAAAACTTATCCCTTTTGAGAGGTGGCTGGTCTTGCTTCTATGTAGTGTTGTTTCGTAAGGAAATCTTCCTGGGACCCCATTTAAAGGAAGAAGAATGTGTATCCCAGCAGACATCCTGAACTCCCTCTCTATTCTCCCCACAGCCAATCTCTAGGCCGGAGACCCATGCCAGCCTAGCCTCTCTCCTTCCCCTCCTGCTCCCTTTAAGATCCCTGTCTTTCTCCTAACAGCATGAGCTCCTGAGAGCTTACCCAGCCTGTGGAGCCCATGACTTACCACTGTTTACATCTTCTTTCTCTCTTCTGCTTTCCCCCTGCTTGGTAACTGGGCTCCCACTACTTATCATCTCACTGGCTGGTGCTAGCTGGTGCTCATTAATTACCCCAAGCAGGAAGTGTAGCCATCTATTCTTTCAGAGCAAGGCAGACAAAAGAAAAGTGTGCCAGGTTCACCCAACCCAATGCACCTCATGTCCTCTCTACCCTCTCTCCTCCTCCCACTCTGGTTAGTATGCTCCCAGCACCAACTCTTGCATGTAGCCAGTTCCTGAACAGTACCATCCTGACTTAACAGGAGGAAGAAAAGATAATGAAAGATTTGTGGGGTCAGGGAAGCAGAGAACCACCCTTGTTTAGAGCCTGACAGGAGTCTCAGACATCTAAGGACTCTTAATTTAAAGGAGGAGTCACTGGAAGAACTGTGCGTGATTCCTATGTCAATCTAGGTCTCAAAAAGATGCATCATTTACCTGGCTCAAACAAAGGATTGTACAAACAAATCAAAAAATGACTTGATGAAATGATTTAATAAAATAATTATCACATGTCAAGCATTTTTATAATATACATAGAGTCTTTAGTTCTATTTGACTGGGTCATAACATTTAAGAATTAAGTGATATCTCCATGTAGGATCCTTAGAGACGACTTGTTTCGGGGCAGGATGTGGTCAGGGGACATGCCATTGAAACAATACCCCAACTTGTCTTCCCACTCAATGACATTTCAAAATCAGAATAAACCCAAGAAGCTAAATAAAAACAGACTTACCCAATATTGCAGGAGTGCTTCTATAGCTCTAAACTCAAAAGGTAAAGGGTATGTAACGAGTTGACCCTCTCCAGACAACTGTGAAGGGAGTTCCCGGAACAGCCATTGCTCTAAGTTTAAATTACGATAATCTAATATCAGAAGACACTCTGGAGTTATCACAGCTTTCAAATACTGTTAAAAAAAAAAAAACCAAAACATATAAATATGTGAGTGTATATACACACATGCATGTATATACATATATATGTATACATACATATATATATGCAAATTGTAGAGCTGTAGGAAAAAAGAACATTCATAAAATTTGGTTTAATACTTTACTAATTGTGGATTAAGACTAAACCAAATCAGTGTTCATTTTTGTTTTTCAAAAAAATCAAGGTTTTTTTTTTCAAAAGAAAAGAAACTTAAAAAATATATGTCTTGATACTGCTAACTCACTCTCAATAAAACTGGAATTATTCACATAAATTATATATTTACTAAGACTTCTGGGGTAATCATGAAAAAAAAACAAAAACAAAAAAAAAAACACCAAAAAATACCCCCAGAAAGCCGGGCATGGTGGCTCATGCCTGTAATCCCAGCACTTTTGGAGGCTGAGGAAGGTGGATCATGAGGTCAAGAGATCGAGACCATCCTGGCCAACATGGTGAAACCCCGTCTCTACTAAAAATACAAAAATCAGTTAGGCGTGGTGGCCCACACCTGTAGTCCCAGCTACTTCAGAGGCTGAGGCAGGAGAATCGCTTGAACCTGGGAGGCGGAGTTTGCAGTGAGCTGAGATTGTGCCACTGCACTCCAGCCTGGCGACAGAGCGAGACTCCGTCTTTCTTTTTTGGAAAAAATAAATAAATAAATAAAGGGAACAAGATAAGGTCTTCCTAAAAGTCAGGTATTGAGCAGACTTTTAGAAAAGATTTAGTTTAATCATAATTAGTTTGGCACAAATGGAAGTTTCCTTTTTAAAACACCACTAAAGCATATAAACAAAATCTGAAATTAAGATGAAACATAGCCTTACTACTCTAATTTAGAACAATATGAAATTAGAATTTTTTCTAAAAAGACTGGTTATCTTGTATGTTAAAAGTAGATAAAGGTAGCCACTTTATCAGTGATATAGAAATTAGAGATAATTTTCTATTTTTACATTTTTCCAACATTCTATCATGAATTTTTTTTTCTTTTTTTTTTTTGAGATGGAAGTCTTGCTCTGTCACCCAGGCTGGAGTGCAGTGGGGCAATCTCGGCTCACTGCAACCTCCACCTTCAGGGTTCAAGCTATTCTCCTACCTCAGCCTCCTGAGTAGCTGGAATTACAGGCACCCGCCACCATGCCTGGCTAATTTTTGTATTTTTTAGTAGAGACGGGGTTTCACCATGTTGGTCAGGCTGGTCTCGAACTCCTGACCTCAGGTGATCCACCCCTCTCGGCCTCCCAAAGTGCTGGGATTACAGATGTGAGCCACCACAACCTAGCCTCATGAAAATTTTTATACAGAAAAGTTGAAAGATTGCAGTGAACACCATATACCCACCAGTTAGATTACACAATTATCATTCTGCTGAATTTGCTTTTTCACATACCTGTCTGTCTCTCCATGAAAGAGACACTGTTTTGAAGAATGCTAGCTACTGATTCCAAGAGTAGAGAATATTTCTGAAGAAAATCACATGGGAGAAGACTGCTTCATTTTTGATAAAGTATTTTTTATTTACTTATTTATTTTTAGAGATGGGATCTTGCTATGTTGCTTAGGCTGGTCACAAACTCCTGGTCTCTGGTGACCCTCCCACTTCAGCCTCCTGAGTAGCTGGGACTAAAGGCACATGCTACCAATACTGGCCCATTTTTTATTATTTTGATTAGTTCTAGAAAAATGAACAAAAATCTGCCATCAAAGACTCTTTGAAGAAAGTCTCATACCCACTACAGGGCCAATACCATTCATCTATTTTTGAACCTAAACATTAGCCCACCAAAATAACTGAAACCCACATTAACTCTGAATCACTAAAGAAAGTCAAATTATTATTTGGCATGCTCTGAATAGGTAAGGGAAAATACAATATATTTCAGAAAGTTTTCCATTAAAAAAATTTAAACTGGCCAGGCACGGTGGCTCATGCCTGTAATCCCAGCACTTTGGGAGGCAGAGGCAGGTGGATCACCTGAGGTCGGGAGTTTCAGAGCAGCCTGACCAACATGGAGAAACCCCATGTCTACTAAAAATACAAAATTAGCTGGGTTTGGTGGCTTATGCCTGTAATCCCAGCTACTCAGAAGGCTGAGGCAGGAGAATTGCTTGAACCTGGGAGGTGGAGGTTGCAGTGAGCCAAGATCGTGCCAGCCTGGGCAACAAGAGCAAAACTCCATCTCAAAAAAAAAATTAAGGCTATAAAATTTAATGTCTATTCCTGTGCTATTTAGAAAGCCAGAATACATTTTTGGTAGCTCAGGTTATACTATAATTACATGTAACTGTACACAATTGGATATATATCTATTATAAATCAGGATTGTCTTATAGTTTCCAGAACTAGAGAGTAAATCCCAACAGTGAGAATGAACACCACAGTCAGAGCTTTTCCAACTTAAAACACAGCAGTGTTATGCCTATTGAACATGTGCATATAATCCATATAAAATGAGTTCTACTCATAATAGCATATTAAGCTATAAAACATCCTATGTTTCAGGTAGCTATTTCTATTCCAAAATTACTTTTAACCTAGATACTAATCAAGATAGTTAGAAGGTAACTTTTATAAGATTGTATTGGAGAAACATAGATGAAAATAAAATATTTTACCTCCATTCTCATGATAATCCTATTGTTTCTGACTGTGATACTCATTACATGCTGAAATCTCAAATCTCTGGCTTGAAGACCTAACTCTTGGTATAATTCAGTTTTCTTCCTTTCTATAAAAGAAATAAACAGAGAGGGCTAAACCAAATACATTAAATGGCTTAGATTTTTCCATCAGAGCAGTCCTCCCACCACCATCAAGACAATTTTTGGTTACTACCAGAAACAAAAACTAAAATTAAGTCTTTTAATATCCATTTTTACCTAGAAAACATACTCGGGCTAAATAGAGTCAAACTAATGATTTTCTTATCTATACCTCATAACTTTCTCACTACTTAGAAGACCCTTGAGACTAATACAGAAACCACAACTATGCATCATTAGAACCTATAAATGTCCAGCTCTAGAGACAGGTTATCTCTCTTAAATATAAACTGTACACAACTATATTTTCTATTTTTACTACAACATCATCTTCAGTATTTTATATATGTGAACAGATAAGCTTGATTTTCTTTGTTCTTAGACTAATACAAAAATGAGAAAAGCTGAATTTATTACCTGAGACTGATTCATTCTCAAGGGAGATGTGAAACTCACATCTGAAGTCACACTGTAAAGTAATGCCTAGTCTCACTTTTTAAAGTAGCTGTCCACAGAGAGCCATCAGCAGCAGAGTTCCATGTGGCTGCCATGCAGTGACATGGCCCTGTTCATCTTTTGTCACCCACTGCAATGTCAGTGGTATTATGTGACTCTGCCTTAAACATGCTTCAGGAGAATGAATGAGGGCAGTGAAAGGGACGCCAACAAGAGAGACAAAAGAGAAAAAGAGTGTGTCTCTGGGCTCCAGTTCTACACCAGCCTCTGCTCTCCCAAATATTCCTTCAATAGCCTGTTAGAGCAAAAAGTGGCTCCTGCTAGAAGAAAACAATTCTGGGAGAATACACACAGTCTGAGTATTGCCAGCTCCAATTAAGACTGATGGACAAATGCTGAAGAAAGATCTCTTTCAACACACCTGTATATGCAAAGAATATTTTACTCAAAATACTACAATTTCTTGATTTCTATCAGATTCACTCATTAAATGTTTAAAAAATGATTTAGAATGCTAATCACTCACCAAAAGAAGTAACGTTTCCCTGTTTGTCAAATTTTGTCTGAAAATAGAGAATAAAACAAATTATGATTTTCTTTCAAATTAGAATGCTACTTATGGTATTGCTAATTTAGTTAAGAATTTATGGTATTGTAAGTAATATCCCCAAAATGTTGAAATGCAAATATAAACCATTACTGACCTTCTTTAGATTAAATCCAGTTATGAGTTAAGGGTTTTTTTAAAATCCTTTTTTCCTTTGATAGGAAAAATCAGACCTGGGTTTAACTTTCTATCTTGGTTCCTCTAGAAAGTTGATAAAGGAGTATCAGTTGTGTTGTTACTAGGTAACAATCCTTATGGTAAAAATGACCATTGACTGGTAGACTGCACTGGACTGGGAAGACGAACAAATTACAGTTATCAGGTGAAAAGCAATAGCTCTCTTTGCCCTTTCCTGATTGTGGTGGCTCTTGTGGCCATGTTCCCAGCCAGAATCCTGGACACTGTGCCCCTGCGATGGTTACAAGGGATACTGTCACTACGGGGCATGGGGATTCGAGCCAAGATGAATCTCACATCCACCTTTGAGAATCTTATCTCCTTGTCACTGAGCGATCACTCAGAGGACCAGAGAAGCCCCTGGATGGCTGCAAAGACTTCTTTTGAAGAGGAAACACCTAACACTACCCTGTTGTTTCTCCTGTCCCTTATCCTTCTGAGTAGACTGGGACCAAGTATGGCCCGCCTTGTGAATCTAAATGTCTACATGAGGCCAAAGTCTCTTTGGTGGGTGTTGCAGAATCAATAAAGATTTACAGAACCCCTTCTGATAGTTTGAAGAGAGGATTTGATACAGAAAATGCACCTATTTCCTGCAAAGTAGGGGACTATCTTTCAGTGATGTTTATCCACAGTCAAGTTTGAAGCTGTGAAACATTTAATGAATCACTATGTGCTGAGCTGTACTACTTACTACGACAGACACATTTCAGAAAGACACTCCAACATACAGGTTTAAGTACAATATAGGTCTTGGGTTACTACCATGGAAATATACATGCTGTGTTAATCACACAATAAAAACTCACAATATATATATTTTATCTTGCTTCTCATCAGCAAAAATAAAATTAATATGAATATATAAGTTCCATAGAACATTAAAGGAAAATTTATATCAAAGAAAGCTTTATATTTGTGTAATAGTCTAGCTTTCAGCCTTATATTTCACAAATACATAAACCCACTGCAGAAAATTTGAAAATAAATATACGTAACATAAAACTATATTAATCACCTGAAATGACAAATTTTAGAGAAAACCATGTCAATATTTCACTGAATATCCTTCCAAACATTTTCCTAATAAAACATACTTATACATACTGCTTTGCAGTCTCCCTCCTTCCAAATTAGCAACATATGCTGAATATTTTTGCATCTCAATATTTATATGTACCCTTTTTTTCTTTAATGGAACTTAAAAAAATTTTTTAAATCATACAAATTATAAAGAAAAAAATATTTACTTTGTAACCAGCTCACTTTCTAAACTATTTCAAACAGCACAAATTAAATTTTTCTTTCTCAGATTCCATAGCTTTATGAATTTCTTAAGTGTTCTTTGCAATTATTTCACCTGCAAAGAACTAACTTTCAGTATTTCACGTTTGACTTTGTATTCTTTTTTTGAGACAGAGTCTTGCTCTGTTGCCCAGGCTGGAGTGCAGTGGTGCAATCTTGGCTCACTGCAACCTCCACCTCCCAGGTTCAAGCGATTCTCCTGCCTCAGCCTCCTGAGTAGCTGGGACTACAGGCGTGCACCACCACGCCTGGCTAATTTTTTTGTTTTTTAGTAGAGACGGGGTTTCACCATGTTGGTCAGGCTGGTCTAAAACTCCTGACCTCAAATGATATGCCCACCTCAGCCTCCCAAAGTGTTGGGATTACAGGCGTGAGCCACCGTGCCTGGCCCTGATTTTGTATTCTTAACTAAATTGGCCAACTCTTCCAGAACAATGAATAACAGTGGTAACTTTTAAACGCAATTCTGGGGGTTATTTAATTTTATATAGTTTATAAAGAAAAGCTCTTATGTTAACAAGCCTAAATAATCCTAATGAAATATATTTGAGGCTTACTATATGTGAGGCACTAGTTTAAGGGCTTTCTATATATGAGTTAATTTAATCCTCATAACAATTCTATATGGTAGGTTATGCTCAGTTTTCAGATGAGAAAACTAAGGCACAAAGATGTTATTGTAACTTGTCCAAGGCCACCTAGTCAATAAGAGGCAGAGTGAGATTGGAATTTAGGAAGTCTGGCTCAGAATAGGCACACCTTTTTTTTTTTTTTTTTGAGATGGAGTCTCACTCTGTCTGCCAGGCTGGAGTGCAGTGGCATGATCCAGGCTCACTGCAAGCTCCGCCTCCTGGGTTCATGCCATTCTCCTGCCTCAGCCTCCCAAGTAGCTGGGACTACAGGCGCCCACCACCAGGCCTGGCTAATTTTTTGTATTTTTAGTAGAGATGGGGTTTCACTGTGTTAGCCAGGATGGTCTCAATCTCCTGACCTCATGATCTGCCCACCTCGGCCTCCCAAAGTGTTGGAATTACAGGCGTGAGCCACCACGCCCGGCCGGCACACCTTTTTATCAAGACTTTTTTTTTTTTTGGAAAAAAAAAAAAAGCCTACAAAGAAGTTGCAAGAATATTACAACCAATTCCCATAGAGCTTTCACCTAGAGTCACCTTTGTTAACATTTTGCCCCAACAGCCTTCTTTCTCTAAAAATACGTGTGATACATTATCTTATTCATTCATTTCCCCCCTCATCCCCACCCCCGAACCATTTCAGAGAAAAGTTAGAGATCATGACCTTTCAAAGCATGCATTTTTAAATACTACTCTCTGCTGCCTTCAAAATGCTTCTGCCTGCGTATTATCTTGCAGAACATAGGTTCAAGCCTCTTTATGGCTCTGAATTGTGATTGACCTGTTCTAGTATTAAAAGGGGAGCTGCAGTCATTAGCAAAGGTTCAAGATCATTGTTAAGCAAATCTAGCAGGCACTTAGGTCACTGGCCAGGCACAACAGCCACGACATGTAGCTATGATGATTATAAAGCTCAAAATAAGTAGTATCTTGGCCAACAGTCCAACGAGTTAACTTATGTATGGGAAGCACTTTCTGTACGATTTCCAATGTACTGTACATACTCACCACAGTAAATACTGGGGCTACACTGGCTAAAGTGGCTTGAGAGACGTCAGAGGTTCTAAACCGGTGCACTTCACCTGAAGAATAAATTAAGAGAATTCCTGTGGTCACATGATTGGTTTTCACATAGAGCTAAAATACAACTCTCAAAGTATGTGGAGGCCTTCAGACTATTTTATTATTTTTAAATATTTTTCCTATAAGAAAAGAAGAAATACTCTTCTTAATTTTAACATCTGTTAGTGACTATCTTAGGTTTGGCAGGGAATGATTTTTAAAACTAATGGCTTAGGTGAGGCATTAAAATAACTGATGGATTCCAATCACCCTTTTACCTTTCTAATTATTACTGATATCTCAGAGTTGGATGAACAAATGTGCAACATCGTGTTCTGAGATTTAAGAAAATGTCTGGTCTTCCTTTTCGCATAATTTAAAAGACTCTTCATGCACATTTGGTAGTAGATACATTTTAGAAAACATAGGTCCTAAGTACCACCTGATCTTTCAAGCATTCCAGTTGACTGGCTCATAAATTATGAAACCTATGATTTTACTTCTTTTCTACAGATATCCTTTATAGTGAATACTTATGAAATACCCCCACTGAGCTGAAATGACAAATCTTTATTTTAAAATTGTCTATTTAAAACGTGATTAGACTGAGTCGAAGTGAGCGGTGAAGTATAATCAAGTACATTTAATGACTGACAGAGGACACTGTTTTGTGCTTCCAAAGTAATTACACTGATTCCAGAGACTGTAGAAAAAAAAACCTATTTCTGATCTTTTTTCTACTACATACACGTAATGATTGTTGTAATTTGTTAGTATCTGAAGTTTCATTTCCCTTTTACAAAATACAAATTATCACTATAAGGGTAAGATGAATAAAGGTAAAAGGCATTTGCTGATTACAAATGCCTTTCAATGTTTTAATGTCACAAATTAGAGTGTAACCGGGATTGAGATTGTGAACGTCAATGCTTGTCCTAAAAGTTTCCTCCAACTTGCTGAAACTGGATTCCCAAGCATTATCAATTGAGGGTGCAGAGCATGTAACCCAACTTAGCCTCTCCAATAAGTGGAGAATGAGGTGCTGACGAGGAGTTACTTTGGGAGGCTTTTGAGAGCACAATTGAGAAAACATATTTGAGGACACTGCTATGTTCTTAATAAAGTCATTCATTTCAATACCTTTTATTCCTCAAATATTTGCACTCACATTTGTGAAAATCTTAACTTTTCACCATGCTTCAACATTTGGTGAAAAAATAAACAGCAAATAAGATTTTTTTTTCTCAATCCGATCTCCCTGGCTGTTTACTTATAGAGTACTGTAGTTGAAAGTAAGTCGTTCTCAGAAACAACTCAGTCTTTAGCCTCACTTCTAGGTGCGTCCCCAATCTCCGTGCAACTGGACAACTGTATAAATGTGTCCATAACGAAGAAACAGAAAACAGGGAAGTATTAATTTATACTTATGACTTCCGAACAGATGAAATCCTTGTTTAAAAACACCTCTCGGCCAGGTGTGGTGGCTCACGCCTGTAATCCCAGCGCTTTGCGAGGCTAATGCGTTAGGATGGCTCGAGGCAAGGAGTTTGAGTCCAGCCTGGGCAACATAGTAAGACCCTGTCTCAAAAACAACACAGAAAAAACCTCTTACAAGAGCACTTAAGCGGGTGTTAACTAACGTGATCACGGTCTGTAAACGATTCCTAGGTTGTTCCTATGGTTACATAATCTGCAGCAAGGGCGGTGGAGGAGAAGGCAGAGGGTTGGCCGCTGGGACCCCGGCAGGGCACAGCGCACATAGCAAGGTCGCATTCTGAGCGAGTGGGACGCAGCTCGGCCCGCGGGCCTGTGCAAGCTCACAGGACACGCGGGAGGCCGAGGCCTGCGGAGGGCGCGGAGCAACAGGCGCGCCGCGCCGGACGGCTGGGGCAGCAGTCTAAGGTCACTGCAAGACCAGCGTCCCAAGGCTGTTGCCGGGGAAGGGCAGTACCTGCCACGCGGAGCCGGTCGGGCCCGCAAAGCTGCGCCGCTCGGCTCCTTCCAATCAGGTTGGCTCGGCGGCCGCAGGCAGCAACGGGAGGACCCACAGAGGTCACGTCCAAGGCCAGGGCACACAGCGTCCGCCGGGGAAGTCTCATCGCGCGGGGCAGGAGGCAGGGTAAACTGCGCAGGCATTCCATGGTGCTGGAGCAAGAAGCAGGCAGCAGCCAGACCCCAGACCTTCATGCCGGACGCTGGCTGCTCAGGCCGCAGCTCTGACCTGTCGCTACCGCCCGACCTGCAGACTCTGTGCACCAGGCATGCGCGGGGCGTGCCGCGCCTGCGTGCTACTTCCCCACGCATGCTCGGAAGGTACCTGTGGGCGAGCCTGTTAAGTCCACAGCCAATAGACGTTTGCTTGCCTACCTGTACCTGCACCTGTACCTAAGTGAGGGGGCAGGCGGGCTGGGAGATGGGTGGAGCACGTTTACCTGCACTAAGTGAGCTGTCCAACCTAGGTTCTTGGGCGCTTGGAGTGTCATGGTTTTGTAGTTTGTGGAGAATTTTCATACCTATGAAAATTGCAGTTTGGAAATGAGCAGGTTACCCATTCCCACATCATTTAATTTATATTTAAATTTAACGTGGTGTAGGGAGCAAGAGGGAAAGCTCCTACTTTTGCCCTCTGAAAGTTGCTGGAATGAACTAAGTAGACAGATTAGCAGGAGAAAAAGGCATACAAAATTTGCTTAACGTGCATAGGGAAAAATCACAGAAGAGTGATTACTCAATAACTCAATTAAGGTCCAGATGCTTGTATACCCTTCTTTGTTGAGTAGAGGGAGATAGGTATGAATGGGCCCGAAAGCCAGACAGTGGTTTGCAAATGATTCTCCTTGGACATTCAGTGGGACAGAAGTACAAACAATCGCTTGTGGACAAGCTGTGAAACTTCACTCTGAACAAAAATTGTCCTATTATACAGGTAAAGTTTCCCAGGTAATCTCTTGGAGCTACCCTCAGAAGTATCTATGAAAAGTCTCAGTGTGGCTATGACTTTCAGTTTTTGTCTCTTCTCTGGGTGATTAATCTCTTCTGATTATTTAATGCGATTCCTAAGGAACGGGTTTTAAGACAATTGCATTTCTTTGGAAAAGAGTTTTCTCTGTCAGATAAGGAAATTCCTTATCTGGCTGTGCAGGAAAAGAGAGCCCCTTCAGGTGCTTGGAAAAAGTAAGAGTATCAGAGAGACAAAAGGAAGGGGGAAGGTGAGAGAGAGAGGCCTTGATTTTTAGGCTTCTTTCTGAGACCCTTTTAATTTCCTTTAATTCAAAGACTCAACATGCCACCGGGCGTGGTGCCTCATGCCTGTAATCCAGCACTTTGGGAGCCAAGCACTTTGGGAGGCCAATGTTGTGGACCACTTGAGGTTAGGAGTTCAGGACCAGCCTGGCCAACATGGCAAAACCCGTCTCTACTAAAAATACAAAAATTAGCCGGGTGTGGTTGCAGGTGCCTGTAATCCCAGCTACTTGTAAGGCTGAGGCATAAGAATTGCTGGAATCCAGGAGGTGGAGGTTGCAGCGAGCCCAGATCATGCCATTGCATTCCAGCCTGTACTGCATTCCAGCCTGTACGACAGAGTGAGACTCCCATCTCAAAACAAACAAACCCCAAAGACTCAGCATGCCAAAACATCATATTTTGGGGTATTATGGTTTGAGCCCCAGTAGTGGCAAAAATAATCAACTGTCATATGGAATGATGTCATGTATTAAACTTTTGCTATAAAGAATGAGGAGCACAGACACATAAGATTTCTATTCCATATTTAATAAAATGTAAGATAGCATCAATTTTAAGGTACCATTATTTTATGTACCACCAAGAAAGAAAAAAAAACTGATAAGTTATGCTTTCTAAACATGTAGATTGAAAGACATATCTCAATTCCAGTCTTTAAAATATGAAAAAAGTCTTAGGTTAAATACAGTATGTATGCATATTTTAAAAATATGAGTTAATAAATTTATTGTCCCTTCCACAGTAGTAATACAAGGCAGACACAAGTTCCACAGACTTCCTTTCAATATCTATGTATGGACACAAAGCTAAGGAGACAGAGATAGAAACATTTTATTCTGCAGGGTACTGGGACTGGGGATGGAGTAGGAGGGCAGTGCACAAAGAGAAGCCTTCACAGAAGAGAGGATGTTTGACTTGATAATGTGGGGAAAAGAAAGAGAGATCAGATTGTTACTGTGTCTGTGTAGAAAGAAGTAGACATAAGAGACTCCATTTTGTTCTGTACTAAGAACAATTCTTCTGCCTTGAGATGCTGTTAATCTGTAACCCTACCCCCAACCCTGTGCTCCCTGAAACATGTGCTATGTCACCTCAGAGTTAAATGATTAAGGGCTGTGCAGGATGTGCTTTGTTAAACAAATGCTCGAAGGCAGCATGCTTGTTAAGAGTCATCACCACTCCCTAATCTCAAGTACCCAGAGACACAAAACACTGCAGAAGGTCGCAGGGACCTCTGCCTGGGAAAGCCAGGTATTGTCCAAGGTTTCTCCCCATGTGATAGTCTGAAATATGGCCTCGTGGGAGGGGAAAGACCTGACCGTCCCCCAGCCCGACACCCGTAAAGGGTCTGTGCTGAGGAGGATTAGTGAAAGAGGAAGGAACGCCTCTTTGCATTTGAGATAAGAGTAAGGCATCTGTCTCCTGCTTGTCCCTGGGCAATGGAATGTCTCAGTGTAAAGCCCGATTGTATATTCCATCTACTGAGATAGGGGAAAACCGCCGTAGGGCTGGAGGTGGGACATGCTGGCAGCAATACTGCTCTTTAAGGCATTGAGATGTTTATGTATATGCACATCAAAAGCACAGCACTTTTTTCTTTACCTTGTTTATGATGCAGAGACATTTGTTCACGTGTTTACCTGCTGACCTTCTCTCCACTATCATCCTATTGTCCTGCCACATCCCCCTCTCCAGGAAACACCTGATAATGATCAATAAATACTAGGGGAACTCAGAGGCCGGTGCCGGCGCGGGTCCTCTGTATGCTGAGCGCCAGTCCCCCGGGCCCATTTTTCTTTCTCTATACTTTGTCTGTGTGTCTCTTTCTTTTCCAAGTCTCTCATTCTACCTGATGAGAAATGCCCACAGGTGTGGAGGGGCAGCCCAACCCTTCAGATAATTGAAGGCAAAGAAAAACTTTAATCATTGCTTCCAGGGCGTTGAAGTCTGGAAAATCGCTGAGTATAGAGAACATGGCTGGTAGATTTTTCATTTTACTAAAGCTTTAATGATGAGATAAGTATTTCAAACATATTACATGCCTTCAGAGATGCTTCTTTGAGAAAATATGTGATAACTTTCTCTTTAAAACAAAATTTGCACCCAGCACAATGAGACAGCTCTAAGATAACTTTTGCAAAGTCTAAGGAAAACTCTGGAACCTGTCCAGACGTACAGCCTCGTAATTCGTGGCAAAGATTTTTCTGAGAAGGGTGGGAACCATTGGAGGACTTCGAGCAGAGAGGTAATGAGCAGAGGTAACAATCTGATTTATGTTTAAATGGGTCACTCTTGCTGTGTGGGAAAGAGACTACAGAGAGGCAATTGGAAGCAGAGAGATGGTGATGATGGTTTGGGCTAAGGTGGGGATGGTGGAGAGGGGAAGATGAGTTGGGCTTGGTACCATATATTGAAGGCTGAGTTGACAACATTTGCAGATGGGATATAAGAGAAAGAGAGGCATAGATGTTGCTCCAAAATGTGTATCCCGAACAGCAGGGCCTTGCTGGTGCTATTTACTGAGATAGGGAATTTTGGAAAGGAGCAGTTTTTTTTTTGTTTGTTTTGTTTTTTGTGACGAAGTCTCGCTCTGTCGCCCAGACTGGAGTGCAGTGGTGTGATCTCTGCTCACTGCAAGCTCCGCCTCCCGGGTTCACGCCATTCTCCTGCCTCAGCCTCCCAAGTAGCTGGGACTACAGGCGCCTGACACCACGCCCAGCTAATTTTTTGTATTTTTAGCAGAGATGGGGTTTCACCGTGTTAGCCAGGATGGTCTCGATCTCCTGACCTTGTGATCCACCCGCATTGGCCTCCCAAAGTGCTGGGATTACAGGCGTGAGCCACCATGCCTGGCCAGAAAGGAGAAGTTTTTAATTGAAAACTGTGGCTCAAACCTGTAATCCCAGCACTTTGGGAAGCCAAGGTGTGCGGATCACCTGAGGTTGGGAGATCGAGACCAGCCTGACCAACGTGGAGAAACCCCATCTCTACTAAAAATACGAAATTAGCTGGCTGTGGCGGTGCATGTCTGTAATCCCAGCTACTGAGGGGGCCGAGGCAGGAGAATCACTTGAACCCGGAGGTGGAGGGTGCGGTGAGCCAAGATCGCACTATTGCACTCCAGCCTGGGCAACAAGAGTGAAACTCCCGTCTCAACAACAACAACAAGAACAACAACAAAAACAAGAACAACAAAAACTATGGCATGGCATTTGGTTTTGAATGTTAACTTCGAGAGATGTCCTAGACAGATATCTGAGTGTAGATGTCAAGTAAGCAGCCTGGAATTCAGGGAAGGTGTTGGAGATAGATAGTTACATTTGAGACTGTATAGAATATTTAAAGCCACAAGATTGGAAGAGATCTCCCAAGAAGGCCGAGCACAGTGGTTCACCCCTGTAATCCTAGCACTTTGGGAGTCCGAGGCTGGTGGATCACCTGAGGTCTGGAGTTTGAAACCAGCCTGGCTAACGTGGCGAAACCCCGTCTCTACTAAAAATATAAAAATTATTGGGGTATGGTGGCAGGCGCCTATAATCCTGGCTACTCGGGAGGCTGAGGCAGGAGAATCGCTTGAACCCGGGGGGCAGAGGTTGCAGTGGGCCAAGATTGCCCCACTTCACTCCAGCCTGGGGGAAAGCAAAACTCCATCTCAAAAAAAAAAAAAAGTCTCCCAAGAAGTGAGTCAGAGAAAAAGTCATCATACAATTGAGCTCTAGATCCTCTCATATTGAATTGTTAAGAAGATGAGATAGATCCAGCAGAAGAGTATGAGGAGTGACAAAGAAAGAAATAGAATCAGAGGGTGGAATCCTAGAAGCCAAGTAAAGAAAGTTATTTAGTTGGGGTTCAGAAACTGCTACCCCAAAATATGTTTTGACATGTTAAACTGAAGAAGCCTCAAGGTCTCGCTGGCACCACCCCCTGCCAACTGAGTCTTCCAAAGATGAAGTTAACGTTTTTTTTTAACCTAAGATCCAGACCCATTAAAAGAAACAACTGTCTCTTCTCCTCCCTGAAAAACCAAGAATGTAACCATGCTTGAACACACCCTTTGACAGGGTAATGTTCATGTTCATCTCTGTTCCCTGATCCATTCATTCTCCCTAGTAATCCCCTCAATAGAATTCCTCTTCTACTCCCTCCCATAGCCTATTTTGCCAGGGTGGTATATAAGCTTCTTAACCCTGTTGGAGGTTGTGTAATCACCCTGTGATTCTCCCTGTGTACACATTTATACAATTTGCCTTGTCTCCAATCAATCTGCCTTTTGTGGGTTGATTTTTTTAGCAAACTTTCAGTGGCTGAAGGGGAAGTTTCTCTTGGTCCCTACTGTTGCATGAATGAAGAAGTGATAAGTTATGTCAAAATTTTCTGATGGGTAAAATAAGAAATGAGAATTGTCTATATTGGACATGACACTATGGAACTTATTGGTGATCTTCATAGGAGCAGCTTTAATAGAGTAACAGGAAAAGGGACCTGTGAAACCACTTTGCAAAGATTATCACAGTAAGAGATATCTGATGTAGTTGACTCCATCTTGCTTCTGACCTCCAAGCTGTCCTTGGTTGTTCTTAGGTATAGGCCAAACTAACCATGGAGGAATTTGGTTTATAGCTTAACTTTGAAGCAAGGATAATAGTCCTACCCTAAAACTACCCCCTTCCTGCTTGTTTCGGGGCTGAAACCACCTTCATGAGACTAGTGAAAGGCCCAAGATTAGGATTATGGAAGGAGTCTGAGTTCTGCTAAAATGTGGGCATATGTTCTATAATCCCTTACTGTTCAGGAGTCGTGTGGCCAGAGATCACAAGATTTGTGCTTTCTCAATTGCTCCTATAGATAACATCATCACTGTAGAACCTAAGATTGGCCCTTTGAGATGTTTTTCAGACTGACCCCACTCAAATTCATGACTTATGACTCAGCCTGTCCTGTGGTTCCACCTAGAGGAGAACTCAGTGCATGAGGACCATTTTCCAGCCCCTGTGATTTCATCCCCAACCAATCAGCAGCACCTGTTCCTTAGCCCCCTGCCCACCAAATTGTCCATAAAAACCCTAGACTCTGAGCCTTCAGGGAGACTGGGTCAAGTAATAACCTCATCTCTGGTGTGGCTGACCTTGCATCAATTAAACTCTTGTTTTACTGCAATGCCTCAGTCTCAGTGAATTGATTATGGCTGTGCAGCAGGCAGGAAGAACCCATCAGGGTATCACACCTGGATCACTGTCTTCCCTTTTATCCCAAGCCATAGCAGAATCCCAGAAGACGCCTGCATCTATATAATAACAATCTAGCCTCAACATTTCTTAATCTCTTTCCTTACCTTCTTGGCTTCATGGCACATTGAGCTAAAAAGCTATCTTTCTTGATCCCCACTTCCCCACTCTCCACTATCAGGAAGAAGGTGTAGAGGGAGGTGCTTGCCCACTAACTTCAAGCCCAGTGAGAGGAGCTTCTTAAGACCCACTCTAGGAGCTTGAAGAGTTTATAGACTCACACCTGAGCAAGCAATAGACGCTTTGCATCAGGAAAGTAACTGTGTTTTCTCTAAAGGTACATAAAGCCTGAAGTGCAGATGTGACAAGAATATCAGCCTGGGATTGTTTTAAAAAGAATCCTTCCCCAAAGAGCAGCATATCAGGGAGTGAGGAATCTGGCCTTAGAGGCAAGAAGGGGCAGAGCTCAAAGTGATCCGAAGTGGCACCGCCCTTATCAAGGGAATGGCAACCAGATGGGCCTGGGGTGGGGGCGGAAGAGAAGTCCTCTGGAGAACCTCCTTACAATGTGAACCTGTGCACAAGGAGAGTCCACTTTAAAATCTGCCCCAGCTGGGCACGGTGGCTCATGCCTGTAATCCCAGCACTTTGGGAGGCCGAGGTGGGTGTATCACCTGAGGTCTAGAGTTCGAGACCAGCCTGGGCAACATGGTGAAATCCCGTCTGTACTAAAAATACAAAATTAGCTGGGTATGGTGGTGCATGCCTGTAATCCCAGCTACTTGGGAGGCTGAGGCAGGAGAATTGCTTGAACCCGGGAGGTGGAGGTTGCAGTGAGACAAGATCGTGCCATTGTACTCCAGCCTGGGCGACAAGAGCGAAACTCTGTCTCAAAAACAACATAATATAAAATAAATAAAATAAAATAAAATAAAATAAAATAAAATAAAAAAACAAAATAAAAAAAATAAAATAATCTGCCCTGCCTGGAGGGCATGATGCCTTCTTCCAATGAAAGCTTCTGGTTCATCTTACTTTGCCTTACCACCCCAGCAGAGTCAGAAACAGCAGCCATGGAGTAAGAAAGGTGGCAGCAAGGGATAGGGGAGCTGGCACAGGATCTCTATCTACACCAAAATTTCTCCAAGCCCAACAAGGAAAGAGGGGCCAAGTCTTTCTTTGAATGAGGATTGAAGTGTTGATTAGTATATTAGGTCTTACATTGTAAATTACTGAATTGAAATTACCATATGGACTGGACGTTTTAAGTTAGTGAGTTGAGTAACTTAGTTACTAGAGTAGAACACAGGACTGAAGGACCAGAAAAGTCATGGAACCTGCCCAAGTTATCAAGAAGCAGGAGAAGGACTAGCCCCACTCAGCAAGATTAAAGAGACTGCAAGTGACAAAAATAAAGTGGCTTCTATGATTACACCCCATGAGTCCTGCATGTTCCAAGTCCTAGTCATAGTGGTTTCAGATGATCAGTTACACAATCTTGATTGCGTAGAGAAGGAAGAGCAGCCAGGAGGAGTCTGCTGGGAGAATATAATCATCGTGGGTGTAAAGCCTTAAGGAGACTATGGTCAGAGTAGGATATTCATACTGCAACATTTCTGAGATGAAACGGTTCTGGATGGGAACCTAATCCACAGTGTGAGGCACACTGAGCCAGATGAAGAGGAGAAACTAAGAAAAATTTCCAGCCAGGGGAAAAATGTGTGGGCAGACTAGTGCTTTTGGAGGTAGTTGTGCCTGGAGCAAGGTGGGTGAGGAGCTGGAGTGATTCTAGATAAGGCCAGAGGGGTAGGCAGGGACTAGGTCATGCTGGTCTCGTGCTTTGTCAGCCATGGCAAGGAGATTTGATTTCATTCTTTGAGACATGGGGAACTCTTGAAGGGTTTTAAACCAGGGGCAAAGATTCTACATTCATTTTAAAATGATTGCTCTGGCCTCCTTTTGGAGGCTGGATTGTAGAGAGGGGAGAGTGAAAGCAGAGAGATCTTTGAAAGGCTGCATGTAGCAGGCATCCATAAAATATTTGACAGCGCTTGGGATAGGGCAGGTGCAATGGATATGGTGAAGTTAGACTAAAGAGATATTTAGGAAGTAGAGTGGGTAGGACTTGGTGATTAATAAGAGGAAGATGTATTAGGTTGCTAGGGCTGCCATAACAAAATATCCCAGACTGGGTGGTATAAACAACATAAATTAATTTTCTCACAGCTCTGGGAGTTAGTAGTCCAAGATCAAGGTTAAAAAATCAAGGGTTGGTTTCTTTTGAGACCTCTCTCCTCGGCTTGTAGATGTCAATATTCTCTCTGTGTCCTCACATGGTTTTCTCTGTGCATACATCCCTGGTATCTCTTCATGTCCTAATCTCTTCTTTTAAGGACACCAGTTAGATTGGATTAGGGCTCACCCTAATAGAGTCATTTTGCCTACCCTAATAAAGTTAACCCCATTTGGAGATAAGGCCTTTACCTCTTTAAAGGCCTTATCTCCAAATTCAGTTACATTCTGAGATACTGGGGGTTAGGGTTTCACCATATGGATTTTAGGAGAACACAATTCAGTTCATAACAGAAAATAAAGATGAAACCTATTATATCATTCTAGCAGGAGCAAGATGCTGAATTATGATGCTGTGTGCTGAATCGGGGAACCCTGGAGGAAGTGATGGTTTAGATTGGGAGTTCCATTTTGAGCATGGTGAGTTCAACATTGCCACATAAATATCCAACAGAATAAACAGCTGGGCTGGGCATGGTGGCTAACATCTGTAATCCTAGCACTTTGAGAGGCCTAGGCGAGTGGATCAGTTGAGGTCAGCAGTTTGAGACCAGTCTGGCCAACATGGGGAAACCTTGTCTCTACAAAAAATGCAAAAATTAGCTGGGCATGGTGGCAGGCACCTGCAATCCTAGCTACTCCGGAGGCTGAGGCAGGAGAATTGCTTGAACCTGGAAGGCAGAGGTTGCAGTGAGCTGAGATCATGCCACTACACTCCAGCCTGGGCAACAAAGACTCCATCTCAAACAAACAAGCAAATTAAAAACAAAAAACAAAAACAAAAGCAAAACAAAACAAAAAAACAACAGTTGGGTACATTGGTCTAGACCTGCGAAGAAAGTAAGTCTAGGCTAGATATAGAAATGTAGGAGTTTTGGCATATAGATAATAAGGGAGGCCATGGGAACGCAGGGGATTCCCTAGGGAAAGAGAGGAGAACGGGGCCCAGGACAGTCCCCAAGGCACACCAAACAACACCGCGGAGGTGGAGGAGGAGCCATCAAAGGAGATTGAGGAGGGCAGGCCCTTTGTCACCTCTTAGTATGTCCAGGTGCTCCTCAATTTGTGATGGAGTTACATCCAGACAAACCCATTGTAAATTGAAAATATCTGGCCAGGCATAGTGGCTTATTCCTGTAATTCCAGAACTTTGGAAGGCTGAGGTGGGAGGATTACTTGAGACCAGGAGTTTGAGAGCAGCCTGGGCAACATAGTGAGACCCTTTTTCAAAAAATAAAAAATAAAATTTACTGAGTGTGGTGGCATGCCTGTAGTCTCAGCTACTCAAGAGGTTGAGGAGGGAGGATCCCTTGAGGCCAGGAAGCTGAGGATGCAGTGAGCCAAGCTTGTACCACAGCACTCCAGCCTGGGTGACAGAGCAAGGTCCTGTCTCAAAAAAAACCCCAAAAAAGTACATATATGTATAGATAGATAGATAGATAGATAGATAGATAGATAGATACACTTACACACATTTAGATATGTCTATTGATCTCTATATCTCTATATGTCTATCTATAGCTATATCTACATATCTATATCTATCTATAGATGTATCTTTTGTTTTGTTTTTTTGAGACAAAGTCTCACTGTGTCACCCTGGCTGGAGTACAGTAGCATGATCTCAGCTCACTGCAACCTCCACCTCCTAGATTCAAGTGATTCTTGTGCCTCAGCCTCCCAAGTAGCTGGGATTACAGGCATGTGCCACCACACCCGGCTAATTTTTTGTATTTTTAGTAGGGACAAGGTTTCATCCTGTTGCCCAGACTGGTTTCAAACTCCTGAGCTCAGGTGATACACCTGTCTCAGCCTCCCAAAGTGTTGGGATTACAGGCGTGAGCCACTGCGCCTGGTCACTAGAGATATATCTATATACATAATAAGTCAAAAATGTGTTTAATATATCTAATCTACCAAACATCATAGCTTAGCCTAGCCTACCTTAAACATTCTCAGAACCCGTGCATTAGCCTAGGGTTGGGCACAATCACTGGACAACACAGTACACTGTAGAGTATTGGGTGCTTATCCTGGTGATCACCTGGCTGACTGGGAGCTCTACTCATTTCTGCTGCCCACCTTCATGAGAGAATATTGTACAGCATAGCACAAGCCCAGGAAAAGACCAACATTCAAAATCCAAAGGATGGTTTCTACTGGTTGTGTATCACTTTGGCAGCATCATAAAGTTGCAAAATCATCAGTCAAACCACCATAAGTCAGAGACCATCTGTATTACCTAATTGGTGGTAAGCCCAAATAAAATAGTAAAGTTACCCCAAGACCACAATGCTTTTGGCTCTCTTGGTGGAGTAGTGATGGTTAGGCTGGTTGTAATAAAGGGGTTAGAAGTTACCATCACTCTAATTTTCATTAAGTTCCATAATGAAACAACCCATGGGCCTCCTTCATAAAAACCAACGCAGATCCTCAGCTTTGATGTGGGAGGATGGTTCTCTGTCATGGTTTTAGAAGTCTGGTCTCACAGTCCCTCTGCTGTTTCCCTTGGGGCTTTCTGACTGCCATCACCACCATTCTGAACTTGGGGGAGGTTCTACTCCTTTTTAAAGTTCTGGCTTAAGCCAGAATATTTGCATTTGTAATCATATACCAAACACTGTATGAAGATTGCAAGTAGCAAACTGGAGAAACAAAGTCGATGCAATATTGTATTATGGTTTTACTTTTCCACACTTATTCACCTTAAAGGCTTGGTTTCTTCAGGCCAGTAGTTTGCAACCTTTTGTTTAAACCTAAAGAACTGTTTGTATTTTTTTTTTTTGTAGAGGGTATAGAAATTCCGGCCACGTTACATTAGATGAAATGAACTTCCATGTAGTAAGTGTCTACACACTGATTTTTTCATTTTAGTGAGACTAATCTATTTTATTATAGATAAATGTTCCATTGTTATCAGATGATTTTTGACATGGTGAAAATAGCTTTCAGACTCTTCTTATTTTCACGAGCCTAAGGATACAAGGATCCCAGGCTGGGGATCTCAGTCCTAAAATAATTGCTTTTCCTTGGTTGCTGGAGGGATGACAATGTGTCTGTTAATCTGTTCTCTCTTTGCTCCTGCTCTCAAAGCACTTTTGCTAGCAGGCATATTTTCTAATGAAAACATTTAGACCCACCTGGAGTTAATTTAAACAATTTTACTCTCTTAGCATTTCTCCACGGGACAATAATACATATATGAATTTATATCTCATGCTTCCTATCGACCAAAACACTGAAATGTATTTTCTTTTTTTTTTTTTTTTTTGAGATGGAGTTTTACTCTTGTTGCCCAGGCTGGAGTGCAATGGCACACTCTCCACTCACTGCAACCTACGCCTCCCGGGTTCAAATGATTCTCCTGCCTCAGCCTCCTGAGTACCGGGATTACAGGCATGTGCCACCACACTTGGCTAATTTTGGGGTTTTTAGTAGAGACAGGGTTTTGCCATGTTGGTCAGGCTGGTCTTGAACTTCGGACCTCAGGTGATCCATCCACCTCGGCCTCCCAAAGTGCTGGGATTATAGGTGTGAGCCACCTCATGTGGCCTGTATTTTCTACTTTGAAAGACAACGGCTAAACATTGTAAGTATATCATAAGACAAAATAGCCTAAAAGAATGTAATCAGACATGAGACTGAGTTCATGAGAATCATATTTCCTGAATTTCTGATTTTATTGCTGGAGTTTTAGTGAAAATGTATTTGGCTTTGAATTTAATAAATACTATTTATAAAGTTTATGGCTTGTAGATTGCACATGAAAATGATTGTAGAATATTCTTATATCAGGATTTCTCAACCTCAGTTCTATTGACATTTTGGTCGAGATAATTCTTTCTGGGGATGAGAGGTGATCTGTGCATTGCAGGTTGTTTAACAATATTTCTGACCTTTACTCACTAGGTCCCAGTAGCACCCCTTCCCAGAGTTGTGACAACCAGAAATGTGTCTAGACATTGCTATTATCTTCGGAGTGGTTCTGGTTGAGAACCACTGTGTTTTATAATAAGGAGTAGGATCTACAAACCCCAAGACCATTCCATTTCTTTTTTTTTCTTTTTCTTTTTTTAATTTTTAGATGGAGTCTCACTCTGCCACTCAGGCTAGAGTGAAGTGGTGCAATCTCGTCTCACTGCAACCTCTGCCTCCTGGGTTCAAGCGATTCTCGTGCCTCAGCCTCCTGAGTAGCTGAGATTACAGATGTGTGCCACCACACCTGGCTAGTTTTTTGTATTTTTAGTAGAGATGGGGTTTCACCATGTTGGTCAGGCTGGTCTCCAACCCCTAACCTCAAATGTTCTGCCCACCTCAGCCCCCCAGAGTGCCGGGATTACAGGCGTGAACCACTGCACCTGGCCTCCCCAAAACCATTTCTTTTGTTTTAGAAGTTATATCCCTTTAAATGTTCATAGACATCTTCTTCACATATGGTAGATATTAAAATTTGTAAAACGGTTAGTAGACTCCAGCACTAAGTTAAATTTATTTTTCTTTAGGCTTTTATGACTTCAAATGTGTTCTGTTTTATTGTGTCCATTACCACAAAATGAAATCCCAACTTTGTGAGCTTTTTTTTTTTTTTTGAGATGGAGTCTTGCTCTGTCGCCCAGGCCTGAGTGCAATGGTGGGATCTCGGCTTACTGCAACCTCCACCTCCCGGGCTCAAGTGATTCTCCTGCCTCAGCTTCCTGAGCAGCTGGGATTACAGGTACCCGCCACCATGCCTGGCTAATTTTTGTATTATTAGTAGAGATGGGGTTTCACCACGTTGGCCAGGCTGGTCTCGAACTCCTGACCTTGTGATCCGCTCACCTAGGCCTCCCAAAGTGCTGGGACTGCAGGCATGAGTCCCCTGGCCCATTTTCCTTTTTAAAAACAGCACCTACAATGGCAGGTGGGCTTCTCTGAGGTCTGTGTCCATGACCTATCTGAGGATTCCAGGAGATGCCTTTTCCCATGATTTTCAAGAAGTTTGGCCACAGGAGGGAGCACTATTCCTAAGCTTGCTTGTTTATTCTTAACTATTTTTTTTTTTTTTTTTTTTTTTTTTTTTGAGACGGAGTGTCGCTCTGTTACCCAGGCTGGAGTGCAGTGGCGCGATCTCAGCTCACGGCAAGCTCCGCCTCCCGGGTTCACGCCATTCTCCTGCCTCAGCCTCCTGAGTAGCTGGGACTACAGGCACGCGCCGCCACGCCCGGCTAATTTTTGTATTTTTAGTAGAGACGGGGTTTCACCGTGTTAGCCAGGATGGTCTCGATCTCCTGACCTTGTGATCCGCCCGCCTCGGCCTCCCAAAGTGCTAGGATTACAGGCGTGAGCCACCGCGCCCGGCTATTCTTACCTATTTTAATACGTGCTTGTATTTTAATATAAGATTGTCAGAGAGAGTTAATTCCTATCTAGAAATCAGAAATATAACTAGATTTTACATCAGTACTCTGAACACATCTCCTTTCTTATAATCTAAGCTCATGCTGCCTGACACTGAATTTCTTTTTTTTAGTTACCATTTTTGAAATCAGTACTGTAAGATAGTACCTCAAGGTGAAAGATTGCTGCATCACATAGCTATTTTAAAATAATTTCTCAGAATAAGAGTATTAAAACTAACATTCTCTACTTTGAAGAAAATGCGTGGCATATGGTGACAGTTGATAATTGGTGCAGCCTCTACCTTTATATGAGATTGATGGGTATATTGAGAAGGTGTTGAATGTAAGGTAGCATTTTTTTCTTTTTCTTTTTTTTTTTGAAACGGAGTTTCTCTCTTGTCACCCAGGCTGGAGTGCAGTGGCGCAATCTCGGCTCACTGCAACCTCTGCCTCCCAGGTTCAAGCAGTTCTCCTGCCTCAGCCTGCGGAGTAGCTGGGATTACAGGTGCCCACCACCATGCCCAGCTAATTTTTTGTATTTTTAGTAGAGACGGGTTTTCACCATGTTGGCCAGGCTGGCCTTAAGCTCCTGACCTCAGGTGATCCACCCACCTCAGCCTCAGAAAGTGCCGGGATTACAGGCATGAGCCACCATGTCCAGCCCATTTTTTTCTTTTTATAAGCATTTAACTTCTGTCAAAATGTTTGAGATTCTGGCTTGTAAATATAGTGGATCTTAACAAGTGTACATTTGTTCTGTGCTAAAAAATAAATGTACACACACTTCATATTGTAATATGCTTGAATTGGCTCTGGATAACAGCCAAGAATGATATAGCAAATTTCATGAGAAATGACTTTAACATAATTTAGTTTTGGGAGCTAGAATTAAATAGAGTAAAACTTTGTAAGACATGGTGTACCATTTATTAAATTTCACCATTTTATCTATTTAGAAACCCGGTTCACTACAGGATATGCCTCTGTACTTTCTGCTGCCTTCTGCCTACATGATCAATGTGAAGCCAGGCCCAGACATGTCTCATCTAGAATGATTTGAGAAGAATTTGATTTCACTTTTCTGAGAAGGTTGGGAAAGATTCTGACTTTATCCAGTTTACCAGACATGGCAGTGAAGTAAGTGTGTGTGTGTGTGTGTGTGTGTGTGTTGTTGTTTGTTTTTTGTTTTTGTTTTTGTTTTTGTTTTGAGATGGAGTCTTGCTCTGTCACTCAGGCCGGAGTGCAATGGCATAATCCCGGCTCACTGCAACCTCTGTCTCCTGGGTTCAAGCAATTCTCCTGCCTCAGCCTCCTGAGTAGCTGGGATTACAGGCGCCCGCTGCCATGCCCAGCTAATTTTTGTATTTTTAGAAGAGACAAGGTTTCACTATGTTAGCTAGGCTGGTCTCGAACTCTTGACGTCAGGTGATCCGCCTGCCGCAGCCTCCTAAAGTGCTGGGATTATAGGCGTAAGACACTGTGCCTGGCCGGCAGTGAAGTTTTAAAACTGATGGAGAGGTATCTGCACCTTTTAATTTTTAAAAATTTCTTTTAAATGATGTTGCTAAATGTACATTTTAATATAATGCTATGTCTAAGGGAGGGTCTCAAAGTATCCAAATTTTGATACGAGATGGCAGAACTTCAGGGAGCCAGCAAGTGCAGGGCATGGGTTTCAGGTTTAGTTGATGAATAGTCTAGCTAACTGTTCATCGGCTAACCTGAAGCCCATGTTTCTTTCAACCCTTCTGATTGGGAGTGTTTCTAAACTGTATTATTCTTTTCTGCAACAGTAAATAGTGATTCTTTGGTGATCTGGGCTATGTTTATAAATATAATTTTTTATTGGTGAATACCCTAGAATTAGTTCTCATGTCAGATAAACTCACTTTTAGTTTCCATAATATCTTACAATCGAAGTGGTTGATGAGAGTGCAGACGGTTCCCAGCTTACAGTGATTCGACTTATGATGCTGTAAAGGCAACACGCATTCAGTAGATACCATACTCTGGGTACCCATAGGACGGCCAGGCAAGGTGGCTCATGCCTGCAATCCCAGCACTTTGGGAGGCCTAGGCAGGGGGATCACCTAGGTCAGGTGTTCAAGACCAGCCTGGCATACATGGTGAAACACTGTCTCTACGAAATAAAAAAATTAGCTGGGCATGATGGTGGGTGCCTGTAATCCTAGCTGCACGGGAGGCTGAGGCAGGAGAATCGCTTGAACCCGGGAGGCAGAAGTTGCAGTGAGCTGAGATTGCGCCATTGCACTCCAGCCTGGGCTTCAGAGTGAGACTCCATCTCAAAAAAAGGAAAGAAAAGAAAAAGAGTACCTATACAACCATTCTGTTTTTCTCTTTCAGTACAGTATTCAATAAATTACATGAGGTATTCGACACTTTATTATAAATAAGCTTTGTGTGAGATGATTTTGCCCAACTGTAGACTAATGTAAATCTTCTGAATGTGTTCAAGCTAGGCTAAGCTGTGATGTTTGCTAGGTTAGGTGTATTAAGTGCATTTTCACTTAGAATATTTTGCATTTACAGTAAGTTTATCAGGACAAAACCCCATTGTAAATTGAAGAGCATCTGTAAAGGAAGATGGCTAGATCCTAAGAAGACAGCTACCAGCTTTGTTTCTTCCTCTACTGGGAAACTTCGTGATTTCGAAGGTGAAGAAATGTTGATGGCAACTGGACTCTTTTTTTTTGAGATGGAGTCTCGCTCTGTTGCCCAGGCTGGAGTGCAGTGGCACGATCTCAGCTCACTGCGACCTCTGCTCACTGCAACCTCCACCTCCCAGGTTTAAGCAATTCTCCTGCCTCAGCCTCCCAAGTAGCTGGGATAATAGGCACGCACCACCCTGCCCAGCAAATTTTTTATTTTAGTAGAGATGGAGTTTCACCATGTTAGCCAGGCTGGTCTCGAACTCCTGCCCTCAAATGATCTGCCCGCCTCGACCTCTCAAAGGGCTGGGATTACAAGCATGAGCACTAAGCCCGGCTGAGCATAGACTTTTTAGGAAAGGCCAAGTGGTGGCAGCATCCAGTTGTACATGTAATTCTGTAGGAGAGATTTGCGATCTACAGCCTGGGATGACTCCCTATAGTCTAAGGTAACTGTGATTACAAGATGTGCCATTTTTTAATGTACCCTTAACAAAGAAAAAATTTTCTGATTAAATGATGACACAGTGCCTTCTTATGACATAGATTTTCAAAAATTTTATACTTACTGAAAGTATTCTTTTTTTTTCAAGAGACAGGGTTTTACTTTGTCAACCTGGCTGGAGTGCAGTTGTGCAATCATAGTTCACTGTAACTTTGAACTCCTGGGCTCAATTGATCCTTTCACCTCAGCCTTTCAAGTATCTAGGGCTGCAGGTACACAGCATCACGCTTGGCTAATTTTTAAATGTTTTGTAGAGATAGGGGTCTCAATGTGTTACTCAGGCTGGCCACAAACTCTTGACCTCAAGTAAGCTTCTCACGTCAACCTCCCCAAAGTGCTGGATTTATAGGCATGAACCACTGCACCTGGCCAAGTATTCTTTTAGACTTACTTATACATAGATTTTTTTCTTATTTCTCTTTTTTGGACATATATTTTTATAATATAACATTCTCTTACGTTAACAGAGAAATGCAAGCAAAATTTTAGTTAAGGCATTTCTAAAACTTTATTTCAATTCTAAATCGTGTTGTAATCTTAAAAAATATCAGGTAACCTGCTCGGGTCCCCTTCTGTGCCGTGGGGAAGCTTTGTCCTTTCGCTCTTCACAATAAACTTTGCTACCGCTAAAAACAAAACAAAACAAAACAACAACAACATCAAAAATCATTGTAAAAGTCAGTTAAACTTAACATCTGAGATAATAACCATGCACACATCTCATCTAAAGTGATGACAATGTGAACAGTATGATGAAGTTCTGATTTGCTCATGCAATCACCTATGCCGTGACCACCACCTGGCCAGGACAATTACTTGTAAGAGTTCATTGACTGTAAGGCACATCCTTATTTCAGAGATTTAAAGATGTGGAAAAAAATGTGCATCTTGGTGCTAGAGAGGATGTGGAGAAACAGAAATGTTTTTACACTGTTGGTGGGAGTGTAAATTAGTTCAACCATTGTGGAGGATGGTGTGGTGTTTTCTCAAGGATCTAGAACTAGAAATACCATTTGACCCAGCAATCTCATTACTGGATATATATCCACAGGATTATAAATCATTCTACTATAAAGACACATGCACACATATGTTTACTGTGGCACTATTCACAATAGCAAAGACTTGGAACCAACCCAAATGTCCATCATTGATAGACTGGATAAAGAAAATGTGGCACATATACACCATGGAATACTATGCAGCCATAAAAAAGGATGAGTTCATGTCCTTTGCAGGGACATGGATGAAGCTGAAAACCATCATTCTCAGCAAACTAACACAGGAACAGAAAACCAAACACCACGTGTTTTCACTTATAAGTGGGAGTCGAACAGTGAGAACACATGGACACAGGGAGGGAAACATCACACACTGGGGCCTGTCGGGGTGGGAGTGTAGAGGAGGGATGGCATTAGGAGAAATACCTAATGTAAGTGATGGGTTGATGGGTGCAGCAAACCACCATGGGACGCACATACCTATGTAATAAAACTGCATGTTCTGCACGTGTACCCCAGAACTTAAAGTATAATAACAATTAAAAAAAAGTGCATCTGGGAAAAAATGAAGTGTGGTGATTTGTTTCTTTTTTTTTTTTTTTTTTTTGAGACGGAGTCTCGCTCTGTCACCCAGGCTGGAGTGCAGTGGCGCGATCTCCGCTCACTGCAAGCTCCGCCTCCCGGGTTCACGGCATTCTCCCGCCTCAGCCTCCCGAGTAGCTGGGACTACAGGCGCCCGCCACCGCTCCCGGCTAATTTTTTGTATTTTTAGTAGAGAAGGGGTTTCACCGTGCTAGCCAGGATGGTCTCGATCTCCTGACCTCGTGATCCACCCACCTCGGCCTCCCAAAGTGCTGGGATTACAGGCGTGAGCCACTGCGCCCGGCCTGTTTCTTCCTTTCTCTTCTCCTCCTCTGGTTTAAGTAAATTCCTGATATTCGTTTTGCCATTTGTCTCCCTCAGATTAAAATGGAGTTGATCATGGTTGAAAAATTACATTTAGGTAGGGTTCAGGGTGTGCTGAGTAACATTTTACTGCATTTTTAAGTTAAATGTTCTTAAAACTTTTTTATTCATAAAGATGCTTCAAAATGTGCTTTTAAAATCTACATGCAGTATGGTTTCATTGTATTATCTGAAAATGTCACTGGGAAATGATCAAAAAGATTCCCAAACTGAGGGGTTGAAAAATGCTATATTGGGCAATTACTGAATCTTCTGTAGTTTTTGAGTAAGCTGGAACCCAATATATGTGAGTAGAAAATATTAGGATGTCTATCCTTAATAATATTATCTCCTCTGCTGCTCACAGTCTTATCAACTGATACAAAATTTTTTAATTAAAATTTTCAACCTTTGACATCAGAACATCATAGTTCATTAAAGTAGCCCTTTCCATTAATTCCAGAAACTGGACTCCAGTTAACCAGTAACTTCTGTATCAGTGACATAATTTCCTGCACAATTGTTACTTTGTAATGGTTAACTTCTCTCTTAGTTGTTCGCAGCAGGGGGTAGTTTTCTTACTTTTTTTTTTTTTTTTTTGAGACAGAGTTTCGCTCTTGTTGCCCAGGCTGGAGTGCAATGGTGCCATCTTGGCTCACCGCAACCTCTGCCTTCCAGGTTCAAGCAATTCTCCTGCCTTAGCCTCCTGAGTAGCTGGAATTACAGGCATGCGCCACCACGCCCAGGTAATTTTGTATTTTCAGTAGAGACGGGGTTTCTCCATGTTGGTCAGGCTGGTCTCCAACTCCCGACCTCAGGTGATCCCACTGCCTCGGCCTCCCAAAGTGCTGGGATTACAAGCATGAGCCACCATGCCCAGCCTAGGGGGTAGTTTTCTTTCATGAGTCTGCTATTATAATTCACGGTGACTTAAGACATTTTACCCTATAATAAAACAAAAACCTCTGAGTAGTAAGAGATAGTACTGTTTGACCTCAGTAACTGTCCATGAACTAAAAAAAAATCCATGAAAGTTACTGACTAAAAAACTGATAGTCCAAACTGGACTATACCAGCAGCAGCCTTTTGATGAGATGGAGTCAGACACTTGGCCATCTAAACACAATTGTTGGTATTAAAGGATAGTGAGAGTCTTTTGAAGAGAAAAAAAGAAAAGAATACTTTGTTCTGAGGTTGTGTAGAATTAAGGTCAGAGGAGAAATTTAGCCTGTCAGTAGTGTGAAAATACGAAAGAAGCCCCTGGAAAATTTGAAACAGGGTGAATCCAGTTTCATTTCATTGTTCTATTGCTCAAACCTTAAATTACAGAAGGATTAGCACAGTTTAGCAAAAGTAACAACAAAAAACCAGCAAACTCAGATGTACACTACTTAAATTTTTGCTTTAATGAAATCTGATAATAATTTGTATGGGCAGCAAGCCAAATCATAGACTTCAATTCTTTAGGGGGAAAAAAGGCATTGACTGCCTAATATATTTTGGCTTTATTGATTTTTTTAAACATTGCTTCTGACTAATGTACATGAAATTTTTATACCTGTTTACTTAGTGATTATGCATATAAATAATTGAGAGCTGAGAAACAGAAAAACAAAACTTAGTTTGATGCAGTAACTAGCACCTGATATCATTCCTGAGGTATTTGCCGGAGTCTGTAGAGTCAAGCAGAAGAAAATGAGCAACAATTTTATTAACTCCTAATCTTAGAGGGTCTTGCTCCCATTGAGAGTGACAAAAATAATTTAATTGTAAGTGAAGGACATGAAAAATTGCCTGGAGTATTGAAAGGATTTTGAGCTTAGCTTGCCCAGTTTTATGAAAGTTTTTTCTCCCCATGGCTGGACTGTGAAATCACCATGGAGGAGAAATTGCTTTATTTAAATAGCTTGCCTGCCTTCCTTCCTTCCTTCCTTCCTTCCTTCCTTCCTTCCTTCCTTCCTTCCTTCTTTCTTTCCTTCTTCTTCTTTCTTTCTTTCTTTCTCTTTCTCTCTTTTCTTTCTCCTTCTTTCTTTCTTTTTTCTTTATCTCTTTCTTTCTTTTATTTCTCCTTCCTTCCTTCCTTCCTTCCTTCCTTCCTTCCTTCCTTCCTTCCTTCCTTCCTTTCTTTCCTTCCTTTCTTTTCCAATAGTGATGAGATCTTATTGTGTTGCCCAGGCTGCTCTCTAACTCCTGAGCTGAAGTGTTGCTCCTGCCTCAGCCTCCCAAACTGCTGGAATTACAGGCATGAGCCATGGCACCCCGCTTTTAAATATATTTTCTGTGTAAAGACTCTAAGAATCTGTGTAAAGAATCACAACAAACTCCTGGTAAGAGAGTAAATTGTGCCGCAATTAGAATTACTCAAAGAAAAGTTTTAATAGTGCGTCTACTTCTGCTGTTCTGCAGCCAGGCCAGCTTAGCAGCATCTTAAGCCTGCCGCTGAGGCAGAAATCATTTAAAAAACCAATCTCTGTCTCTGTCTCTGTCTCTCTATCTCTCCTCTCTCTTTTTAAAGATTCTACATATGAGGGAGATCTTACAGTATTGATCTCACTGTGTCTGGCTTTTTCAGTTAACAGATGAGTGAGTTCTGGGGATCTAAGGTACATTGTGGTGACTATGGTTAATAATATTATCTGATATACTACTTGAAATTTGCTAAGACAATAGACATTAAGTGTTCTCACCACACATACAAATGCTAATTATGTGAAATGAGAGATGTGCTAATTAACTTGATTGTGCTTATTTCATAATGTATATGTATATCATATCATCATGTTGTATACCTTAAATGCATACAATTTTTTAACGTGTTTTTCTAATTCTTTTTTTTTTTTTTCTTGAGACAAGACTTCACTCTGTCACCCAGGCTGCAGTGCAGTGGTGTGATCATGGCTCGCTAAAGCCTCAACCTTGGACTCAAGTGATCCTCCCACCTCAGCCTCCCAAGTAGCTTGGGACTATAGGCCCACACCACCACACCTGGTTAGTTTTTTAATTTTTGTAGAGATGGGTTCCCACTGTGTTGTCCAAGCTGGTCTTGAATTCCTGGGCTCAAGCCCTGGGCCTCCCACAGTTCTGGGATTACAGGTATGAGCTACTGCACTCGGACTACAATTTTTATTTGTCAATTATACCTTAATAAAGCTGAGGCAAAAATAAGCCAAAGCCCATCTCTTTGGTTTGGTCCTCACTCCTCATAATTGATCAATTCTCCCGGGGGTTCTGATTTTCTGTAACTATAGTGTATTACTTTATTCTTCAGCTTCCAGAAACTAGCATGTATAAGAACAAATCTATGATAAAAATTATGTATATTGCCAATAGATACACTGAAACACATCAAAGGGTGAATGAGTTGATGATCATTGTAGTGCCAACTCCTGCCACATCCTTCTCTGGTAGCTCATGCAACGGAACTCTCTCGTAAAATCTCCTTCCTTGATACTTTGATGTTTAGACATTTCTTCATTCGCCACTTGCTTTCTTCATCTTCAGTCCACTTTAAGACCTGTGGGTCTATCCACTTTCAAAGAAAGGAAGTAAATGGGCATAACTAATATATGTAAACCAGGCACTTTTTAGAACAAACAATATGCAAAATAAAGGGGGGTGGTGATTGGTTAGAAATGGTACTTCTGGCATTACAAATAATGGATATTATAGGCTAATTTGTGTCTCCCCACAACATTCATATGTTGACATCCTAACCTTGGTTGACTTTTATTATTATTATTATACTTTAAGTTCTAGGATACACGTGCACAATGTGCAGGTTTGTTACATAGGTATACATGTGCCATGTTGGTTTGCTGCACCCATCAACCCATCATTTACATTAGGTATTTCTCCTAATGCTATCCCTCCCCCAGCCCCCCACCCCCCAACAGGCCCCAGTGTGTGATGGTCCCTTCCCTGTGTCCATGTGTTCTCGTTGTTCAACTCCTACTTATGAGTGAGAACATGCGGTGTTTGGTTTTTTGTCCTTGTTATATTTTGCTGAGAATGATGGTTTCCAGCTTTATCCATGTCTCTGCAAAGGACATGAACTCATCATTTTTTATGGCTGCATAGTATTCCATGGTGTATATGTGCCACATTTCCTTTATCCAGTCTATCACTGATGGACATTTGGGTTGGTTCCAAGTCTTTGCTATTGTGAATAGTGGCCCAATAAACATTCGTGTACATGTGTCTTTATAGTAACATGATTTATAATCCTTTGGGTATATACCCAGTAATGGGATCGCTGGGTCAAATGGTATTTCTAGTTCTAGATCTTTGAGGAATCACCACGCTGTCTTCCACAATGGTTGAACTAATTTACACTTCCACCAACAGTGTAAAAGCATTCCTATTTCTCCACATCCTCTCCAGCATCTGTTGTTCCTGACTTTTTAATGATTGCCATTCTAACTGGCATGAGATGGTATCTCACTGTGGTTTTGATTTGCATTTCTCTGATGACCAGTGATGATCAGCATTTTTTCATATGTCTGTTGGCTGTATAAATGTCTTTTTTTGAGAAGTGTCTGTTCATATCCTTTGCCCACTTTTTGATGGGGTTGTTTGTTTTTTTTCTTGTAAATTTGTTTAAGTTTTCTGTAGATTCTGGATATTAGCCCTTTGTCAGATGGATAGATTGCAAAAATTTTCTCGCATTCTGTAGGTTGCCTGTTCACTCTGATGATAGCTTCTTTTGCTGTGCAGAAGCTTTTTAGTTGAATTAGATTTCTATTTTGGCTTTTGTTGCCATTGCTTTTGGTTTTTTAGTCATGAAGTCTTTGCCCATGCCTATGTCCTGAATGGTATTGCCTAGGTTTTCTTCTAGGGTTTTTATGGTTTTAGATCTTACCTTTAAGTCTTTAATCCATCTTGAGTTAATTTTTGTGTATGGTGTAAGGAAGGGATCCAGTTTCAGCTTTCTGCATATGGCTAGATTGGCCTTTTTTTTTTTTTTTTTTTTTCCAAATGAGACAGGGTCTCCTTTGTTGCCCAGGCTGGAGTGCAGTGGCACACTCATAGCTCACTGCAGCCTTGAACTCCTGGGCTCAAGCAATCCTCCCACCTCAGCTTCAGGTAGCTGAGACTACAGGAATGCACCACTGTGCCCTGTAGCAAGGTTGGTTTTTAAAATGATTTCTGCCTCAGTGGGAGGAATTAGAAGCTGCTAGGCTGAATTTATATGCCTGCAGGACAGCTGAAAGTAGATGTAATATTGAAACTTTTCTTTGAGTAATTTCACTTGTGGGTCTTGGGTTGAGTTTCCCAGAAGCAGATCTTGAGGCAAGGATTTGTACACAGTGATTTATTCTGCAAGTGTTTCCTGAGTAATTGGTAGGACATCAGGTAAGGCAACATCCCACCGAGTGCAGCTTCAACTTTATTCCACATGGGAGCTCTGAAGTATATATCATGCCTCCAAATTAGTCTGACCTAAAGCAAGGGTGCTGGGCTTTCATACTCTCACAATAGTCGGTCCCAGCAGAAGGGACAGAGGTAGGAGTGGGGTGGTGGTAGGGAGAGTGGTGGGGAGGGAGAGAAATCATCAGACACTCTCTGCTCTCTGCCAGTTTGGATGATGCTGCTCCAGTAGTCTGAAGACAGTATGCAAAGAAGAGTCACGGGCATGGCACACAGAAGCGGGAGGGGAAACACACACAAGTGCCGAATGGAAGCCAGTGGATCTGGACAGAGCACCCACAGTGCCTATTTCAGGTAGTGAGGCACTGACTAAACTCCAGGCAGGGTCCTTTTTCTTCCTGCTCTGCTGTATTTTTACTGGGTCTGGTCAATTTCTGTTTACATAATATTTAGAATTTACCATACTATTTGGACAAGAAAGAAGAAAGATTTACCTTAAAAAATAAGAGATAACACTTTTTGGTGCATACAATGTGCTGGGCACTTCTCTAAGCAGTACACCTTTTTTCTGAGATGGAATTTTGCTCTTTTTACCCAGGCCAGAGTGCTGTGGCATGATCTCGGCTCACTGCAACCTCCGCCTCCCGGGTTCAAGCAATTCTCCTGCCTCAGCCTCCTGAGTAGCTGGGATTACAGGCACCTGCCACCATGCCTGGCTGATTTTTTGTATTTTTAGGAGAAACGGGGTTTCACCATACTGGCCAGGCTGGTCTCGAACTCCTGACCTCAGGTGATCCACCCCCCTCGGCCTCCCAAAGTGCTGGGATTACAGGTGTAAGTCATTGTGCCCGGCCTATGCTCTATACATTCTTTTAATCCTATATGCCAGTTTTATGGATAAGGACACTAAGGCTTACAAAAATTAAGTAACTTTTCTATTGGTGATACAGCTTAAGTGATGAAACCAAGATTCAAAATCAGGTTTTGAGTATCACGTAAAAATAAAACAACACAACCAGTCTTTTTTGAAGTATAATGACATTTTCGGTGAAGCAATTTAAAATCAATTTTGAGACCATCTTTATGAAATAGATACAAATGTTTACTTAGTTAAAAGGCTTAAATAGTTTGATGAATGGGTTGGAATGTGTATTTGTTTTGAAATATAATGAATCTCTAGTCAGCTTTTTTTCTTAATTTCTCTCTCATAGTAAAAGTCTAATATTACCAATAAATATTGAGCAAGTCAGTTTCAGAGGTGAAACTGAAAAAAGTCCTGAAAAAAGAACTCTGGCTCTGGAATATATATTTTTGTTCACATCTACATGCTATCTGGCATAGGAAAAGTGCAGTCCTTTCAAGAGTAAAGTTTTGTTCCCAGCGGACTGTGGCAGCTACGTAGTCCATCTGACACATTTATTGACTCCAGTGAATTTGGCTGTGGTTGAAGACCTCAGGCAATTTTTTCTTCCTTGCTGTGAAATAATTGTCTAGAGACAGGAGAATCCTCCAGATGGCTAGTTAAATGCCTCCAGAAGGCCTGGGGCATTGGTGAATCTCTCCGAGGATTTTTGTAGTTTACAAGTGGCTTTTGGTTGAAGAATCTCATTATTCAGATCCCTCAGAATGGGATCTCCAAGGTGGCGTGTTTGTGAAGGAAATTGTAAAGTAGGTATGTGGTTGCATCTCAGCATTTCTGGGTAAAACTCTCTAATGCGGAGTTTCTTTCTTTTTTTTTTTTTATTAAAAAAACAACATTGATATTTAAAATTGTTTCTTTTTTTTTCTAGCATTATTAGGATTTTTTTTTTTTTTTTTTTTTGCATATACCTGTCTTCCTCACTTTCATGTCTCAAACCCCTATATTTTCATACTGGAGGTAAAATGGGCAAAAATTAATAAGCATAGCTTGCCAGGTTCTTGCTTCCATATGAAAAGTACATGTGCATCCCATAGACTTCTCCGTCCAAATTTCCCCAGTTATTTCTAGGATGTCCCAGGGAAGGAGCTCTTAAGTCTGTACTGCTTCTCCATGTTCCTCATTCTCCACTCTAGCACCCTTTGGTGCTATTTCCTGCTTCTGCCTCTACTGCTCGTGCAGCCAAGTGCTGGCCCCTGGGCACTGTTACCGCTATGGGATGACGCTGTCTCTTGCCAGCACCATTGCCTTGGTTATGCTAGAGTCCTCAGGGGCCCAGGGAGCCCTGCCAAGACGACTCTGCTCCCTGCACCAGAATGACTCTCACCTCCCCCTCCCTCTTCCATGTTACATTTTACATACAGTACAAAAGAAGAGCTGTTTGTGTTCAGTGCGTCATAGAATTTATATTGAATACGTATTTCAGGTTTTACTTGTAGCCACATCCATTCTCCATGAGTTCAAGGAGACCGAAACTGACAAATGTGATTCTGGGCTTACATCACATTTAAGCTCGTCTCCCATGACCTAGGCTTTGTGACTGGGACCAATTTTACTTCTCTACTTCCTTTTACTTCAGGATCTGGTTTTTTTGTTTTTTGTTTTTTTTTTTCCAGGAGATGCCTTAGTTTCTCATAAAAATACATTTCTGATGGGTCCACCTAACAGTCTGTCAGGCATGCTCATATATCTGTGAATCCCAGTGATAGATACAGCTGAGACTCCAGCTAGGATGCCTCCCTCCCTCCTTCTCTCCCTCCCTCCTTCTCTGCCTCCCTTCCTTCTTCCTCTTACTCTCCCTTTTCATCTCTCTCCTTTTACACTCATACACATTATTAATGTATTCATCAAGTACCACCTATATGCTAGGCACTGTTCTAATCACTTCAGATAGAACAGCGACAAAATAGACAATGTCCTACTGTCTTGAACATTGTAGAGTGATGAGTGCTATGACCAGCACCTACAACAGAGAGCTGTGACAGACAGTGACCAGAGGCTAATTTCTATGGAGTGGTGAGGGAAGGTCTTTCTCATAAGGTAAATGTTCAGCTGAGATCTGAATAACAAGAAGGGCCCAATTATATAAAAACCTGGCATTTGAGCCTTCTATGCAGAGAGAATAACAATATTTATGACTATATATATATACGTATCTCCTAGTCTACCACTGAAAGCTTTCATTGCCCCTAAATATGTAAGAAGCGGGGTTGGGGGGGGGAGTTTACACAGAACCCACCATGATTGACTTGTTCCACTTACCCAGATGTGACACTGGGGCCCATCCTGAGCAGCACCCCATATGAGTGACCCGGCCTCATAGGCTCTCAGCAAGAGATCCCTCTCGGGACACAGCCGCATCCCGAAGCCACTGTGCACTCTAACGGGGCCTCTGGGCATATGGTTTTCAGGGTTTTTCACCTCATTCCACAGGGAGGGGAGCTCCAGGGAAATCTCAGGGCAGGTGCAGAATCACAGCAGGGGAGAGGGTGGTAGGAAGCCTGCATTCTCTTTATTCACAGGGAAGTCTAGATTCCACAGAATTAAGCTGCAGCAGATGAAGAGTGGGGCCTTCTCTTTTCACCACAGGGTATTTCTGATAGAGTAGGAAGGTGAGACTTGGATTCCCAAGACAGCTAAGGAACTCAGGTGGCTCTAGCACCCCTGTGGGGTCAGGGTCTCCCTCTCACTCCTCAGAGGGGACACTGGTCACCACAAGCTGGGGCTCCTCGCAGGCAGCCTCACTGAGTATTCTGGCTTTCAGCGTTCTCCCGATGGGGCTGAGCGATCTGTGTGTTGCTGTCCTTCACCCTGGGCTCCCCCTGAAACCACAGGCCTCCTCACTGTCCCTGAGCTGCGTCTCAGTCAGAGACCCGCTATTTGCCTGCTGGATTTTCCCATGCTTATCCCTCCATATTGTCTTTGCTCATCTTTCTCTCACTAGGACTGCTTTTATTTCCTGTTCATCTCATCACTCTCTCACATCCAGTCAACTCTTAAGGCCCAGCTCCAGACCCCACCTCCTCTGAGGGGCCCTTCCATTTTTTTTTTTTTTTTTTTTTTGGATGGAGTCTTGCTGTGTCTCCCAGGCTGGAGTGCAGTGGCCTGATCTGGTTCACTGCAACCTCCACCTCCCAGGTTCAAGCAATTCTCATGCCTCAGCATCCCAAGTAGCTGGGATTACAGATGTGAGCCACCATGCCTGGCTAATATTTTTGTATTTTTGTTTTTAGTAGAGATGGGGTTTTGCCATATTGGCCAGGCTGGTCTTGAACTCCTGACCTCAAGTGATTGATCCACCTGCCTTGGCCTCCCGAAGTACTGGGATTACAGGTGTGAGCCACCTCTCCTGGCTACCTTTCCAATTGTTGTTATTGCTCCCATTACTCTCTTCTTTGCTGGATACCAACAAACATCTAGATTCCAACTTATGCACTCTTCTCCCCTTCTTCCTCTCCTTCCTTTTTTTTTTTTTTTTTGAAATGGAGTCTCACTCTGTCGCCCAGGCTGGAGTTCAGTAGCCCAGTCTTGGCTCACTGCAAGCTCCGCCTCCTGGGTTCATGCCATTCTCCCGCCTCAGCCTCCCGAGTAGCTGGAACTACAGGCGCCCGCCACCACGCCCGGCTAATTTTTTGTATTTTTAGTAGAGACGGGGTTTCACTGTGTTAGCCAGGATGGTCTCGATCTCCTGACCTTGTGATCTGCCCGCATCGGACTCCCAAAGTGCTGGGATTACAGGCGTGAGCCACCGCGCCCAGTCCTTCCTCTCCTTCCTTTTTTCCTCCCTCCCACTTTCTTCCTTCTAAATGAGAATTAGCTTATTCATCTTCTTTTTGAAGAAAAAAATTGTTACTAAATAATACGTAACAGGAATATTTGTAAACGTATGTGAACAGCATAAAGCATTAACAATAATACAAAGACGTACCACTCCCCCTGGCTCAAGAATGAGAGATTACCATTTTCCTGCAGTAACCCCATGTGCTCCCGCTAGGTCCCACCCCCTTTATTCCCCAGTCTACATCCCGATGGGTCACCACTATCCTGAATGCGTATCTATAACTGTTCCTTACTCACCACTTTGGATCCTTAAACAGTGACTTATTTAGTTCTGTGGGCATTTGAATTTTATACTAGTGGGATTATAGTATGTGAACTCTTCTGTGTCTTGCTTAATTGGTTCAACATTGTGTTTGTAAGAGTCTTCCATGTTGACGCATGCTGCTGAGTTGATTTTCACTGCTGCATGGTATTCCATTGCATTAGTGTATCATTATTTATTAATCCGTTCTATGGTGGTGCCACATCAGGATTGTTTTTTTCCATTTATGTGAATGCTTCTACAAACATTGTTGTAGATGTCTCCTGATGCACATGTGCAGGAGTTTCCCTAGGATATGTACAAAGTAGAAGAATTGTTGGGATTGAGGGTGCACACATATTCAACTTTATAGGACATGCCAAATAATTTCCAATGTGGTTGTCCCTATTTATAGTTTCACCAGTGGTGGATGAGAGTTCCTGTTTTTCTGCATTCTTGATGAACTAGGTTTGTTATTTCTTAATTTTTGTCAATCCTGTGGCAAATATTGGAGGTTTTAGTTTGAATTTCTCTGATTTCTAATGAAGTGAACATCTTTTCATATGTTTATTGGTTATTTAGATTACTTCTTTTGTTAAGAGCCTATTCAAATGTTTTTTTCTTTTTTTTGTTTTATTTTTTTATTATACTTTAAGTTTTAGGGTACATGTGCACAACGTGCAGGTTTGTTACATATGTATACATGTGCCATGTTGGTGTGCTGCACCCATTAACTTGTCTTTTAACATTAGGTATATCTCCTAATGCTATCCCTCCCCCCTCTCCCCACCCCACGACTGGCCCCGGTGTGTGATGTTCCCCTTCCTGTGTCCAAGTGTTCTCATTGTTCAGTTCCCATCTATGAGTGAGAACATGCGGTGTTTGGTTTTTTGTCCTTGCGATAGTTTGCTGAGAATGATGGTTTCCAGCTTCATCCATGTCCCTACAAGGGACATGAACTCATCATTTTTTATGGCTGCACAGTATTCCATGGTGTATATGTGCCACATTTTCTTAATCCAGTCTGTCATTGTTGGACATTTGGGTTGGTTCTAAGTCTTTGCTATTGTGAATAGTGCCGCTATAAACATACCTGTGCATGTGTCTTTATAGCAGCATGATTTACACCTTTTTTTTTTTTGAGACGGAGACTTGCTTTCTCTCCGAGGCTGGAGTGCAGTGGCGCCATCTCGGCTCACTACAAGCTCCGCCTCCCGGGTTCACGCCATTCTCCTGCCTCAGCCTCCCGAGTAGCTGGGACTACAGACGCCCGCACCATGCCTGGCTAATTTTTTGTGTTTTTAGTAGAGAGGGGTTTCACCGTGTTAGCCAGGATGGTCTCAATCTCCTGACCTCGTGATCCACCCGCCTCGGCCTCCCAAAGTGCTGGGATTACAGGCGTGAGCCACCGCGCCCGGCCTATAATCCTTTGGGTATATACCCAGCAATGGGATGGCTGGGTCAAATGGTATTTCTAGTTCTAGATCCCTGAGGAATTGCCACACTGACTTCCACAATGGTTGAACTAGTTTATAGTCCCACCAACAGTGTAAAAGTGTTCCTATTTCTCCACATCCTCTCCAGCACCTGTTGTTTCCTTTTTAATGATCGCAATTCTAACTGGTGTGAGATGGTATCTCATTGCAGTTTTGATTTGTGTTTCTCTGATGGCCAGTGATGATGAGCATTTTTTCATGTGTCTTTTGGCTGCATAAATGTCTTCTTTTGAGAAGTGTCTGTTCATATCCTTCGCCCACTTTTTGATGGTTGTTTGTTTTTTTCTTGTAAATTTGTTTGAGTTCGTTGTAGATTCTGGATATTAGCCCTTTGTCAGATGAGTAGGTTGCGAAAATTTTCTCCCATTCTGTAGGTTGCCTGTTCACTCTGATGGTAGTATCTTTTGCTGTGCAGAAGCTCTTTAGTTTAATTAGATCCCATTTGTCAATTTTTTTTTCAGATGAGGTCTCACTCTGTCACCCAGGCCGGAGTGCAGTAGCAGTCTCAGCACACTGCAACCTCTGCCTCCCAGTCTCAAGTGAGCCTCCCACCTCAGCTTCCCAAGTAGCCTAGGCTACAGGCATGTGCCACCACACCCGGCTAATTTTTTCTGTATTTTTTTGTAGAGACAGGGTTTCACCTTGTTGCCCAGGCTGCTCTTGAATTCCTGAGCTCAAACAATCCACCTGCCTTGGCTTCCCAAAGTGCTGGGATTACAGGTGTGAGCCACGGCATCCAGCCTCCTAGTTCTTTTTTTTCTTTTCTTTTCTTTTTTTTTTTTTTTTTGAGATGGAGTGTCACACTGTCGCCCAGGCTGGAGTGCAATGGCGCGATCTCGGCTCACTGCAACCTCCGCCTCCTGGGTTCACACGATTCTCCCGCCTCAGCCTCCTGAGTAGGTGGGATTGCAGGCACACACCGCCACACCCAGCTAATTTTTTGTATTTTTAGTAGAGACAGGGTTTCACTATGTTGGCTAGACTGGTCTTGAACTCCTGACCTCAGGTGATCCACCTGCCTCGGCCTCCCATAGTGCTGGGATTACAGGCGTGTTCTTTATATATCCTCAGTAATAGTCCTTAATTGGTTGTACAGTTTGCTAATATCACCTTCCAGTTTGTAGGGTTTTTTTCCTTCTGTATTTATGGCTGACTAATATTCCATGGCATGGATTTACCGCATTTTGTGCTCTAACCATTCATCAATTGATGGACACATGAGTTGTTTCTACTTTTTGGCTATTATGAATAATGCTTCTATGAACATTCATGTATAACATATGTCAACATGTTTTTTAACATGTTATACACAGTTTTTTTGTATGCGAATCTACGTTTTTATTTTTATTTTTTTGAGACAGGGTCTCTCTTTGCCACAGGGGCTAGAGTGCAGTTGCATAAAAACAGCTTGCTACAGCCTTGATCTCCCAGGCCCGAGCAATCCTCTTGCCTCAGCCCCTCAAGTAGCTGGAACTACAGGTGCGTGCCACCACACCTGGCTAATTTTTTTGTATTTTTTGTAGGGATGGGGTTTCACAATGTTGGCCAGGCTGGTCTTGGACTCCTGACCTCAAGTGATCCTCCTGCCTTGGCCTCCCAAAGTGCTGGGATTACAGGCATGAGCCACTGTGCCTGGCCTGTATGTGAACATATGTTTTTAATTCTCTTGGGTATATGCTTAGGAATGGAATAGCTGGGTATATGATATCCTATCTCTTTTTGAGGAGTTGCCAACTGTTTCCAAAGAGGCTGCGCCATTTTACATTCCCACCAGTAATGTATGAGGGTTCAAATTTCTCCACATTCCCACCAAGACTTATTTTTTTCTTTTAAACTATTATAGCCATCCTAGTGGATGTGAAACAGTAGCCTCTATATCCATTAGTATTTGGTGTGTCCCTTGTAAACAGGACAGAGCTGGGGTTTTCCTTCCGTATGACAACCTTTTTCTTTCACTTGATGCATTTAACCCATTTATTTATTGTGATTAATGACCTAATTAGATTTTTTTTTTCTTTTTGAGACAGGGTCTTGCTCTGCCACTCAGGCTGCAGGGCAGTGGTGTGATCTCAGCTCACTGCAGCCTCCCCCAGTCCCCTGCTCAAGAGATCCTCCCACCTCAGCCTCCTGAGTAGCTGGGACCACAGGCATGCACCACCATGCCCGGCTATTTTTTTTGTAATTTTGGTAGAGACAGAGTCTTGCCACATTGCCCAGGCTAGTCTCAAACTCCTAAGCTTAAGTGATCTTCCCACCTCAGCCTCCCAAAGTGCTGGAATATAGGCATGAGCCACTGCTCCTAGCCTTAATTAGATTTTTATCACATAATTTTGTGCTTTCTTTGTGTCATGCTGTTTAAAAACTCTTTCTTTTAGATGAATACTCTTTTTCTTTATTTCATTTTCCCTGATCTATCAGTTTGGCCGTTACACTCAGTATGTCTATTTTTTTTTTTGAGACGGAGTCCCGCTCTGTCACCCAGGCTGAGTGCAGCGGCGCGATCTCGGCTCACTGCAACCTCCACCTCCCAGGTTCAAGCGATTCTCTTGCCTCAGCCTCCTGAGTAGCTGGGATTACAGGTGTGCACCACCATGCATGGCTAATTTTTTGTACTTTTAGTAAAGACGGGGTATCACCATGTTGGCCAGGCTGGTCTTGAGCTCCTGACCTCAGGTGATCTGCCTGCCTCAGCCTCTCAAAGTGCTGGGATTACAGGCATAAGCCACTGAGCCCGGGCTCAGAATGTCTATTTTTTAAAACAATGGTTACCCTATACATTTTAACATGCATACATAACAATATCACAAGTTATTATATTTATCTTACTCCACAAAAACAAACAAAAGGGGCTTATAATGCTTACATTTTGATTACTCTTTTCCCCATTTATTTCTGTTATTCTCTTTTTGGTTTTTTTTTTTTTTTTTTTTGAGACAGAGTCTTACTCTTTCTCCCAGGCTGGAGTGCAGTGGCATGATCTTGGCTCACTGCAACCTCCACCTCCCGGGTTCAAGCAATTCTCCTGCCTCAGCCTACTGAGTAGCTGGGATTACAGGCACGCGCCACTGCACCCAGCTAATTTTTGTATTTTTAGTAGAGACGGGGTTTCGCCATGTTGGCCAAGCTTGTCTTGAACTCTTGACTTCAAATGATCCGCCCGCCTCAGCCTCCCAAAATCTTGGGATTACAGCCACGCCTGGCTTACATTCTATTATTTTCTAGTATTCTAGTTCTATATGAATCATACATTCCACAATCAGACAGTGTCATTATTGTTTCCTGTAGTCATTTAAAATATTTATCACATAGTTACCAGTGTCTTCATTCACCATTCCTTCTTGCCCCTCAGACTATCATTCGTCAATTTTTTTTTTTTCTGTCTGAGCCAAGTTCTTAAAATTTCCTTTAATGAACTTCTGTTGGTGGTAAACGCTCTCATTTTGTACTCATTCTTTAGAAAGATAATTTTGCCAGGCACAAATTCCATATTGACAACTATTTTCAAAACACATTGAAGATCTTAGTCCACTGTTTTCTGGTTTGTAATGTTCCTTTTGAGAAATCAGTCATTAATTGAATTGTCTTTTCTTTGTGGGTAATACGTGTTTTCCCACTAATTTCTTTTGATTTTTTGTTATGTGCCTATTTTGTATCGCAGAATCACTACGATATCCTAAGGTGGTTATTCTTTGTTTTTTTTTCTTCTTAAGATTCATTTGACTCCCTGAATATGAATATTTGAACCTTTCAATAATTACAGAAAACTTTAGTTAATGCCTCTGCTTCATTCTCTTTGTGTCTCCTTCTGGAATTTTGATTAAAGATATAGTAAATAGTCTTACTTTAGCTCCTAACCCTTCTTTCATATTTTTCATCTATTCTCTCTCTGTCCTGTCTTCTGGATAACTTATTTGTTATTTTTTTCTTTTTTTTTAACTGAAGTCCAGAAATGAGATGCAAGGATAACTTATCTGAATATACTGTTTTAGTTTAATAATTCTCTCTTTGGATGTGACTAATCTGCTATTTAAAGTCTTCATTGAGTTTTAAATTTTAATTATGTTTTTCAATTCTAGAGATTCTGCTTCACAATTTTTTAAAAAAACCTTTGGTCATTTTAAAAGTCTTTTGTTCTTATACTTTCAATCGCTTTTTTTCTTTAAATATAGTAAACATAATTATTTTACATTCTGCCTGTGATAATTCCTGTATCTGAAATTTTTGTAGGTCTGATTCTTCTGTCTCTTGTTCCTTCAGATTCCCATTTATCATTTGTTTTCTTATAAGTTTTAGGTTTTTTTACTGTATATTCATGTTTCTTGGAACATTATATATGGAGATTATCTGTAAATTGAGTAGAAGCTGTGTTCCTCCAGAGAGAATTTGTGTTGGTTTCTGTCAGCCATCTGAGAACAATTCCAATCCAGGATCACTTTACATTTAATTCTTTGCCTCACATTTTGTAGATCACAAAGACAGAGTTAATTAGGTTCCATAACTATCTAGGGGTCAACTGATGTAATTATGAAGCATCAGGATGAAATTCTGTGATCCCTTCCTCCCACCTCGGCCTTTAGCACAAATGGGAAAATAAGCATATCTTCTTGCCGTAATTGCTCTGCAAAGAGGGCTAATTTCTTATTCACCATTACATTTATGGTCTAACTCTTTGAGGTTCCATATTTGCATGGGGAACTTCTCTCTGAATCTTCACCTTGGGAGGCCCTAGGCCTATCTCTTGTGTCTCTGTCCCTGTGTAGCCATCAAAATAACAGTTCCAGGTCACCAGGGCATGGGCAGGTATACTTAAAGCTGATTTTAGTGCTTGCTTACTTCCCAGGATTTCTGTTATTACCCAAGTTTTGGCTTTTCTGAATTCTTTTCATTCTTGCCGAATTGGCAATGCATTTAAAAAGGTTTAGACATTTAGCCAGGCATGGTGTCTCATGGCTGTAATTCCAGCACTTTGAGAGGCCAAGATGGGGGGATTGCTTGAGACCAGGAGTTCAAGACCAGCCTGGGCAACACAGAGAGACCCCCATCCCTCCACAACATTTAAAAAAATTAGCCGGTTGTAGTGGTGCACACCTGTAATCCTAGCTACTAAGGAGGCTGGGGCAGGAGGATTGCTTAAGCCTAGAAGTTGCAGTGAGCTATGATCATGCCACAACCTGGGTGACAGAGGGAGGCCCTGTTTCTAAAGAAAAAAAAAAAGATTTAGATTTTATAAAAAAAGATCCAGCATTTTGGATTGCTTTAGAAGGAGAGTGATCCAAGATATTTAGCTCACCATGTTGTCAGAAATGAAAGTCTACCAATATTCTCTTTAAAAAGCACTAAGGGCAGAAACCACATATGAGCATATATACTCCATAATGGTTTCTAATACAACACTGGACACATCACAGCAGCTGTTCAACGCTCCTCAAGGTGCATCCCTTCTTCCTGCATGTCCACACCACCCTTCATGCTCAGATTAATTCATTTAACAAACATTTATTAAACACTTAATGTTTACCATGATACTAACTGCTAGAAGACCCATGGAAGATACCTTCTTCTATAGCACAGAGAAAATAGAAGCTCTTGGTTTGAGTTTTCCCAACTTTCCTTCATCTCGGCCTCTAAACTTGCTACTTTATAGGGGTTTGCAGGTCTCATTCTAGTAAACTGAAAGTTTTTTCACTGCTATCAAATCCGTCAACATAAAATTGTATATGTTTTTCAGAGAAATAAAATTGTAACTTGGAGAAATACGGTATTTGGTTTATGTAGAATTTGAAGATAAACAACTATGGTTTTCTTCAGAATTCACTTTATGGTTTTCTTCAGGATCCACTTATGATTTTATATAAAATAAAGTTTAATGTTTCTGGTTTTAGGAGATTGTTTCTACTCATCTCACATTCTAAGTGGAAATAAAGAAAGTAGTAAATGATTACTTCTGGCTGGGAGAAGTGGCTTACACCTATAATCCAAGCACTTTGGGAGGCTGAAGCAGGATGATCACCTGAGGTCAGGAGTTTGAGACCAGCCTGGCCAACATGGTGAAAGCCCGTCTCTACTAAAAATACAAAAATTAGCCAGGCTTGGTGGCGTGCACCTGTCATCCCAGCTACTCGGGAGGCTGAGGTGGAAGAATTGCTTGAACCCAGGAGGCGGAGGTTGCAGTGAGCCGAGATCACGCCACTGCTTTCCAGCCTGGGTGACAGAGTGAGACTCTCCGTCTCAAAACAACAACAACAACAACAAAAACAACAACAACAATCTATTACTTTTTATTATTCTTTTCTTTTTTTTCTTTTGGAAAAAAATTTGGAATGCTTCATTTATTTGCATGTCATCCTTACACAGGAACTTATGCTAATCTTATCTGTATCATTCCAGTTTTAGTATATGTGCTGCTAAAGCAAGCCTTTTTATTGTTCTTAACTCGTTAGTTACATGGCAATGTATGGAACAAGCATTTTTAGGCTGGATGTGGTGGCTTACGCCTGTAATCCCAGCATTTTGGGAGGCCGAGGCAGGTGGATCACCTGAGGTCAGGAGTTTGAGACCAGCTTGGCCAACATGGTGAAACCCTGTCTCTACTAAAAATACAAAAATTAGATTGGCATGGTGCCAGGCACCTGTAATCCCAGCTACTCAGGAAGCTGAGGCAGGAGAACTGCTTGAACCCGAGAGGCAGAGGTTGCAGTAAGCCGAGATCATGCCGTTGCACTCCAACCTGGGTGACGAGCAAATCTCTGTTCCAAAACAAACAAACAAAGCTCTAAACCTAGGTGAGGCAATGAGGATGAGCAGTAGAGGAAGGATTAAGGTATGTTAGGCAAATGGAAGCTACAGGATTTGGTTCTGGATAGGAGTTAAGGATGATACCCCTTATAGTCAATATTGGCCAATGAGTTAGCCAGTTAATATAGCCAACTGGGGTAGGCCACCTAGCACGTGGATTTGAAGGAGAGGTTAGCCATTACCAGAACTAATTGAATTCACCTGACAAGAGGCTTGTCAGAGAGTCACCGTTACCCATGTGTAGGTCCAAGAAACAGTCTCAAGGCCCTCAAGTTCCTGTTCTTTTTGAGGCTAAGATGTGAAAACCAATTGTAAAGGTGACACTTTTTAAGGAAAAACTAGCAGAATATGTCTCACATTTAATACATATCTCTGTTGCCTTGAAAGGATATTAAAACTCAATACTGGCTAAGAGAGCTTGGTTTCCTGTGTAGGTGCACACCTCTGCACGTGGCTGTGCATTTTCTGTGGAAGCTAAGCAATTAGTCTTAGAATCTCTTCGGTTGTCAAGGACTGTACTTTTTTTTTTTTTGCTGATCTGAAAATATGTTTCCTTCTACAGGAGCATTTTCCAGTTTTTGAAGTTTTAGGTTAATTTTTAAACTTAATATATTTTCCTTTTGTTTATGCATTCATGAAATAATTATTTAATACTTACTATGTTCCAGCCTCTGTGCTAGGTACTAGTAAGACATTGATGAATAAAATGAACACAATCCTTTTCCTTAGGGAATTTATACATATAAACATTTAACTCTACAAAGATTAAACATGTAATTATATAAAGCTTTACAATTAAACATATAATTATATGAAGATTTGTAATTACGTAGCCAGGCATGGTGACTTGTACCTGTAGTCCTACCTACTTGGGAGGCTGAGGTGGGAGGATCACCTGAGCCTATGAGGTCAAGGCTGCAGTATGTTATGCTCATGCCTTTGAGTAACCACTGCTCTCCAGCCTGGGCAACATAGTGAGATCCCATCTTTTAAAAATAAATAAACATTTAAAAATTTATACTTATAATTGATAAAACCTATAGAGAAAAAATATGTAATATGTTGGGGGTTTATCCTGATCTGGGGAGTGGGGTAGAGAAGATTTCCTGGGGAACTGACATTTAAGTTGGAACTTGATCTATAGAGGGAGTTGGAAGGAGCCAAATAAATAGGAATGGGGGGATAAGGGGCTGTAAAGTACATCCAAAGGGATTTTAAAGGAAGCGATGGTACAAGTCTTCACTTTGGAGAGCCATAGGAAGATTTGCGTGAGAAGAGATGGAAACTAAAGCAACAAGAGTAGTATATTTATGGCTTTGTCATCAAAGTTGATGATATTGGATTTCACTGTAAGAGAAATGATAAGGATTTGAAGAATTTTAAGCTGGAAAGTGAAATGGATAGATCTGTGTTTTCAGCGACCTTTCAGGATGACTGTTCTGTGGAGAATGGATAATAGGGAAGCAAACTGGAGACAGGGTTACCTCTTAGGGGATGATGATGCCTTGAATTCAAAATGTGGAAATGGGTTTGGAGATAAGTGGATGGATTTAAAAAATATTTGAGAGATAGAATTGATAGAACTTGGTGATTAGTTGAAGAGCCCTTATAAACCTAGGGTGCAATGTGGTCTGGTTTTAGCACAGTATTACATCAAAATAAATATTGCTTAAGCAGAAATATATAATTGAAAGCATTTCAGAGATCTAGGCTCTTGAGGAAACAGCAAATGCCTTGTTGGTATTATTATTTTTCTTTTTGATTTTTTGAGACAGGGTCTTATTCTGTTACCCAGGCTGCAGTGTAACGGCATGAGCATGGCTCACTGCAGCCTCAACTTCCCAGGCTCTGATGATTCTCCCACCTCAGTCTCCTGAGTAGCTGGGACTACAGGAGCATGCCACTATGCCCTGATAATTTTTTTAGTTTTTTGTTTTTTTAGAGATGGGGTTTTGCCATGTTGGCCAGGCTGGTCTCAAACTGCTGGGCTCAAGCAATCCACCTGCCTCAGCATCTCAAAGTGCTGGGATTACAGGCTTGAGCCACCGTGCCCTGCTGGTGGTATTATTTTTAATGCACAGCAACACTTCTTTAAGAATCTTCTTTGGCCATCTCTCTCATTCTCAATGCCTTTCATATACTTAGGAAGAAGCTAAAATACAAAAACTCTCCCCTCCTTTCCTATGTGTGTTCTCAAACATTCCCTTGCATCCATCTGAAGCTCCTCATTCCTTAGCATTCCGCTCCTCATTCTACCTCAGCTCTTCGTGATCAGGGTTTATCTAACCTTTCTGGCTTCTTAAAGCCTTCTCACTTTGCTCAGTGTTCGGACTTTGCACAAGAGAGAAGAGCTCCAAAACCAATTCAGCAAGCATCTGGAGCAGGGAGAGAGATTGCAAATATCTGACTGTTTTTGTTGTTCCTCTGCCACAGTTAAATGTGTTCTGTGAAGAAGAGAAATGTATATGTTCTAGCTTTGAGCAAATGAGTAGATGAGGGTCCATTTGTGGAGACAGGAAACATAGGAAAAGTGATTTTGAGGAAAACTTGAGATCCCGTGAACGTTTCGAGTCTAGGCTGCCTTTTAGATGGTCTAGAGAAGCTGTCAGGAGAATTGTGTGCCTGGAACTGCCTTGTTCTGGCGTGTGAGGCAACTGTTAAATTCTCAGGAATTGTAAACATGGGCATTGTTAAAAAGTAATTTTATAAATATACGATTAAATAAAAAATAATTGTATAAATATACAATTAAATAAAAAATAATTGTATAAATATACAATTAAATAAAAAAATTGTATAAATATACAATTAAATAAAAAATAATTGTATAAATATACAATTAAATAAAAAATAATTGTATAAATATACAATTAAATAAAAAATAATTGTATAAACATACAATTAAATAAAAAATAATTGTATCAACATACAATTAAATAAAAAATAATTGTATCAACATACAATTAAATAAAAAATAATTGTATAAACATACAATTAAATAAAAAATAATTGTATAAATATACAATTAAATAAAAATTGTATAAATATGCAATTAAATAAAAAATAATTGTATAAATATACAATTAAATAAATTACATTGAAAACAAAGATAATAAATACTCAAAACTCATCTCCATCTACATTTTACTACTATCTGTGCTCTTAAAGTTACACAAGTCTGCTGTGCCTGCATGGTGGAAATACCATACAATGACTTGCTACTGCACATTTCATGGCTTCAGTGATGTTAGACTGGCATCTGGAAATTGGCCATATTTGGAGTAAACTACAGAGATTGGCAAATGCTATGAATTAAGGCCTTCTCTTCCCTCCTAAAAGCCAGCAGTTAAACACTTATCACCACATCATATCCAAGAGACATCTGGATAAATGAATCTAAGCTCAGGAGACACATCCGGGTTGGAGATACCGCAGTGGGAGGCATAGACTTGATGCGGGCAGCTTCATGGGCTGGCGTCAGGGTCCCCACATCAAGAAGGACCCCATGATTGGTTTAATGCTCTGCTGTTGCTAACATAAAATTCTTAATTTTTGAATAAGAGGCCACATTTTCATTTTACACTGGGCTAATATAGATGATAGGGAATTTTAGGTTGTTTGGGGAGGGGGCTACTTAATTGATTGCCTTCCATTTCCACATAACAAGTATTCTGTCTTACTCACCTATGTGGTAGCACATTTTCACAGGTATTTTCCCCATCCATCCCTCAACCTGTGCATTCTCCACAAGCAGCTCACAAAATTTCCCTTGTCTATTTCCTCCCTGTATTGTTCTCTTTGGCCTTCTTTTGAAATTTGTTAACTTTTTTTTTTTTTAACTTTCATTTTAGGTTCAGGGGTACATGTGCAGATTTGTTATATAGGTAACTCGTGTCACGGAGGTTTGTTGTACAGATTATTTCATCACCCAGGTACTAAGCCTGATACTCAACAGTTATTTTTTCTGCTCCTCTCCCTCCTCCCACGCTCCACCCTCAAGTAGGCCCCAGTATCTGTTGTTCCCTTCTTTGTGTCCGTGAGTTCTCCTCATTTAACTCCTACTTATATGTGAGAACATGCGGGTATTTGGTTTTTTGTTCCTGCGTTTGAAAACTGTTAACTTTCAAAGCATTAATGTATTACATGGCTTTAATAAAAATATTTCTTCAGAACAGAAATCTCGAAGGAAAAAAAAAGTTTCTCTCCAGATTGCAATGTCCCACACATTCATCTTTCACAGTGATATGACTGGTTATGGAGCTTGTGGAATAAGACAGAACTGGGTTTGAACTCTCTCTCTCTCTTTCGTTTTCTAATCCTTAGAATGGGTTTGAATTCCTGTGTGTGTGACCTGAGGTAAATGTCTTTGATTTCTCTACCCTTCAGTTTCCTCATCTGAGGAAAGAATAATATTTACCTCTGAAGGTTATTGTGAATATTAGATAATCTACATAAAGTGCCTTACATAATGCCTGGTCCATGGTTATAGTGTTCAATTAATGGCAGTTCTTTTTATTCGTACATGATGAGTTAGGAACACCCAGTAATTTGGACATGACACATGGTAGAAAAGTCTTAGGAGGAATGAAGGAAACACTGGCAGAGATGAGCTGCAAAATTTCAACTCTTTAAACATTTTCCTGGTGCCACAATATGTATGTCCCAGACTGGACTGGACAAAGCGACTCTTTACTGGGGCTGTTACTATTCTCACAACTCCTCTCCCTGTTATTCCTCAGACAGAGCTAACAATCTACACAAATAGCACAGATGTGGGCTCTTGGACAGCCAGTCAGACATTTAGCCTTCTTGCGGCAGTGAAAAAATCCTTTCCCTGGCGTAAAGCTTGGCACAGGGTAGGCACTCAAAATTTTGTAGGTTTTCCTTTTCACCGCCGTGGCCCCAACTAGCACAGGGCCTTGCACACAGCAGGCGTCCATTTACTGAATGAGCGCATGATGAATGAGCGCATGATCATGTCACCTGTTTCTCCCTCTTCCTCCAAACCCCTGTTCTTCCGCCTCTGCCCCACGCAGCCAGCATATCCCAAGGAGCCAGGCGCAAGCCAGGCCTGGTTCACTGACTCGCTCCCCGCGCGAGGCTGCGGTTGCTATGGAAACAGCGGGAAATAACAACTCCGTTCCCCTTGGGTGAGAGAGGCCCGCAGAGGTAACAGCAGCTGGAGGAACAGCGTGAGCGGCGCGCAGCCGCCGCAGAGTTCACCACTGTGCCACCCGAGCCGCACCGCCCCGCCCCCGCGCGGCCGGCGCCCGAGCTCCCCTCCCCTCTCCAGCACGCGAGTGTCGGTAGGTACTACGGCGGAGGGCACCTCCTGGGCCCGCCTCCCCAACCAGGGCCCCGCTTGCGCGCTGCCTGCTGTCTTCACGTGATGCGCACCCGAGCTTCGCCGCCAGGCGGCGCTGATCATCGGGGAGGGGGTTAGGGGTCCTAGACACGCGAGTCTTCGCTCTGTTTCTCATTCATTCATTCATTCACTTAAATGTTATTTTTCCCTTCCTTCCTTCCCTCCCTCCTTCCGGGATGGGGTCTTGCTGTGCTGCTCAGGTTGGTCTCAAACTCCCGGGCTCAAGTGAGCCTCCTGCCTCAGTTTCCCAAAGTGCTGGGGTTACAGGCATGAGTCACGGTACCCGGATTCTCTCTTTCTCTCTCTGAATATATATAATATATATAAAATATATATATAAAAATATATAATATATATAAAATATATAAAAAATATATATAAAATATATATAATATATAAAATATATATAATATATTATATATAAAATATATATTATATAGTATATATAAATATATATACTATATAGTATATATAAATATATATAATATATAATATATAAAATATATATAATATATAATATATAAAATATATATAATATATAATATACATAAAATATATATAATATATAATATATATAAAAATATAAAATATATAATATATATAAAAAATATAAAATATATAATATATATAAAATATAAAATATATATTATATATAATATATAAAATATATAAAATATATAAAATATATAATATATAAAATATATATAATATATAAAATATATAAAATATATATAAAATATATAAAATATATAAAATATATAATATATATAAAATATATAATATATATAATATATAATATATAAAATATATAATATATAAAAATATATGATATATAATATATATGATATATAAAATATATAATATATATAAAATATAAAATATAAAATATATAATATATAAAATATATAATATATAATATATAATGTATAAAATATATAATATATAATATATAATATATAATATATAAAATATATAATATATAATATATATAATATATAATATATTATATATATAAATATATATAATACATATATATTATATATATTATATATAATATATAAATATATATATAAATATAATATATATATTTATATATAATATATAAAATATATATTTTATATATTATATATAAAAATATATAATATATAAATAAATAAATAAAATATATATAAAATAAAATATATAAAATATATATATAAAAAAAATATATATTTTATTTTCTAAGACAGGGTCTTGCTGTGTCGCCCAGGCTGGAGTGCAGTGGCAAAATCATAGGTTACTGCAGCCTCGACCTCCTGGGCTCAAACAATCCTCCCGCCTCAGCCTCCGAGATAGCTGGGTCCACAGGCGAATACCCTGCCCACCTACTTTTTTTTTTTTTTTTTTTTTTTAATTGTAGAGACCGGGTCAGGCTGGTCTCAAACTCCTTGCCTCAGGGGATCACAGGCGCGTTATAGAGACGGGGGCTTTCCCTGTGTTTCCCAGGCTGGTCTAGAACTCCTGGTCTTAGGCAGCCCTCCCGCCTGGGCCCCTCAAAGTACTGGAATTTGCAGGCGTAAGCCACCGCATCTGGCTTTGCACATTTATCTTCCAGCAAAGAAAAACCTGGGCAACTACATCCAGGAACTTAATTGCTTTAATTTGGGAGCAAGCAGGAGATTGAGGGGTAAAGGTGCAAGAAGAGAGAAAAGAAAAATTAGGCTGTTTGGAAAGGGTAGCACAGATATGATGTAAGAAATTGGGTTTCACCATATTTGTGTGTGTGTGTGTGTGTGCGTCCTCCTCTCTCCTGCCCTCACTAGGCGTGCCTGTTTGAAGGCCCCGCGCGTTTCCGGCTCCTGCTCAGAAGCTGTCCACCTTGATTCTGCCCGTAGCAGGTGAACCTGGTGTGGTGCGCGCACTGCGGGTCCTGATTGGCTGTGCACGCCACGGTGAAAAACTTGAGCGTCTACTCCGAGTCCTGCAAGCTCCTAGTGTCTCCTCTGGGTGGACGCCTAGGCGCACGGCCGTTACTTCTCTTTCACCTGTGGATTCGTCAGTTTCTCGTTCGTTTCAGGAGGCGATCCCGCGCCCTGGGTGCGGTGAGGCCGCTGGGACAGCGGAGGTGCCTCCCGACGCGAAGCAGCGAGCTGAGGCGGCGGCCAGCGGGGAAGATGAGCGGCAGCAGCGCCAGGTCCAGCCACCTGTCTCAGCCCGTCGTGAAGAGCGTGCTTGTGTACCGCAACGGGGACCCCTTCTACGCGGGGCGCCGCGTCGTCATCCATGAGAAGAAGGTGTCCAGCTTCGAAGTCTTCCTGAAGGAGGTGACCGGCGGCGTTCAGGCACCCTTTGGGGCCGTCAGGAACATCTACACCCCGCGGACTGGCCACCGAATCCGGAAGCTAGACCAGATCCAGAGCGGGGGCAATTACGTGGCTGGAGGCCAGGAAGCCTTCAAGAAACTCAAGTGAGTCGGTCTCCCCCACCGCCCACCCATTTAGGTGCCCTATAGTGTGGGGTTGATATGAAGAAATGCAGATCCCTACCCCCCCACACCTCAGTGGTTGAGGGGCTGTGACTTCTCGGTGTGATTGATGCCCCTCAAAACTCTCGTTGCAGTTGGGGGGTAGAGGTTGACACTGTGACTGGAGAAGGAATTTCACTTGGGTCAGCAGTAGGAGTAAACTTAAAATCTGTGTATAAACAACAGGAATCTTAAAGAAAATAAAAAGGTATCCTTGCAAAGGTTAGTGACCAAACTGATACTTTTGCGTTTTCTGTTCAGTTTTTTCTTTCCTTTTCCTTATTTTTTTTCCTTGGAAATCCATCCTTTTAATTTAAATAAACATTCTTAAAAATCACTTCCAAGTGTTGGACACTATATTGTCACCAGAGGAGAAAATTGCTCTGCATTTCCCGTACTGTTTAAATTATTTCAACCTTTCATTCCAAGTAGAATTGACAACACTCACTTTTGTGACCCTGCTCCCACCCCCTGCATGTTTATGCTGTTAGCATAATGCAGGAAGAGTTTACTGGCTGACTGTATTTGTCGACTGTCTGTCTCCAGCAACGTGATTAGACCTTCAAGGGCAGGGGTCCTTATTCCCAGCTCTTGAGCTCACTCATAGTGAGTGTTCAGTGAATTAAGAAACCGTCAGTTCAGGGAACAAAGATGAGCAAGGCATGATTCCTTGTCTTTAGGAGCTTTCAGTCTAACTGGACTACCTGCACACTAACAATTTTAATGCAAGCTACAAAGGGATATGTGCATAGAAAAATAAAGTTATGTGGGAATTGTGAGTTGAGAGTTGGTTGGGGTGGTCATTATAGGACAGGTAGAATTTTACATTCCATTTTTTTTTTACAGCTTTATTGAGATAGATTTCTCATGGCATGAAGTCCAACCATTTCATTGGCTTTCAGTGTATTCAGAGTTGTGCAACCATCACCACCAACTAATTGTAGTTCATTTCCACCCCTCCCGCCAAAACATTTGTACCTCCCAGTTTCCTCTGTCCCCTGTCATCTGGAAACCACTAATCTATTTTCTGAATCTATGGATTTGTCTATTCTGGACATATCATATAAATGGAATCATACGGTATATGGTCTTTATGTCTGGCTTATTTCACTTACTGTAACATTTTCAAGGTTCATCCATGTTGTATCATACATCAATACTTCATTCTTTTTATTGTTGAATAACATTCCATGATTTGGGTATATTACCTTTTATATCCATGCTTATCCATTTATCAGTTTGATGTATATTTGGGTTGTTTCACATTTTAACTATTATGAATAATGCATCTATGAATATTTGTGTACAAGTTTTCATTTCTCTTTGGTGTATACCTAAGAGTGAAATTGCTGGATCACATGGTAACTCTGTATTCCATAGTTTAATAGAACATTTTAATTGAAATTCATCTTGGGCCCCAGGATAGAAAAAAGCCTTGACCATAAATCTAAGCTTATGAATTCATAAGCATTATTGGATTCTTAATAATTAAAATTCAAATAAAGTCTTATAACTACATAGAAATATTTTTCAAAATATCACTAAAATTCTTGAATGTAATCCTTCTTCTCCTATATTTGTTTAAATTGAGTTCTAGGTATTCTATTATACTTTTTGTTACGTCAGACATTCTTTTCATGGAAAGTGAGGGATATATTTGGATTTATTTTTCCCTCCCCTGAAGCTTCTTAAGCATGCTTTGTTAAACTTCGTAAAAAAGGGCTAAATGAAATTGCATGCTTAAAGGAAACTTAAAACCAGGAGACTGAAGACTGAGTTGCTCATCAGCTCTGTGTCCTTGGGCAAGTCGCTTGACTCAGCTAATCAGTTTCTTAATACAGAAAAGGTGCATAATCATTTGTACCACACAGGGCTGTGATAAAAAGTAAATGCTATAGATGTGTGTTTTGTAAACACCAAAGTGTTACATAAATATAAGACACCTCTATGACCAGTTCCTTTTGTTACATACTTTATTTTTTATTAAATATTTCCGTCTAAAGCAATTTCGTGGAAATGAAAGTCTGGTTCAGAATCTCTGAACGGCTGAAAATTGTAGACTCACTTTTATAGTTCATGTTCTTTTGTTTATTTGATCCTACCAACTCACAAGATTAAAAAAAAAAGGTACAGTTCCACACCAAATAAAAAAGTGTACTCAAGTCTCTCTAAGAGATTTGCATGTTATTTTTGCTTTCAGTTCATACACAAAAAACTGAATTTGTTATAACAGTGTCCATGGTTAGGTTTCCATGCTGACAGATGACTATTTTATTTGTGTTAAAGAAGTAGTATCTACGGTTATAATGATAGAAGCCAAGAATACTTGAATGTTGAATATATTTGAAACTTAGCACTTATAAGTTTATGTAAAGAATGGAGAAACTGTCAGAACAAAAGAAAGCCCAAACGATATTGAGGACAATTCGTGGGCTTTCATTTAGACCCTAAATGTTGGGAAAGACAGCAACATCTTTTTCAAATGGAACTGATCAAATCGCTGCTTGAATTGCTTTCACTTAGATTTTTCTAATATTTTTGAAACGATAACTAAACATCAGGTAGCTATTAAACCCTTATTTATTTCAAATGTGAGACCATACATTCACAACCTTTATTTTACAGCAGAGGATTCTAGAGAGTATTTCCCCCAAAACTTTCCCTGTGCATTGTTGGAAGTTGACTCTGCAGCATTAATCTTGTGGATCTGAAACCACTTTCCTGCACATGACAGAATATTTTGGTATTATTTCAAAACTCAGCCCCTGCAGGTCCACAAAAGACCCATTTTATTGCTAAGACGGAGTGTTTGCACTGTTTTAAAAATATGACTACTTTTATATAGGGGCATTGTATGACAATTTCCAGAGATATGAATTAACTAAAGTATTTTATCCAAAAAGGCAAACAGCAACAATAAAAACATTTCAATAGCCAAAATTAATTCTAACATAAGCTTTTTTTGGGACAAGTTGGCAATTGTAGTAGTTGGGGTAAAGGATTGATCTATCATTATAAATTATATGTTAGATTTATACTTTTTAATATTAAAATGTTTATTTAGCACATTTTATGTATGAAGCACAGTTTAGGGACCATTTAAAACTGGAACCACATCACAGTGATATTACACGTGAAGTTGACAAAGGTATACAGTTTTCAGGTTGTGCTTATGTAACAGCTAAAGAATGATCACTGTTAGTATCTAGAGCAAATAGTAATGGAATAATAGGGGTCTCCAGAGGTTAACTAGTCCACCCATCTGTTTCTTAGCTGAACCAATTACCAAAGTCATCCCACATGAGTGAGTGTTTTTGTATCATTAAGGTGCTCTCATAGAGACAATAATTTCTCAGCCTTTCCCAGTTGTTACCCTAATGCACGCTATCAGTACTTCCTTTGACCTAAAGCCTGTATTTAATGGAACAGTTAAGCAGCTTTGCACATAAGCCACTCTTTTAAAAAATCAAATCTGTAAGAATATAGTGTATATAGTAAGCAGCTAACTATTAAGAGGGAAAAATGTTCTCTAATAGATGTATGTATTTCTAAGACTTTCCTTCTCTTGAAGTTTAGGGTAGACATATGTCAGCTCTGGTTGGTGACACTGCAAACAGTTTTTACTATTGTAATTGCTTTTCATTAGTAGCTATTTGTTTTTGCTTTAAGGTTGAGAATTTCCTATGAGTTGCTTTATTTTTTTATGATTTTTAAAAATAAATTACTGACTTAAAGTCTATAAAAGCAACTCTTATTGTTTGTTTGTTTTTTCCTCAGTTACTTGGACATAGGAGAAATCAAGAAAAGACCAATGGAAGTTGTTAATACAGAGGTAATGCAAATATTATTTTGAAAATTCAAATAAATAACGGTGCCATTTGTTTCTTATGGTGTGTCTTAGAGATTTGGACGGCATTCTACTTTGATGAGTTCTCTAATGTAAAGAAATGGAACATTATATGTTTTAAGGCAAAGATAATTCTTTCTTTGAATCATTGTCAGAAATGAAAAGACTGAGTAGATGTTCTAAGATGTGCAGGATATGTCAAGATTAGACAAAACATATTTTTCTCTTTTCTAGCTACATGTTCTCTGATTGAAATCCATGGGAAGGTTCCCTGTCAAGTGAGAAGATTCTGAGCGTTGTTAAATAAATCTTTACCAAAGCTACATCCTCATCCTAATGTGCCTCTGATAACTCAGTGTTTGATGTAGCCAGGGTCACCCTAACTGCCCCTGAGGCTTTCAAAGGAGATGAGTAGATGTCACGTTGGACACTTTGTGATGTCAGGAAAACACCTGTGTTTTAGCTTCTATCGAAGTACGAGTTAAGCATAGTTCGTGAAAGCTTATGTGAAGGTTGGAAAAGGAGCTTGTGAAATATTCACAATACCGCATTCCACGTAGCTTCTGAAACCCTGGTGGAGTTTTAGGTATTCTGTAGGATGTATTCTTTAGTTTGTGAATGAAAAAATAGATTAAAAACAAAGTTGGGGCCACAGCCTGAGACAGGGAAAATTGTAGTTAGATCCAGAATAGGCCTCTGTTCACCAGCCCAGACAGCCACTCTTCCCATTCAGACCCCAAATAAACAAGTGCTTCCAATGGGTAAGTGCTGCCAATGAAGAAATGGCCAACAGGAAAAGTAGTTTTTCTCACTTGTAGTCCAGAGCCCCAGAGGGACTCTCCTCAACACTCACCATTTCCTCTCACATCATGTTTGTGCCTAATAGGACCAAATAGGCCCCTCTAGAAAAAATATTGCGTAAGAAAAAAATTCTAATTGTACAGTATTTGAAGAATATGAGGTTAAATTCATTATTCAAATAATCTGTAGAAAGAGGTACCCTTCCTAGACATCATTTAACATAATTAATATTTTGGCTTGTATTTTCAGTGCATCAAATTGATTAGTCATGAAAGTGATAGGCTTTGTAGCTTAAAGTAGACAAAGGTATACAATTTTCAGGTTGTGCTTATGATATAGCTAAAGAATGACCACCAGTTGATATCTGTCTCAAGTAGAGTAGTAATAAAGGGCAGTGTTGTGAATTTGTTCTGGATGTGATTCTGATGAAAGGATACACACCTGTTTAAAGTATACTACCTTGCATGAAATTGGTGAAGAAACCTGGACTTCCGCAATAGAATTTGAGATGTGTGAATTCCCAAAAAATGTGAGCACAGTATATTTACTCTGGATTCCAGTGTCTTTGCTGAAGACATTATCCCTAGTAAAAGACAACAGGTGTGCAATAGATTTATCGAATATACTTTTTTCTTAAAAATTTTTTTTTGAGACAGAGTCTCCTTCTGTCACCCAGGCTGGAGTGCGGTGGCTCGATCTCTGCTCACTGCAACCTCCACCTCCTGGGTTCAAGCGATTCTCCTGCCTCAGCCTCCTGAGTAGCTGGGATTACAGGCACGTGCCACCACACCTGGCTAATTTTTTTGTTTTTCGTAGAGACGGGGTTTCAGCATGTTGGTCAGGCTGGTCTTGAACTCCTGACCTCATGATCCGCCCGCCTTGGCCTCCCAAAGTGCTGGGATTACTGGCATGAGCCACCAAGCCCGGCCTTAAAATAGTATTTTTAATAACAGAAGCATTCACAGAAACTCCAGTTCATTTAATTTGCTTATTGTTCTTCCACTCTGGGGACAGTAACCATTGTTTCTCTTTATTTTGCACTTACACATGAGCCAACGTACAAGATCCTTATTTATGGATGCACACCTTACGTGTGAAAAACCTACCCCTTGTCTCCAAATGAAAGACTGCATCTCTTTCATCCTGCTTCCTACTGGTGACTCCCTCCCACTTACTCCTTTCCTCTTGCTGCCCTGCTGTGGCCTTTTATTTCTTCTCAGTCCTTACCCATAAACCCTTCTAAAGGAGATGGAAAGAGAGAAGTAGAAGAAATTGTGAAATGCAAAGGAGATGGGAAAAGGTGTTCAGAAACTGCTTGTCCATGCTCTTTCCCGCATCTTCCACTCACTCATGCCCAGCTTTCCCACTTGTTCGCTAGAGTCCTCTCTCCCACTCTGCCCTCCTGTCCTAAAGTTTCCTCCAGGTCTGGACAAGCAGTGTGTTCACTTCCCTCACTTCACATGTCCAGTCCGGAGATACCTTCCTCCCCAAAGTTCGCACCATGACCTTCACCCTCCGAAGTCTGCTTTAAGCAAAGGCAGCCCCTACTTTCATTGCCAGAAAGAAAGGTTTTTGGGTTCTTGGCATCTCAAAAGGGAACTATGAAAGCATTTTTCTTCTGGAAATATCACTTTGACTCTGAATTCTATGGTATTTTTACGGCTGTTTTAGGTAGAGCACGAGTGGAAAAGGGTTTTGCAGGCTGCCCTGAGAACCTAATTATACTGTGTGATTTTTAGTATGGGAAACTACCTTTCTCTTTCCCACAACTGATTTATAGTCAAACTTTTGGAGTTCAACAAGTTGATAAGTTGGAGGATGATCTATGCTCAAAATTTGAGAACAGACTTGGTAGAACACTGGCATTTCACAAAAATTATAGATCTTTAAAAATCTTAGGTGGGTATTTCCTTTCAACATTAATGTGTTGAGAAAAGATTGCACATCTTGTTAAGTGCTATTAAGGATGAGCATTCTTTGGAGTATGATGATATATAAAGGGAGATCAATAGAGAATTATTTTTGAAGTGGATTTAGAACATGAATACTTCATGAAATTGGAGGGTTAAGAGTTGTTTCAAGGGGGAGTTTCAGTGCCGTAGTAGCACAAAAAAATTCAAAAATGTGTCATTATGAGGGATGAGTAAAATAACTTACTCACCAAAATGGGGGGCATTTCCTTCAAATCTAAGGTAATTTTGAGTTTTCAGTGATGGGCCTGCATAATAAAAGCCACCACCCCAGTATACACAATTCAGTTTTTCTGGTTGCCTAAAACATACTAATTCTAATTATTCCGAGTACATTTTATACGGAAAGACCTTTGCATTTCAGTGGAGTCATGCAGAGTGTGTGGCACTGGGTCCTACCCACTGTGGCTGGGACACCCTTTCAGTGAGTGCTGGGAGTTATTCCTTCTCCTTTTCCAGAGCAGCTCACCCAAGACCATGGGTACGATTTGTTGCTTTTACGTAGTTAATAATTTAGACAAGATGGCACCTGCTTATTGACTTCAGGTCATGCTAACTAGAATGTGCGTGTCACCTTGACATTGGAAATGCTTTTGTGGTTTGTGTCACTGCTTGCTTGTTCCATGAGGCTCATCTTTGAAGAGATACTTAAGGACAGCCAATGCTATTCCTCTTCCTCTTTATGGCCTCATGATGGGTTTGGGGAAAGGCAGAACTGTAATGGACCTAACCCAAAAGAAGCATAGGGTCCTATTTGGTGAACACTTTGCACAGCAGGAAGTAATGGGGTGGAGGGGGGGAATAAAGAAACAGAAGAATAAAAGAAAGAGGAATAAGGTGACTCTGTGGTTGTTTGCACCCACCTCAGAGTCAGGGCACCATATGGGCTCAGAGCAGCCTATCCCTGACTCTCTACACCCAGGTCCTGCTTTTACTAATATCTAAATAAACAGATCTCCTGGATTGCCCTTGTACTCTTTTTGTGCTCCTGAGTCATTTTGCATAGCTATATTTTCATTTTTCCTCCCACTTTCCCTGTGTCAGTGGTGGTTTAATGAAGACAGTTTTCTTAGCTTCTGACCGTGGTAACTCATCTCCTTGTATTTATGACTTCCCAATCCTCTCTTTGCTTCCTCGTGTCCCACCTCTCAGTCCAGTTTCACATCTCATTATATCTTCTAAGTCCTAAGTTGATTTACCAGCTCCTTTCTTTCCTCTTTACCTTAAGCAGCCTGTGGGAGTCCTCTGTCCTCATGCAGTTGGAGACCTCTGATTCTGCATGTGTGATGCCTTTACCAGCACTTACTCTTGCCCCTACCCTTCTGCTTTACTGAATGTGATTTCTGCTTCCTCTCTTCTTGTTTTCCTACCTTGTCCTCTCTGCTTCCATGTTATTGAATGCCTATACAATGCAGTGGGCAGAGTAAGCAAAATGATTAAGACATGCATGACCTCTCACATCCAGGAATTTATAGTCTTGCTGAAAAGACAGATGAGCATCTCTAGTACTACATCATAAGTGATTCGATTTAGTAAATATAGTTTGCATTGAGCCATTTAGTTCAAGTGCTTCTGGCTTTATCATGTTGCAGCAAAGCCATTTGTGGACCCTTCAAATGGAAGCGTCCTTCTGCTTTGACCTGGCATTGTAGATCTCACTCTTCATTCCTGCACCTCATGTCTCATCCATGTAGTACATCCTTCAAATAATGACATTCTTTTTTTTCCATAACCATTCAAGGTGGAATTAATGACATTCTTAAATAGATATTTAGAGTACAAATCTGTTTTACTGTGTAAGGGGCTTTGGTACATGTTATATAGAGAGGGGAAGAGCAGGCAGCTTGACTTTGGAGCACTTAGATGGGCTGGGAACTGTGCTAGGCACTAGGCATAAAATGGATACTTCACTGCTCTTGCTCTTTGGGAGTTCAGCGTGTAGGAGAAGAGACAGAGAAGTAAACTAGCTATGATTATCTAGTGGCAGGTGGCTGTGCTAGAGGTGTGCTCAGAGGACTGAGGAAGTGCAGATTGGATTAGGGTTGTGGGTCAGCCAGTTTGAAATGGTTTAAAATATAATAGACCCTTTTGTTTTTTAGCCTGCTTCTCTTAGATCAAAGTTTTGAGAAAGTCTTTTTCTACAACTTGATTAAGAGGGTATTATTTAATAATTATATCTGTAAGAGTCAAAATCAGTCTCTAGCAGAAAGAGTGAAAATCAGCTTGCATGGAAAAGAGGAAAAGGTCGCTTTGCTATTAACCAGGCTTAGAGGATAGACACATTTAAAGCCAACTATAAAATTAACAGGAAACATTGTTTCTCCCATGGTGGCACAGGGCTGTAAAATGCCACAAGGATCCCTTCTTTGAGTGATGACTGCTTTCTTACTGCTGATGCTCTCAGACTTGCTTTGCTATTCCCATCTTTTACGGAGATCTTTATTGGATAAACTTCTCTTATCTCATACAACCCCTGGTTAATCCCTGATTCTTTTAATTTCACCTTAAAAACAGAAACCAATCTAGAACTGATCTCTGTTTCCCTTAGCTCTTCAGAATCCTTCAATGAGATTCCAAACCCTACAAACCTACAAACCCTCCTGCCTCTTTGTCACTGTCATTTTATGGATTCTTTAAGTGCTGGCACTTGCTACACCAAGTCCACACATCTGATTTTGTCAGACTGCAGGCTTGTTCCTGTTAGACTTCTGATTAGGCTTTAACATATACATCAGAGTTGTCTGTTAGATTGTGGTCTCTAGGAGGTCTGCTAATCCTGTATCGTACCCACCACGCTGAAGACTGGGAATTGTTTAAATTTGCCATGGTTTTGATCTTCCTTTTGGGCCAATTTAAGTAGATGTCCATTTGCCTTGCACATGCCTGGTTATTCCGATTTTTGCATGATGGATAGGACGTCTCAAGTAATTTAAAAGCCTTTTTTTCCACCACCTATTTAGATTTTGTTTCAGGGGTAAAATTAGTTATAGTTAAATCTTTGTTTGATACATTTATTGCCCCTGTAGGATAATTTGCAGCTATATTGAATGAATGCTATTCATGCAACAAGTAGAGTTATCCTTCAGTATACTCAGTCCTAGGGATTGTTTCCAGTACCCCCTGAGGACACCAAAATCCAAGGACGCTCAAGTCTTTATATAAAATGTCATCATATTTGCATATAACCTATGCACATCCCCCCGTATACTTTAAATCATCTCTAGATTACTAGTAATACCCAGTGCAATGTAAATGCTATGTAAATAGTTGTTGTACTGTATTTTTTATGTCATTTTTAAATGTTGAGTTTTTTTCTTTTTCTTTCTTTCTTTGTCTGTGGTTGGTTGAATCTGTGGGTGCAGAACTTATCCATATGAGGGCTGACTATATTTATTGTGTGCCTGTTATGTGCTAGGCGTTGTGGTTGTTAGCTGGGAACCAAGCTCCTGGTTTCTGTCCATGGAGCTTACTAATCTTAAGCCTTCCTGGTGTGGTATCTCTTGATTTTTAACTCTACCAATGTTGGTCTTTGTTGCAGAATCTGGTGTAAGGCAGATTTCTTTGATTCAAGAGCTGTATTTAGGGGGCTAAATAGCTTTTAAACTTTATTATTGATAATGAGTCAGAGGATAATGGGATTAATTTTTGAAGAGTAATAAACACCTAATTCCTGGAAAGTATTTTTCTATTTTCCTAAAGTTATAAACACTTAGTCTACTCATTGTAACCTGAATAATAGCTGGGGTTGTCCCTCTCTTATGATCAGGATAAGTAGGCTTGAATCTCCATTGCTTAGCCTTTTTCTTCCCAAGATACATGTGAATTCCACAGGTATTATTATCTCATGCCCACCTCTTCTTCTGAGTTTCTGCTTCTAAAGTATTGGTTGAGTTATGGATTCTCTTGTTCTCTTACAGTTTGTGTCTGTTTAAGACCTCATCAACCCAGAGATGAAATTCTTTCATTGATGTCCACAAGAATACCTCACCCATACAAGTTTATGTGTGGTGAATCTTTTTTTTTTTTTTTGAGATGGAGTCTCGCTCTGTCACCCAAGCTGGAGTGCAATGGTATGATCTCGGCTCACTGCAACATCTACCTCCCGCGTTCAAGCGATTCTCCATGCCTTAGCCTCCAGTAGCTGGGACTACAGACACCTGCCACTACACCCGGCTAAATTTATATATTTAGTAGAGATGGGGGTTTGTCATGTTGGCTAGGCTGGTCTCGAACTCCTGACCTCAGGTGATCCACCCACCTTGGCCTCCCAAAGTGCTGGGAGTACAGGCGTGAACCACCACGCCCGGACTGTGTATGGTGAAATTTATCAATGGTTTGTAGAACTAGAGTGGATATTCTAAGTCACGTAGAAGTGTTGACAGCTCTACATGATGTTGTACTTCCCCACTCTTAAAAATACCTTGGCCTTATATGCCAATTCAGGCTCCAGCCTGTGGCCATGCTTCTTGGTGACTTCTTTCTTTTTTCCCTCTTCCTGTCTCTTTTCTGTACTACCCCTACTCCACATTTCCATTAATTTCTAATACAGAACAAGTTGGAAGTTCATTTTTGTTTCTGTAAATCCATGTTCTCAGGGTCAGCAGTAAATACATTTTTTTTTTTTTTTTTTAGACAGAGTCTCTTTTGAGCAATCTCTGTTCACTGCAACCTCCCCTCCCAAGTTCAAGCAGTTCTTATGCCTCAGCCTCCTGAGTAGCTGGGACTACAAGTGTGTGCCACCACGCCTGGCTAATTTTTGTATTATTAGTTGAGATGGGGTTTCACCATGTTGGCCAGGCTGGTCTCAAACTCCTGACCTCAAGAGATCCACCTGCTCGGCCTCCCAAAGTGCTGGGATTACAGGTGTGAGCCACCATGCCCAGTCTTGCAGTAAAGATAATTTTTACTCTCTTTTCCACATTTATATTTAAAAAATTTAGTAGTCTGTTTTGGGTTTCCTCTTCTTTTATCAGTTCTTCCTCATCTGCTATTGATATCCATCAATAACTCTCAATAACCAGTCACAAGAGAAATATAAGCAAGAAGAGAGAGCAGAAGGTCAAGCTCACCTAATTCAAAGGGATCTATCAGTGAATAAGTGTGCTATCTGTACTTCAGAGAAATGCTGCCTCAAAAGTAAGACCACAGTGAAAATCTTCCCAGAGAGTAGCAGCCTTCTTCTTGGATAAGCCATCCTTCTGAATCCTCTTGAATACATTGAGATAGGTATATTCTCTCAGGGAGAACGTGGATCAACCTTGTTTCTTCTTAGTGGGGTGGAGAATTTTAGAAGTACCAGGAGAGGAAGAGAGAAAGGAAGAGAGTGAAACTGCAAAACTTTGCCTTGCTGAAAAGTTTGTGGGAACCCGGGTTGTACTTCAGGTCAGTTACTCAGGTGAATGTCCTTAAGATTTTGAATATCATTATTAAAATTTCACATTTCAGTTTAATCATTAGGCATAATCTCTAATGAAACATACTATAGGATTTCCTACTTAAAGGCTTTGGTTGGGAACGGGATTCTAGACATTAAATGGATTCTAGATATTAATTGGGATTCCAGGCATTAATTATTAACCTTATTGCAGGAAGGCATGGTGATTATGTGGTTTAACTCACTAACCTTTAGCTTGGGAATTTTGAGACCCAAGAGGCTTCAAAGAGCGAACTACTGAAGAGGTAATCTAAATATTTCTTTCTTTAACTTGAGGAAAACTTTCCAGATTATGTTAACTTGAGGAAAACTTTCCGGATTATGTTAGTCAGGTTTATTAATTTATGAAAGAATCAAAGAAAATAAAACACACTTTTGCAAATTCTTCCAAAAATATTGAAGCCCCTCCCCAAACTTTTATTTTATACCTTTTCCCCCACCACTCTGATATAACTGCTACTTAAGAAGCATTCTTTTAAGGAAAGCCAGTTCACATCAGTGACCAAGGTGACTCCCAAGTATTCATGACCTTACCAAGGTTTTCTGCTAAAGAACAACTGCTATATTTCATTTTTCTTTCACACTTTCTTGTTTTACCCTTTTGTCAGCATTGAACTGTGTGTATGGATGTGTATGGATGCGTGTATGTGTGTTTGAACAAGACTAAGAAAGACAGAAGTGTATCTGTCAACCAGTGAAATATCAGTCTAATGAAAAATATTCATCAATAACTCTCAATCAGCTCTGATCAAAAGCTAAAAGATTGGTGATTTTACTTTAGCTTTGAACATGTATCATGGCATTTGTTCCAAATATCTGGCATCCTCTCTTTGGCATTTAGGCATGATGTTAGGAAGCTTAATAACTGTGAAATTAGCAGATATGCATATTAGAGCATGTATAGTTTTTTATTTATAGTGATAAGCTGTTCTAAGCAAAGAGAAAGTTAATAAATGTTTAGAAAAGAATTATTAACCTTTTCAGAAAAAAATAGGAAAAGTAATAAAATATTAAATTACTAAATATGTGTAAAATACCACTTGTTTTTTCTCTGCCTGACTTATTTCACTTAGCATAATGTTCTCCAGGCTCATCTGTGTTTTTGCAAATGACAGAATTTCTTTTGTTTTTATGGCTGAGTAGCAATGAAGCTCACATGTGGAATCTAAAAAGTCAAACTCATAGAAGAAAAAAAAATGGTGGTTACTGGCGCTTGGGATGAGGACAGGGTGGGGAATGGGGAGATGTTTATGAAAGGGTACAAAGATTCAGTTTGACAGGAGGGATATGTTCTGGAGATCTATTGCATAGCATGTTGATTATAATTAATAATACCGTATATTTGAAAATTGCTAAATGAGTTTTTAAATGTTCCTACTACAAAAAGTGATAAATATGTGAGGTGATAGATATGTTAACTAGCTTGATTTAATCATCCCACAGCGTGCCCATATATCAAAAAATTATGTTGTACTCCATAAATACATACAATTTTGTCAATTAAAAATAAATAAAATACCACTTAGTTGAAATATCAAACTATTCTCAATACAGATTTTCTTTTAAATTCTGACCAAAATAAGATCCTTTTGGCAATTGAACAGCAACACCTATTGAACTGAGAGGAGCTTGTTCTTATATTGCATGAGATTCAGAAATACAGAAGGTGAAATTTAGGACTGTGTAGTACAGTGCATGATCTGAAATTCTGCCAAGGTATATCAAGCTTTTGGTTGATGGCAGTTTAGATACTTGTGCACTTGTGAGAAAATCAATGTTTAGATTTATATTTCAGGATAATTATTAGAATGAGCTTATTGAGTTTTCTGGTGAAATCAGAGGAACTCGTCTTGATGAAAGTATATTTCCATATGGTATAAATAATAGAAAAATGTGTCTAAATCAATAGTAATGTCTAGCCAGGGAAGACAAATAAATTGTATTCAACTTTTTATTGAATGCTGCTCATGCATGATTTTACATTTCCTCAAGAATATTTAGGCGGGGCACGGTGGCTGACGCCTGTAATCCCAGCACTTTGGGAGGCCGAGGTGGGTGGATCACGAAGTCAGGAGATCGAGACCATCCTGGCTAACACGGTGAAACCCGTCTCTACTAAAAAAAACACAAAAAATTAGCTGGGCATGGTGGCAGACGCCTGTAATCTCTGCCACGCCGGAGGCTGAGGCAGGAGAATGGTGTGAACCCGGGAGACGGAGCTTGCAGTGAGCTGAGATCACACCACTGCAGTATGGGCGACAGAAAGAGACTCTGTCTCAAAAAAAAAAAAAAAAAAAGAATATTTACCAAGAGCCAGGCAGTGGACTACATTCTAGGCCTGCAGATATAAAAAGACTCACGTGCCAATCAGAAATGACAACAAGGTAATTGTAGGAGGACTCTCTAAAGAGTTTTAAAAGGTAAGATACATGAAAAGAGTAAAAATGTTGGAAAGTAATATCAGAGATTATTAATCCAGGGGAAGAAAAGTATTATTTAGACCCAATTAATAATTGGCTTCAATACTTACAAAGAATGTGGTAATCAGCCCTCTACATCATAGCTGGGTAACAAAATGGGGGTAAAAAACATTAAGATATTGTGTGAAGATTGGTGAATTTGAGTTGGTTTGAAAGAAAACCCTTTTTTTTTTTTAATTGGAGACTACTAAAAACTTACTGAAGGAGAAAGAGTGATACCTGCTTTCTATCTATTTTAAATAGAAATACATTCTTCTGACTTGCACATTTCGGTTGTATGCCAAGATGGCAGAGGTGAATTGAGGCTTATTTAAATTTCAAAATGCGCTCTAATCTAAGGTTTTCGGGGTCAGAGCCTTCCTGTGGAAGCCCAGAAGGAGCGCTGCCCAGCTGCCACACTCCACGGAGAAGTGGCTGGTGCAAGAAGACTGCCGGAGTGACTGGCAGCAGTCCGTATTGACACCTCCTGTCTTGATTTCCTGTTTCAGAGAGTTCTTCCATGCAAATAAACATGCGATGCTGTGATTTTCTGACTTACAGTCAATATTGTTTAAGCAAAAAAGTAACACAATTTGAAGCAACACTGTGAAAGTAAAGGGTTTGAGGAATATTCCTGTTTTGCCGTATGGTTTTCATATTTAGAACTGAAGGTAGCATAGCACCCTGGACGGACATAGCAACCACCTAAAGAGATGTTTCAGTTTTCCCCCACTAACTGTATGTCCAGCAAAGATGCATTAAAGGAATAAGGGAAGTAAAGCCCAAAGGAGTCAGTAATAAGAAACCAGTATATGAAGTCATCTGTGAGGATGCTTTCACATTTGATTAGGATATAGAAACTTATTGGGTTAAACACTTTAAATTTTATTTCTCTTTAATGTAGAACAAATTCTCTGTGTGTTTGTGTGTGTGTGTGTGTGTACGCGTGCACACATGCGTGCGCCCTCTTACATGTCTGATTGTTGGGGAAGTATTTTTGGATTTTGGGAAACTTTGTTTCAAAGATCTAGAGCAGCAATAAATCTTTGGACTTTTCTTGGAAGGGTAGTTTGGTGAGAACACTGTGCTAATGAGGCCAAGGACTTGGGCTTGAATCCCACTCTTAGATCTACTAGGTCCCTGGCCCCAGACTGTTCCCTAAATAACCAGCTGTCCTCTCAAATGTGGTACTGGTTAAGGTTTGTGGGAAAGTATACATGTAATTCAGCCTACATCTATGACCGAACTCAGAAAACAACTAAAAAGGTCCATGTCTCGAAAGTAGGAGGCTAATAGTCCTATCTTTATGTGTAAAATAAAATAAGTTTCAGTATAGTTCAAAACAGATGGATGGAGGCATTTTTTTTTTTTAAAAAAAGGTAGGTCTCTATTTGCACTTGGCTGATTTCAGCAGGAAATATGCAGGCAGTATGCCCTAGTGTCTAGCTTGGTCAACAATGAAAATTCCCATGTATCATTGTGAAAGCCTCCTTTATAAGCAGCCAGCCAGATCAAACTCAGATGTCATCCCATGATTACATAGTTTGGATGTTTGGTTTGTTGAAATAAAGTTGATTTCAGCCCACCTCTTAGCTGGGGGTAGAACTTTTAAGTGGTGAAGGATCGTGGGAGAGAGACAAATAAATTGACTTTTTATATTTGCAGTGTCTAATGTTTAACCTGGAACTGTTCTCTCTAGGAAATCTCAAATGGCAATCTCTGCTGCTTTGTATTTTTTCCCTCTTTCTAGCAGTGAGTATGTTTGTGTTTCAAAGATCTGTGAACCTCTATGGCCATCTTTGCTATTTCAAATTACATAGCCATATGTAACTGGGCTGCCAACTTTTAGAAATTTTTAGATAATGGCCAGGTTCCATGGCTCACGCCTGTCATCCCAGCACTTTGGGAGGCCAAGGCAGGTGGATCGTTTGAGGTCAGGAGTTTGAGACCAGCCTGGCCAACATGATGAAACCCTATCTCTACCAAAAATGCAAAAATTAGCCAGGCATAGTGGTACGTGCCTGTAGTCCCAGCTACTCGGGAGGCTGAGGTAGGAGAATTGCTTGAGCCGGGGAGGTGGAGGTTGCGGTGAGCCAAGATCCTGCCACTGCACTCCAGTCTGGGCGACAGAGTGAGACATTGTCTCAAAAAAACAAAATTTTTTTTTTAGAAAATAAGTCATCTAATATCATTCAAGTTGCATTTTGTTAATTATATTCTAAGTGATAAAACTCCATATTCATGGCTTGTTTTCTTAGAAACGAGTGGATAACTAGATTTCCAGTATTACAAATTTTGCATTAGCTAGTTTTAGATCTTCCATGCTAGTTTTTAAAAGCTGGATTAAAAAAAGAAGTGTCAATTAAAAATATTTTTACTACAGCAAATACATTCTGTTAGTATGGCTTTTGCAAATGCATAGCTTGTTTTGCATGAAGGCTCAACTGACTAATATTTAATTTAGTCAAATAGTATATGAAAATTGAATTAAATTGCCCTTCCGCTAGCCGGTACTTCTTCTAATCAGATTGCTATTCCCTTGTGTTATTTCTATTTTAATTAATTTTATCAATAATATTGATTAACTTTGACTTTCCTCACCTATTAGGCTACCATAAGCCAGGGGAATCCTCAGAAGCTTCCTGGAAGGAATGATGTATACATTGTGACCTAAAGGGAATGAGTATGTTCACCAGGCAAACAGAAGGAGGAAGAGCATTGCAGGCAAAGGAGATGGCATGTGTGAACGTCTGCAGATGAGAGAGCACAGGGCACATTCATCTACATGTTCATCTCTGCATGAACATGTATATAATGCAATCCAAGCAATGTGATTGTCTACTGGGAATTTTCAGCATTTTTACTTAGTGACTCTTATTTATTCCGAAACTCTATTCCTCTCCACCGCTTCACCAATTCATTTCCTTATGTATAATCATATTCAAATGATAATTTTCCATCTCTTTAGGAATTCCCTTTGCTCTCTCTATCTTATAGCATCAAGTTAGTGGATCAATTTTGATGTGTGCATCAAATTTGGTGTCAAAAGACCCATCCAACACTTATTATAAATATATCCATTCATAGACAATCTTGGTTAGATGTCCACATTTTAACCTGTAACAATGTTAGTTTAGCTTGTGTGTCCCAGGCACCATGTAATTACTCTGAGTACACAGACAGAATTATAAAATCATAATGGCACTCTCCTAGTACTCCATCAAAGTGATCCTAAAGGATTACAAAGATGGTTTTGTTGGCAGCAATTGGAGAAGAGGAGTCTGCAGATGAATTGATCTATGGTCTCTGCTATTATTTTAAGCCTTCTTTCATGTGGGAGGGTTTGGACCCCAAGGGAATGACACTAGTCACAAATTTATGGCTCTCACGTTTTGGTGGTAAAAAATTAACATCACAAATTCTTTCATCAAAAAAATGATATGAGCACCAGTTTATGTGCCAGGCATTATGTTAGTTGGATTTGCAATGGTGAATATATCAGACAAGGCAAGCTTTCCTGAAGCTGGCTGTGTAGTGGAGAAGATGGGGCCGTACGCAAGCTATCCGAAGTGTGCTGTGTGGGAGGATACAGGCGGCACAGGCTGCTGGAAGGATGGCTACCATAAGCCAGGGGAATCCTCAGAAGCTTCCTGGAAGAAATGATATATACGTTGTGACCTAAAGGGAATGAGTATGTTCACCAGGCAAGCAGAAGGAGGAAGAGCATTGCAGGCAAAGGAGATGACATGTGTGAATGTCTGCAGATGAGAGAGCACAGGGTACATTTGAGAAACATACATGTGCTGTTTGGCTGAATCACGGGAAGAGGTTGGGATAGAAGGTTGGGAATGGAACTATGTGAGAGATAAGGCATGGGAGGTAGAGAGGTACCAACATCAGGGGTTTTAAAAAGTAATTTATCTTTTTCCTAAAACCAACCAAAAGCTGCTGGGCATGGTGGCTCACACTTGTAATCCCAGCACTTTGGGAGGCTGAGGTGGGCGGATCACCTGAGGTCAGGAGTTTGAGACCAGCCTGGCCAACATGGTGAAACCCCCTCTACTAAAAATACAAAAATTAGCTGGGCGTGGTGGTGTGTGCCTGTAATCCCAGCTACTTGGGAGGCTGAGTCAGGAGAATCACTTGAACCTGGGAAGCAGAGGTTTGCAGTGAGCTGGGATCACACCATTGCACTCTAGCCTGGGCAACAGGAGTGAAATTCTGTCTCAAATTAAATAAATAAAACCAACCAAAAGCTATTGAAGGGATTTCATCAGGGAATTGACACAATGACTCTTATTGCTACAGCAAGGTTGGAGGCCAGGCGACCATGTGTTGGAGGTAAATGTGCCACTCATGATGGGAGAGGCTGTTGAGATGGTGGAAGGATTAGATTTGAGAAACAGAGCTTAGTGATTGAGTGGATGTGGGGTAATGAAGAAAGATTAGCTGGATGATTTTTGAGTTTCTGGCCTGGGCTACTGGATAGATGGCATTCCCTTTCGTGAAGACAGGGAATACAGTTGTTGTTTTTTTTTAATGGCGGTGACAGGCAGAGATATTTGAAGCATTAACTTTTGAATATTGAGCCAGCCTAAATGTTAGAAGATGCACAAAACTGGAACTCACTGTGAGTGTTTGTGCATGTGCACATGTGTGTGTATGTATTTCTTTGATATGTGTTTAGTCAGTGTTGTTCTAAGTACTTTACAAAGATGATATAATCCTCACAACAACCTTATGAAGTAGGGATTGTTATTATTCTGATTTTACATGGGAGGAAATTGATAATGAAAACATGTTTCTCAAGAGCTCACAGATGAGGGACTGTGTGTTCATGTATTGTGTGTTAATGCAGAAGGAAGCGTTTCCTAAGAATTAATGCAATTTAATTAAAAGATGATCATTCAGTGTCTTTTTGCACTTGAAAGGATGTTTGTGGGAGTGAAGGGTTTTAAAATTTTTTAATACCTTGATTTAATGATGATAAGAAGGATAAAATATATAAGAAAGACTAAAGAATTAGGAAGTGAATCCAGAAAAGGGATAAAATATTCTTTCAATTTCCTTAATAGTCTTTTTTTTTTTTTTTGAGACGGAGTCTTGCTCTATGGCCCAGGCTGGAGTACGGTGGCACCATCTCAGCTCACTGCAACCTCCGTCTCCCAGGTTCAAGTGATTCTCCTGCCTCAGCCTCCCAAGTAGTTGGGATCACAGGCACGCATCACCACACCCAGCTAATTTTTTTATATTTTTTTGGTAGAGATGGGGTTTCACCATGTTGGCCACCTCGGTCTTGAATGCCTGACCTCAAGCGATCCGCCCACCTCGGCCTCCCAAAGTGCTGGGATTACAGGTGTGAGCCACCGTGCCTGGCTCTTAATACTCTTCTTTAACAAGTCATCATTAGTCACAAAATATTGCCGGGAATTATTTTAGTTGTATTCTCAATTGACATTTTTTTTTTTGGCTTTGCAAATATTCCCTATAGGACAGGATATTTATGTTGAATGTTTCCAATACAGTGCTTGAAAAGGCTTTGGCATATCTGCTTATAAAAAGGCTCCCATAGGAAACCAGAAATATTTTTACATGGAAATTTACAACAGAGTGTGAAGAGATTACAGAGAGATATATAGAGCTGAGAATCACTGAATGCATTTTTTATTTATTTATTTTTATTGTACTTTAAGTTCTGAATGCATTTTTAAAAAGTTTTTACTGTGCTACTGTCAAAGGGCCATTTGGTTTCTTTAGCTGTTTTTTCCAGATGTTTCGAGTAACATTTACCAAGTTACTAAGCAAAAAACGCAACTTGAAGGATGGGAGGAAGATAATAGGGGAGAGCATCATGTGTTGGAGACAAGCTACTTTTCTCCCCAAGATCTCAAGGTGTCAGTTCTTTGATCTTTATGAGCCTCATGTTCCTTATCTAAAATGTGAAAATAATACTACTATCTTTTAAAAATTATTGTGAGGATTAGAAACATATAGGTATGTGTTTAGCTCCTAGCACTGTACCTAATACATATTTAGAATTCAGTAAATGGAAATTATGCCATGTTGTTGCTGATGTTACAAAGGGCCACATTAATTGAATAGCTCATAAGTGAAATAAGACAGGGTTTACTTCTTGAAGACTGGGTATTTGGAAAAAAAAATAAAAAAAAAAGGCAGGGATCACTGACATTATATTGGCTGCTTTATCAGGCTGTGACTAAAAGGAGAAAATGCAAATGCACATTAAATGTAAATGTAAATGTAAATGCTTGGTCAGCTACAAATCCCTCTACAAATGTTATGTGATACTTATCATTACTTCTAAAAGAAGTAATCATAGAGTGAATGTTTGATAAATAGTTGAGATCATTATTATATAAATATATGAAAAGGAAAATATTTCAGCAAATAAAATAGCACATAATATACTTCTATGTGTGACTGGATCTTGGAATTGTTCTTCACATGTTTAGGGTTTGCATAATTTCACAAAGACTGAGAGATACAGAGAGAGTAAAATACACTGTGAATTAGCCAAGAGTTTTCCTTGCAATAAGTGGAAAAAAAAAGAAGTCTCTGCTTCATTTTAGCAGAAAAAGAATTTTTGAAAATATGTTAAATATCCTTCAAAATCTCTGGTGGGGCTGGAGAACTACGTTGAGAGAATAAGCAGCCAGGAAATCAAGACAGCCAGAACCCAGATTACACTATGTCACCAGGACCAAGCCATTAAAGACAGTCCTGCCACCACCATTGAACAGTGGAGACATTCAGATTTTTAGGCTACTGCCCCCAACTTTTGACAGTGGATATTGTAAATACTTCCTCTAGAACCTGGATTTGGTTGCTGTTGATGGCATGATTATACCTTCTTTGCTTTGTTGGTCCATCAGTACTGGCGTAAAAGCCTGGGTGGGACTACTGGGCCAAGCTAGGTGATATGGTTTGGCTCTGTGTCCCCACCCAAATCTCGTTGTAATCCCCATAATCCTCACATGTGGAGGGTGGGACCAGGTAGGAGGTGATTGGATCATGGGGGCAGTTTCCCCCATGCTGTTCTACTCATAGTGAATATGTTCTCACGAGATCTAATGGTTTTGTAAGGCAGTTTTCCTTGCTCTTGCTAACTCTCCTGCCACCACGTGAAGAAGGTCGTTGCCTGCTTCCCCTTCTGCCATGATTGTAAGTTTCCTGAGTCCTCCCAGCCATGCAGAACTGTGAGTTAATTAAACCTCCTTTGTTTACAAATTACCTAGTTTTGGGTAGTATCTTTATAGCAGTATGAAAACAGACAAATACAGTGGGCTTGGCTGCAATAGGCTGACAAAGTGAACATCTGGCCTTTTTACCTTCTGTGGGTGGTGGTGGGATCTGCTTCCCTGCCAGACACATATGGTTGGAATTCTATTCAAATAGAAAACGCATTCAGATGCTGGAAAGCTGAAATATGACAAATACTTACTATACATCCTTTGATGGTCGAATAACCACATATCTTTTGTTTCTGCCAAAATTAATGCCGCTAATTCTAATGCTTTTGAAAATACACTCCTCCTCTTCAGGAGGAGGCAACCTCAAGTCTCTTTAGTTATCGCATCCTATCTCACTTCTCACAGGGCACATTTGCCTGGTGAATGGCTTTGTGTGCTTTGAAAAGACTTTGAGGAAGACTCAAAGCAGTTACTTGTGATATTATTGTAGGATCCTTCAGCAAAGTACCAGGTCTTCCCTTCAATTTTGGGGGCTGTCAGGTCTGGTAATTGACTGTGGGGTTGAGATGACTGATAGTTTACATCAGGCCACAGTTTACATGATCTAGCTATTTTTTGTTACACAAATCAAGTAGAGGGTTGTACAAGTCTTTTAATCTTGGGAATCTCGTGATCATTTAGTCACCATCATAAAATCCATTGATTGTGGTTACCATGTTTGCTGTGCCGCCCTCTTGTGACTGCTCTGCCTGCTTTGTCTCTGGAGAATAAGTGCTGTTTTTCTCCTTTTGCCACCCCAGGATCCTGATACATCACTGAAACCAGAAAGCCCGTTTCAAATGCAGCATCTTCCACCAGCATGTCTGGTCTAGGGAGAACAACAAGTAGAGTACTTTTAGAGTTGCTGGAGCAACATTCTTCACCAGTGTGTTTCTCAAGGCCTCGTTGAAGGGAGTGTGTTTGGGATCCTCACTTGAATTACATAGATAGAAGATTAGTGGGTGGGGTGCTCATGCCAAAGCTACTCCACAATTTCTGTTTCCTTTAGCCTTTGAATCCCTTTCTCTAAGTTACATGTTTACTGTAAACAGATAGTAAATAACTTAGGCTTTGCAGGCCATATAGTCACTGTGGTAACTACTCAACTCTGCTGTGGTAGCATGAAAGCAGCTATTGATGATTTGTGAGTGAATGGGTGTGTCTGTGTTCTAATAAAACTTTATTGGAAATCAGAAGATAGACAGAATTTGGCCCATAGGTCATAGTTTGCCAACCTCTGCTCTGAGTTACCTTGAAGAAAATTTGGCATCTTAACCTTATTTAATGAGGGCCACCGCAAGTCCTGGTTTTCGTCAACTAGCTAAGCAAAAACTCAGAGCTATCCAAGATAACATATTGTGTCCAGCATTTCCAGTAAGTATACCCATGATAAAAGAACAATACCTTTGTTTTTTTCATTTGACTCTCTATGTACAACCTTCAGAAGAGAATGATACTTTGTCCAATGTTAGTTCCAGCTAGTTTCCAGTGAAGACATTATCAGGGACTATGGAATTATTTAAAAACAAATTCCACTAATCATGCTTCAGAATTACTGTACTCCAATTAGCAATAACTACAAACTAGAAGCCGGTTTTGTTTGCAAGGGCTATCTTCCCTGCTCTATACCTGACTTTCCTCCTATGTTCCTTCTCCTCTCTTCACTTCCCACTATCCATTCCAGTTTTGAGAGTCATAAACCTTCCTTATTCTCACTGCTTAATCATGCCCATCAGTTATAACTCCTGTTTCTGAAATTCACCCTCTTCTCTCCACTTCTGCCACCTCTACCATCATAACCCAAGCTACTGTACACCTTGCCTGATTTGCCTCAGTAGTCTCCTACTGTGTCTCCTTGCACCCATTCAGCTTTTGCATTCTGTTTTATATTTTATTTCATCCAGAATATGGAAACACTAATCTGATCCTGTTACCATTGAGTTTAAAACTCATCAGTGACTTCCTGTTACTCTTAGCATAAAGATAAATGCCTTAAACTTAGCCTGCAAGACTTTACATCAATGTTTTTTGGACTTCAGTTCATGAATCTTCAGTACGTTGAAAATCAATTTAGGTAGTTGTGACAAATGTATACAAACATAAAATAGAACATATCAGGCTGCACTAGAGATAGCAAAGATAAGTACTGTTTTGTGAAATTGTGATTTTGGTTGCGTGTGTGTGTGTGAATTGGATTGGATTGCAACATAAGACGTATTTCTTACTTTGAGTTCTGGTCAATAGAAGTCTGAAAGATACTATGTGTGTTCTGGGGTCGTCATACCTTTCAGGATCCACAGTCTAACACTTCCTTTTGCTCTCTTTTCTCTGACCTTGCCACCGTCTTTCAAGAAGTGGAGTATGTTTTTTCTCTCTGGGAACCTGGATGGAACTTGGGACTACTTGGAAGAATAAAATGCAATGGAAGGGACATGGCATGACTTCTGGCCTTTCTTCTGTCCACAGCATACCTGTGCTACCTCTTATCTCAGGGCCTTTGCACATGGCTGTTCTCTTGAGTTTGGAACATTCTCCCTCATTCTTCTTTTTGCCTTTTTTGCTCATATTTACCCTAGCACCAGTGTCATTTCCTCAGGGAAGTCTTGTCTGATTTTCCTAACTAGGTCAGTTCCCCATTATTGATATACATCAGGCCTTTCTCCTTTGCAGCACTTGCTACAGCTGAATTTTACCTTTGTGGGGTTGCATAGCTGAAGTCTAACTCTCCTCCTAGATTGTAAACTCCAAGAGGTTAGATACCATGCCTGTTTATACTCATTTTTATACCAGCCCAGCATCAAACACAGTGTCTTGTGCACAGAAATATGTGTGTGTGTGTTTGTGTATTTAATGAATAGTAATCATGCTGTTTTCCTAATATATGAAAATGGCTGTAATGAGTTTTTGCTTTAAATACTACTGTTCTTTTATGTTTTAAATTGCTTAGTTTAAAAAAAACAAACAAACTGTTCCAATTATTAAGACAACATAGTGAGTCACCCCAAAACTTAGTACCGTAAAACTATGACTTATTCTGCACCTGGATTCCTGTGTGTCAGGAATTCAGGGAGGGTGCAGCAGAGATGCCTTTTCTTTGCTTCACGATGTCTGGAGCCTTAGCTGGAGATCTAAAAGCTGTAGGCTGGAACCATCTGAGGGCTGTTACACATGCATGAGTGGTGACTAATGTTGGCTGTCATTGGGCCCTGGTTCCTCCTCTTCACCTGACTTTTCCATGTGGTCTCTTCTTGTGGGCTAGATTTTCCTTCCTTACAGAATGGTGGTGGAGTTCTAAGCTGGGAGCAGGAAAAAAGAGGGAGACTGCGAGGAAAAGATGCTTGGACATCACGCAGCATCACTCCTATTGCATTTATTCTTCCAGGCAGTCCGAAGTCATATCCCGGTTTTCGGGGAGGGGAAATAGATTCCATCTCTTGATGGGAAGTGGCAAAATTATAAAAAAGAATGTGAGCCAGAAATATTGCTGTGGCCATTTTTGGAAAATACAGTCTCCCACACTGGGAATGTATTTCAATTACAATTCATTTAGATATGTAGCTACCGCATGCCTTTAGATGTCAGTATATTTGATGGTTACTTTGTGAATTTCACACAGGGTCTCTTCCTTTCCAAATCTCTTATTTTTTAGCCTCCTGAAATGAAGAACTGATTTTTCACCTAATTGCTTTCAGAATTAAATACACTTAAAAAATAGTTGTGCAACATGTTTATTCCAATCTATACATAATTTCTCCTTCTTGGTTTTCTGGTTGCTGAGGAAGCAACACTTTCTTTTGGAAATTTTTTCCTGTGGAGGATTACCAATATTGGAAAAAGAATATGAAGAAGCTACTGAGTTTGATCTCCTGAAATATAATCTGTCATCAGAATCAAGTAGAAATATGTTATTACATGTACAATTTAGTCTGAGAAATCTGTATACTCACATGCAGATAATCTAAAAGAAGTTACTTTATATAATTATAAAAAATACTTAAAAGCATTTAGATATTGCTGAGTATATCCAAATATTTCTGACGAGATTCAAATATCTATTTAGATATAATAAAGGTTAATTCTAAATATAATTATTCAATAACTTTTGTACTTTAGTATCGCATATCAAATAAAGGATTAGATTTAAAATATTACCATTTTGTATATAATATACGACCCATTCTAGTCCATATCATCTATTCCTGTCCTAGCTACTCAGGAGGCAAAGGCAGGAAGATCGCTTAAGGCCAAGAGATCAAGGTTGCAGTGAGCTGTGATTGTGCTACTGAACTCTAGCCTGGGTGACAGAGCAAGACTCTGTCTCTGAATTAAAAAAAAAAAAAGGTATATATAGACAACTTAAAAAACTTCAAACTAAGAATTAACTTTTATTTATTAACACTGTATAAGCAATGGCTCAATGCACTTTAAAGGGTTGAGTAGAGAGAGCTATGGGAATTATACATTGTTACCAGAGGGAATTCTCTTCCCGTCTTCCAGTTAGATAGGAAAGATTTTATAGAAGGGGCGATATTTCATTAGCTGTTTGAGTGAAAGAAGGAAGATGCCAGGAAGAGCTGGAAACAAAAGAAAGCAAATATATATCTTTATCATCCTGGAAGGAACAGGGAAGAAGCCTTCATTTTTTTGCCTTCTTTTTATTTCAATATTCTTTTTCTCCTCAAATATTGTAGTTTTAAAGTAAATATCCCAGTTGTTATAATTCATCTATAAACGATAAAAATGCCTAGTTTCTAAAACTGCAATTTAAGCCTTTTTGGCACTACTCTGCTGCGTAAGGGTTCATCGCAGTATTGAAAAATATGATTAAACCACAGCCTACCTAGACTTCTCTTATTCAGATAGAATAATTTCAGTTTCAAACATCATTCCCTGTGGATCCTGTTTCTCCATCCCTCAGTTGCTATGGCTGCCCACTCTTTCCTTTCTAAGTTCTCTCTGTCCCCCTTGAGCTGTGGGATCCTGTGTGAACATACTAATCTTGAAAGAGATGAAAGAGTATTGAATGGCAAAGATAGCCTGCCTTGCACACTAGCAAAGCAAATTTACAAGAGAGAAATTCTTTCAAGTGTTCTTTGTGGTGGTCCATTTTAAAAGGTTTTCTGATAGTTTTAGAGGCCAAATTCCTTCTCCTTTTGAAGCTAGACAAAATGACTTTTTAGAGCAAAGTTGCCCAAACAATATGTTTGTACAATGTGACCTGACCCTTTACTTTGGTTTATTATTGTACTCCCCACGGTGTGAAGATTGAAATTTATCTTTTGATACATAGGGCAGGTTTTAGAGTCTTTGGAACAGTACGTGTAGAAGTTACATTCAGCCCGGGGTTGTTTGGTAGTTGGTAACCTGGAAACGTAATTGCCACAACAAGCCATCCAAACAGTTATTCTTCTGAGTGCTCATAATGAAAGTAATACCAGGAGGGATCAGCCAGGAATTGACTAGACAGCCCTTGCAAACAAAACTGACTGCTACATTTTGGTTATTGCTAATTGGGGTACAGTAATTCTGACACACATTTAGTGGAATTTAAAAAATAATAATAATTCTACAGTAGTCCCTGATAATGGGTTCACTGAAGACTTTAGTTGGGACTAACACTGGATGGAGTATCATTCTTTTTTCATTTGAGGGGTAAAGTAGCTAATTTTTTCTTTGTATTCAAGAAAGTGTAAGAGACTTGCTTTCTTAAATAAATGTGTTTTTCCTCCAGTATTTCATACCATGCAAGTATTACAATTCAATGGAAAGGAACACAGTGTGGGCATTTGAACACAAGCCTCTCCCTGCCTGCCCCCTTTTTTATTCATTCATGTCTTCATTTTGGTATTATAAAAATAAATGCTGATAGAAGATAGCGCAGGAAAGAATGTTTCATGTGGGATGGATTTTGTGTCATCTCATGGATTCCTTGAATTATTTGTATTGAATGTAACTAAGGCACAAAGCAAGCTAGGCCTCTTGTTGCAAAACTTAGATGAATCATGGCAATGGGTAGCTTGGTTCTAACTCCAATTCCCCATTCTGTTTGGAATATTGGATGGCTAATGTTAAGTTGTTGCCCAAGTTGCCTGTCTGCATTGTATCTTAAGTTCCAAGTTATTACCATTCTTTCTTACCGTACCATTATAATTTTGGGATTGCAGGGTGAAAATGAGGAGTTGAAATGAAATAGGATAGCAATGGTATATTTTTCAACTACTCTTTCAATAAACCTAAGTTGAAAAGAGAGATTTAATTCAGCTTGTTTTTCTTCTTAATATTGATACTTACATACTCAGGAAAACAAACAAATGATAAAGTCTGTCCAGGAAGTCTAGCTTCTGTGCAAAGGGAATGAGGGTTAATATTCTCCTTCGGTTGTGCTATTTTTTTGTGTGCATACCTCTTTGATTACATTTACTGCCTACATTTTGGGTGATTAAGCTTCTTTAGCCTGAATCATCTCTCCAAACTTTCATTTATGTGTTTCCGTCAGTAGGGAGGGCTCATCATTTTTTACCTAAATGCTTCTGTTTTGCGTTGTTTATCATTGAGAGATGGCATGGCATGGCATGGTGGAAAAGACGTGAATTTTGGAAACAAATAGCCTTAAGTTTAAATCCTGATTCTAGGACCTATAATATAATTTCCTCTGTGGAGACTGGAAAAAACTAATGTTTATCTTAGAGCTGTGGTTATCAAGAAATATTAAGTAAATATCTATCATGTATCGGATACATGATGTTGATGAAAAATGAGAACTATGTGGCTCCTGCTTTCCAAGGAAGAGCTTGTTGTCCAGCAAGCGTAGATATGCGTACAAATAACTGTAGTAACCTGTAGTAATTGCTTCACAGTGTCTAAGCCCAATGTTGATAAGCATTTCAAGGGGCATGCAATTAATATTGCATGATAAGGGAATCAAGGAAAGGACACTTCAGAGAGGAGGTGGTTTTCGAAAAATCAGTAGTTCAGTGGACCATTGAGGGTGGGTTAAAAGGCCAGGAGTAGGGACATAGAACCATAAAATTTAGCAGCTGTGTTGGCTACTAGTTTGATCAATATACCTCTGGGGCATGATTGGCCATGGGCGTGGGTTTGGCCCTCAAACTTGGCAGAAGGGGGCTCTGGCTATAACAAGTCCCAAAAGCAGGGATTCTCAACTCTTGGGACATTCAAACTATACAAACTCCCCCTGTGCCCTAAGATATTCAGATACAAGTTATGGCCTCAATTAGTTGAACTTATAAGCCTTGCATATTCAGATGTCCAAAGTACAGCCAGTTTGATATTCCTTATAGAGTACTTTACAGAAATCTAAACTCCTTATTACTCAGAGATCTAATAATCGTAAATGTAAATCTACACAAGGGAATCCACTTTAAAATCCTCAGTTGTCAACAACTCAGTGCCAGTAGGCAGGGGATTTAGAATTACTCTGTGACCTGAGCAATAGGGCTTACCAAGTTTCCTGTATATACAGAGGAGATGTATGCCCTTGAAGAAAGTATTTCTCTTTGGTTCTTGAGCAAATAACATTTATTAGATATCTCGGACACAGAAACTCTTCTTGTTAATTGTCAGAGAATTTCTACTTCACTTAGAAAGTGTCTGTATTTTCATCCATGCAAATGGAATAGCGTGAATCTCATTTCTTTGTGCTTGCCATCTCTGCCATCTGTCAAAGAGTAACACATGTTGGGCATCAAAGAATGCATCAAGCTAAACATATATTAAGCAGAGACTAGCAAATGCAAGGAGAAAGACAAGCACATTTGAGAGGCTTTTAGAAATTTTTTTTATTTAAAGAATATTCATTTTGTTTACTAGTAACACTCCATAAATTCATTATAAGTTTATAATGTTGCCAGGCGCGGTGGCTCACACTTGTAATCCCAGCACTTTGGGAGGCTGAGGCGAGTTGGATCACCTGAGGTGAGGAGTTTGAGACCAGCCTGGCTGCCATGGTGAAACCCCGTCTCTACTGAAAATACAAAAATTAGCCGGGTGTGGTGGCGGGCACCTATAATCCCAGCTACTCAGGAGGCTGAGGCAGGAGAATTGCTTGAACCCGGGAGGCGGAGGTTGCAGTGAGCCAAGATTGGGCCCTTGTACTCCAGCCTGGGCAACAAGAGCAAAACTCCGTATCAGCCAATAAATAAATAAATAAATAAATAAATAAATAAGTTTATAATGTTGATTGACTAAAAGTGGACTGTTGCCATGAAAACTAATTATATATATGAAATGCAGACACATTACATGCTGACAGTTGCTAAAGACCCTGAAGCTATTAGCAGAAATTAGTTTTAAGTAAGCAAGATTAACAAAGTGTCAACAGCAATGAAAACAAAATGCTTATGTAAGGGAGAGAGATCTCAGGGTTTATAGTCAAAAGTCCTAAGCTGGGTGGCCCGTGGCCTCAGTTTCCTTAACTGTGAATTGGTGACGAAAGCAACACTTGGCCTAACCTAGGTTTCCCTGTAATTCAGTTCCCCTCATCAAATACATACTATCCAGTTAATTGTAAGTTTTGACAGTGCAGTTACCCTGACTGACTTGTTCATGGTTACAGAGGGATCCATAGACATTTGTTGCCTCCAATTTGCCAGGTGCTGAGCTGTGCTGAAGGAATGAGATTATGGTAGAACACAATCCTTGGCCTCAAAGTGAGCCCATCTATCTGGGGAGTAGTTAGCAAATACTGCAAGTAGAATACAGTATGGTATGGGTTAAATGAGGATGTAAATGAACATTTTTATGCATTTTTTTTTTTTTTTTGAGACAGGGTCTCGCTCTGTCACCCAGGCTGGAGTGCAGTAGCATGATCAAGGCTCACTTCAGCCTCGATCTCCCAGGCTCAGGGAATCCTTCTGCTTCAGCCACCTGACTAGCTGGGACTACAGGCATGTACCACCACACCTGGCCAATTTTTTGCACTTTTAGTAGAGACGGATTTTTGCCATTGTTGCCCAGGCTGGTCTTGAACTCTTGGACTTAAGCGACCCACATGCCTCGGCCTCCCAAAGTGCTGGGTTATAGGCATAAGCCTCCATGCCCGCTCATCATACATGCTTTTTATTGATACAAATGATGGTGTTTTTTTCTTCTGCTAGATAAATGTTGGCTTCCTTTCTATATCTGCTCTCTTTATAGTTAATATATATATGTCACCCAGCTCTTAACATGCTTTGTATGATTTTTAATTTTATGGATCATCTATAGTAAATTTTAAATTTTTGACTAATTTTCTACTATCCAGGGAGCTCTAGGGCATGGGGGGGTCCTTCTATTGGTTGGTGTATTCTAAAAATGGAGACTCTTTTTAACATTTAACATTAGCTTGAGTCAAAAAGAGAGGTGGTAGGTATCCCGATGAAATGAAAAGGTCTGATTTCCTCCCTCCCTTCCTTCCTTCCTTCCTTCATTCTTTCCTTCCTTCCTTTCTTCCTTCCTTCCTTCCTTCCTTCCTTTCCTTCCTCTCTTTCCTTCCTCTCTTTCCTTCTTTTTATTTTTCTCCCTGTCTTTCTCTCTTTTTTCCTCTCTTCCTTTCTTTCTTTCTTTGGTTTTGGAACTTTGCATGAAACTTGATCAATAATTTTAATTCTGCATTCCTACATATGTTGATAATAAAGAAAAATTACAGTAGTTTGTGGTCTGGGATTCAACATGGGTGTGGGGAAGGAAGAACTGAAATAATATCAAGTAAATATTATGGTAGTAAGAACAGAGAGGTTGTGACACTGAAAAACAGTTTCCCAACCTTTTAATTTTATTTAAAAACCAGAGACATGGTAAAATAAATGTGACTCATTTCTCATTCACATGTATAATATATATATTTTTAAAACAGGCCTTGATATTATACTAAGGAATAAACTCTGCTCTATAGGCTGAGATGTGAATGTGATGAAGAAGAGAGAGGGAGAAGAATGTTCTGGATTTTCTCTAGTATGTTATATTAAAACATAACAAAAATCCACTGCACCTGCTATATGTACCCTGAACTTGCAGAAAATTTTGTGGAATATGTTTGCTGAAAAATTCTGGACTAAGAGAACATGATGATGCTAATGTGACTGAAATCTTTGATTCTTCTTTGAGGAACAACCTCACAGAAATGGGGCCATCAGGTCTCCCTTGCGACATCTTCAAGCATGTGAGGGACGTTTAGTTTCTTAGAGAAGACAATAACCCCCACTCATCTTTGCCAGTGGGAGCCAAGATCTAGGTTATTCTTCAAGGAAGACAGTTGATTGAGGCTTCCAGCCTCTCACATTTTCTCTAGATGGCACAATAACTTACATTCCATGCTGATTTTCCTTTCGCCCAGAGGACCTCATAATTTGCTTATTTGCTGTAACATAAAAACGGATCACAGAATAAAGATGGCAAATGTAAGTGAGCGCTTTTATTTGAGAACCGAGGAGAAGTGTGAGGAAGTAGATATCGTGCTCTCTCACTCCTAGATGGAACGTTTTAGTTTTGACCACGGGGCTCTGGAGATTCTGGTTTTGGATTATTCTAAGAGGAGAGGGTCTCTTCAGGGAACCTCTGATTCCAAGGCATTCTCTGTGGTAGGCAGGCTGAGAGTAAGACGAACATGGCCTTACTCTTCATTGCATTTAATGTGAAATCCTTTCTTCTACTTCTTGTGCTGTCTTTGATGTAGTTGAACTATTTGAGATGCCAAAGTGTCATAGCTCTCTCTCTCTCTTTTCTTTCTTTCTTTTCTGTCTTTCTTTGTTTTTTTTTTTTAGACAAGCTCTTGCTCTGTCAGCCATGTGGGAATACAGTGGCACAATCATAGCTTACTGTGGCCTTGAACACCTGGGTTCAAGTTTTCCTCCCACCTCACCCTCCCAAGTAGCTGGAACTATAGGCATGAGCCACCATGCCTGCTTAAATTTTTAACTTTTTGTAGAGATAGGGTCTACTATATTATTCGGGCTGTTTTTGAATTCCTATCCTCAAGCCAGCCTTCAGCTTTGGCCTCCCAAAGTGTTGGGATTACAGGTGTGAGCCACTGTGCCTGGCCCCAAAGTGTCATAGCTCTTTGATGAGCTACCCTCACCCAAACAATCCAGGGAGACGAGGCAAAATATGAAAAAGATGGGACAAATAGGGAACAGACTTTGATTTTCTTGCTAACAAATATTAACAAGTGAGACACACTCAGTATCATAAACAACTTTTGCTTTTGCTTCTGCAAATCTGGATGGACCAAATACAGATTTTATTTCTTTATGTGTTTTTCTTAAACCAGTTTCACTGTCATTCATTTTCCTTTCTTAGGTGAATGTGTTTCATTCTAGTAGGATAGAGATTAGCTTACAGTGGGCTGATTAGGTAAGGGGGTGGTCACTGGGGCCATTGACAGTTTTAAACTGTTACTTTTTGCGAGCTTCTTACATTTTTTGAGGAAAAAACTCACTGAACCTTGAGCATTCTTCTGTATCTACATCAGGTGCTTTGACCTCCTGGATGGTGCAGTTTTGATGTGAAAGTGAGGTTCTTTTGACCCAGCTCTACCCTTAGGGAATGCAAATATTTTTCCAATTAAGCTTGGTTCACTGGTTAACTACAAGCCATTGTTTCTCACTGTTCTGAGCTAATAAGCTTGGTATGTGAAAAAAGACCTCCCTCTGAATATTAGTGACAAAACCCATGAGTGATTTCAGGGGCTAACTGTACTTTCTCCTCTGTTTTAGTGGTATGATAAATAATTACTTTAGTGTTAAATATAGTTTGAGTACTTTTTGTTGTTCTTTTCAACTTGCTTCACAAAGTAATAGAGGATCAAATTTCTTTGAAACTAAAACAAAACCCAATGTAAGCAAATGACAGAAGTTTATGCTTAAGTGCTTAAATGTAGTCTAGTTACAGATGGAGATTGTTGCTGGTTGCCTCAGGTGGTAGTTTTTATCACACTGTAAGTACATACTTGTGCTTGATTATTGGGAGAAGACAGGGAGAGAGATGAAGACAGGGAGAGGTCTCTTATGTATTAGATCTTTTATTTGCATTAAGGTCTATTAAGCATTATATTCATTGAACTTTTCATTTTGAAATGATTTTAGAAAAAAGTTGCCGAACTTACAGAGAATTCTTTGTATACCTTACTTCACCCAGTTCCTTTGTTAATGTCCTACATAGCCATAGCATAGTTATCAACACTAGAACATTAAAATTGATACAATTACCTAATCTACAGATCTTACTAGAATTTTGTCAGTTTTCCCACTGATATTTTTTTCCTGGTCCAGGATCCCATCTAAAATCCCACGTCTTGTTTGGTGTTCCTATCTCCTTAGGTTCTGCCAAAACTAGGTTGTTTTGATAGAAAACTACCAAACTACCAACTACCCTGTGACTGTTCCTCAGTCTTTCATGACCTTGACAATTTTGAAAGTCAGTTATTTTTATTTTTAAATTGAGGTGGAGTCTTGCTCTGGAGGCTGGAGTGCAGTGGCATAATCTTGGCTCACTACAGCCTCAGTGTCCTGGGCTCCAGTGATCCTCCTGCCTCGGCCTCCCGAAGTGTTAGGATTATAGGTGTGAGCTACCATATCTGGCAAGTCAGTTATTTTGTAGATGGTCCTTTAATTTAGGACATATCTGGTGTTTTCTTGTGATCGGGTTGAAATGATTCATTTTTGGAGATGTCAACAAAAAGAGTCAAACTCTGTAAAATATTTTAAGAGGTTAATTCTGATCCAAATATGAGTGACCATGGCCTGTGACACAGCCCTCAGGAGATCTTGAGAACTTGTGCCCAAGGTGGTCGGGGTACAGCTTGGTTTTATATATCTTAGGAAGGCATGAGACATCAATCAAATACATTTAAAGAAATACATTTGTTTGGTTCAGAAAGGCGGGACAACTCAAAGTGGGGGCTTCCAGGCTATAGGTAAATTTAAACATTTTCTTGTTGACAATTGGTTGAGTTTGTCCAAAGACCTGGGATCAATAGAAAAGAATGTTCCGGTTAAAGACAAAGGATTGTGGGGACCAAGTTTTATTGTGCAGAGGAAGCTCTCAGATAGCAGACTTCAGAGAGAGCAGGTTGTAAATTATTTCTTACTGGACTTAAAAGGGTACCTGGCTCTTAGTTGATTATCTCCTGGATCTGGAAAAAAAAAAAAAAGGAAGGAAAACAAAGGGGAAAGGAGATTCGTATAGAATGTGGATTTTTCCCACAAGAGACTTTGCAGGGCAATTTCAAGGTATGGCAAGGAAATATATTTTAGGGTAAAACATTTTTATTTTCTTCCTTGTTATGCCAGAATCAGATTGGAAAGTAAGTCACGATATGCAAGGTCAAATAAAACCCATCTGATGAGAATTTATGATTTGTAGGTTATGACTCCCCAGACCCCTTAGATAGGAATTTGGGCAAGATAAAAAATCAGAGCTTAATCTTCAGGGAGCAAAAATACCAGGAAATTATGTTCCCTGTTCAGTGCATTGTATTAGAAGACACTGCTGAGGAAACATGATTGAAAAAAAAGTCTTTTCCCAATCCAGAAATTCTCTCCACAAAAGGTAGTAGAGAAAGAAGAGTGTTATTATTACACAAGCGTTAAATCAGAATATGACACCCATCACAGGCAATCCATGAAACGATTGCAAAGACAAAAAGAAATCTTACCCTTTTAGATAGCCAAGTAGAGGCTACCCATTACATACATGTTTTCAAGATAAACAAAACTAGTCTTCAAGAAAGAGGGCTTGACAGCATCATTTGTCACACGTAATTAATTCATCCTAATTTTACCAGGTATTTGGGGTGACCATTTGTATTAGCTAATTTGTTTTTATCCAAAGGAGAAACAAACGTCTCATGTCTTTATGACAGGAAGTTTGGCTCCTACCCAGCAAAGTTAGGATCCTATCCTCCCACAGAGACTGGGAAATACCAGTGATATCGCTTTTGCTTTTTGCATTTCAAAGAGATGACTGCTAGGTCCTTGAGTGGGACATTTCTGGGTCATAAAGTTGACAAAAGGCCTAAGTAGTGTTTAAAATAATTATGCAGATTTCACAGAGAGGACAAAGTACTTATACTCTAGTATTCTAAAGCAAATGCTCTGATAAAAAGGAAGGGAGGGAGATCTCTTATTTTTAGAATTAAACCTCTTATTTTTAATTTGTATTTGTCCTTGCAGTACATGATGCTGACATGTCATATTACTGGTGAGACTGACTTTGATCAGTTGGTTACGGTGATGTCTGCCAGGTTTCCCCACTGTAAAGTTACCATTATTTTTTCCTTTGTAATTAATTACCGTCTTGTGGAGGAGATAGTTTGAGACTATGCAAATATACTGTTTCTTAATATTCATAGTTTCACCCACAAATTTTAGCATCCATTGATGGTTCTTTTCTGTAGTAACTTACTATTGTGTTTACCAAAAGGTGATTTTCTATTTTCATTATTTCTTCTACATATTAATTGGAATTCTTCTATGTGGAAGAATTGCCCTCATTTATTTTTTAATGTATTTATTCAATCATTTATTTGCATCAGTATGGATTCTTAGATATTTATTTTAGGTGTTAAAATCTAATAATATCATTCGTTTTGTTGCTTAAATTATTCTTGATTTGGCCACTGAGAACTCTTTCAAGTTGGCTTTTGTGTCTTTCCAGTATGGCCCTGCTGTTTTTTTTTTTTTTTTAATTTTTTTATTTAATTACTTTCCAGCACCACAAGATGTTCCAGGCTTGTCTTATATTTTTCTTTCTCTGGCCCTGGAATAAATTGTTTCTCCAAGGATCTCTAGTCCCTTTTATTGGAGAATGGTATTTAGAAACCAGCATCTGGGCATTAGGGGTGCTTCTTGCTATTGAGGTTTCAATGCTTTTAGGCCCTCTCAGTAGACAGAACTAGAAAATAAATGTACATATATAACTATACATACATACAAATCTAGTTATTTCTGTATCTATTCTGTATCTATTATGCATGTCTATATGCAAATAGATATTTTAAACACTGAGTTTGTAGCCGAGTGTGGTGGCTCATGCCTGTAATCCCAGCACTTTGGGATGCCAAGGTGGACGGATCACTTGAAGTCAGGATTTTGAGGCCAGCCTGGCCAACATGGTGAAACCCTGTCTCTACTAAAAATACAAAAATTAGCCAGTTGTGGTGGCAGGTGCCTGTAATCCCAGCTACTTGGGAAGCTGAGGCAGTAGAATTGCTCGAACCTGGGAGGCAGAGGTTGCAGTGAGCCAAGATTGTACCACTGCATTCCAGCCTGGGCGACAGTGAGACTCTGTCTCAAACCCCACCCCCCACAAAACAAACAAACAAACAAAAACCAAAAAATTGAGTTTGTACTGATACCTCCAGTTCTACTCCAGCACCACGGGGTTTATTCTAGTCTGCCTCAGTTCCTTATTTGTAACTTCTTTCTGTAATAGTAGGAAACCCTACTCTCATCATCCACATTACATTTATGTATTGGTTTACTTTTAATGTAGATTCAAAATAGATTTAGAATTGCTAACCTATACTCTTATGAGAAGCATTTGATTGACTAAAGTACAGTATTTGTGTACAGCTTTTTGTCGTTAGACTTCAGTATATAGTAAGAATACCGTTTTCCCAAGCTCTTTGGGTTAGTTTCTTCCTTCACCGTCCATTTATTGATTTGTAACACAGTTAGGTTCATTTGTTACTGTATCTTTCTATTTTGTGTTCCTCCTATATTTTGGTTGGTTTTAATTATTTGCCATGGTCCTAAAAGTCATAAGCTATACAAAATATATACTGAGAGAAGGGTTGCTCCTCTCCCTCCATCTCTGCTACTCAGTTCCTACCCACACACTACCCATTACTTCTACTTATTTCCTGTCCATTCTCTGTAGGAAACCACTCTCCTTAGATTCTGGTTTATCCTTCCTGTCCTTATCCTGTCCTTTTGCACAAATGAGCAGATACATGTATACATTTTCAAAATACCCTTCTTACCTATATGTAGGGTAGCATACTGTAGATAGTCTTTGGCACTTTACTGTATTTCACTTAACAAAATGTCTTGGGAAAATCTCTCCTGGACATTGGTCTAGGCAAAGAATTCGTGACTAAGACCTCAAAAGCACAAGCAAGAAAAACAAAAATATTCTGAATCAAGGACCAGAGAAAAAGACAAACAAAACAAAACAAAAGTAGACAAATGGGACTTAATTAAATTAAAAAACTTCTACACAGCAAAAGAAATAATCAACAAAGTAAACAGACACCCTGCAGAATGGGAGAAAATATTTGCAAACTATGCATCCCACAGGGGACTGATATCCAAATTTACAAGGACTCAAACAACTCAAAAAAGGAAAAAAAAAAACCCCACAAATAATTTCATTAAAAAGTGGAAAAATTCATGCATAGTCATTTTTCAAAAGAAGGCATACAAATGGCCAAAAAGCATATGAAAAACTGCTCAACGTCACTGATCATCAGAGAAATGCAAATTAAAAATGCAATGAGATATCATCTTATACCAGTCAGAGTGGCTATTATTAAAAAGTCAAAAAACAACAAATGTTGGCAAGGATGCAGAGAAAAAGAAATACTTATACACTGTTGGTGGGAATGTAAATTAGTACAACTGCTGTGGAAAATAATGGAGATTTCTCAAAGAACTAAAAATAGAACTACCATTCAGTCTGGCAGTCCCACTACTGGGTATCTACCCAGAGGAAAGAAATCATTACATCAAAAAAGATACCTGCACTCATATGTTTATCTCAGCACTATTCACAATAGCAGAGATATGGACTCAACCTAAGTGTCCATCAACAGATAACTGGATACAGAAAATGTGATATAATACACACACACACACACACACGTACGTATATAAAACGGAATATTATTCAGCTGTTAAAAAGAATGAAATTATGTCTTTTGCCGCAACATGGATGGAACTGGAAGCCATTATCTTAAGCGTAACTACTCAGACACAGGAAGACATAGGAAGTGCATATTCCCACTTATAAGTGGGACCTAAATAATGTGTACAAATGGACATAGAATGTGGAATGATAGACATTAGAGACTCAGAAGGATGCTGGAGCAGAAGGGGATGAATGATGAGAAATTACTTAGTGGATACATTGTACATTATTCCAGTGATGGATACACTAAAAGTCCAAACTTCACCACTATGCAATATATCCGTGTAATAAAAATGCACTTGTACCACTTAAATTTATACAAAAAACAACTAAAAAAACTAACAACAACAACAAAAAACCCAGTATGTCTTGGAAACCTCTCCATATTGGTATGTAAAGATCTTTCTCACACCTTACTGCAACTTCAGAGCCCTCCATCGTATGGATGTGCTATATTTAAGCACTCTCCTATGTATGGACATTTAGGTTGTTTCTAATATTTTGGAATTATAAATAATACTACAATGAATAAAACTGTGAATATGTATTTTTGTCTCATTTGTTGGAGGTATATATTTAGAGTAGATTTATAGAAGTGGCATTGCTGGGCCAAAAGATGGGGGAATATGTAGTTTTGTTAGACATTGCTAAATTCCCCTCTGGAAGCTTTGTGCCAATTCGTGTTCCTATCATCAATGTATGGGAGTGTCTGTTTCTACTGTCTTAAAAAACAAATATGTTGCCTTACTTTTTCATTGTTTGCCATCTAGTAGGTGAGAAATGGTATCTTGGTGTTGTTCTAATTTGCATTTCTCTAGTTACAAGTTCGAACATTTTTTATATGTGTAAAGATCAATTTTTAGATTTTTTTTAAAAACATGAATTGCCTGTTCTTGTCCTTTCATTTTTTCTATCAGAGTATAAAGAGTTTTTTTTTTATTTGTATAAAGAGTTCTTTTTACATTAAGGATATTTATGCTTTATCTCTGATATAGGTTGTGAATATTTTCTTCTAGTTTGTCAATTGTCTTATGACTTTGCTTATGGTGCTTTTTTTGTCATGGAAAAATGATTTTTTGTTTTTATGTTAGTCAAATTTATCCAGCTTATTGCCTCTGGATATGGAGTCATAATTAGAAAGTCTTTGTCTTTACCAAGGCTAAAGAGGAATTCACCCATGTTTTCTTTTAGTACTTGTATGATTTCATTTTGTACTTTTATATTACTATTCCATTTGGAGTTCATTCTTGTCTATAGTATAAGATATGGATCGAATTTTCTCTTTTTCCAGAGATGCCTAGGCTACCCCACTGTCCCAAAGCCATTTATTGAAAGTTTATCTTTGCTCCAGTGATTTGAAATGCCAACTTCATCATATACTAAATTTCCATATGTACTTCCTTTGGTCTGTTTCTGGGCTTTCTAGTCTATTCCTCTGGTCTATTTGTCTATGCACAAGTACCACCCTGCTAAAATTAATTTTTAAAATTATGGTTTAAAAATTATCAAAATTGTAGTTTAGAATAAGTATAGTTTTTAAAAAATGAAAAATATATTGTCCCTGAGTCTAACATTCAAACAATTGGATTTCATATTTTAAAATTATCTTTCAGTTTTTCTCCATACATACATCTGTAAATACAGATGTATGCATGTATGTGTGCATATATGTAGTGTTTTTGCCATGGAAAAATAGCTTTTTGTTTTTACGAAGTCAAATTTGTCTCTCTCTCTCTCTCTCTACATATATATGTATATACACATATGTATATACAGAGTTGTAATCATGGAATATTTTATACAAAGCTTTTTTCATTATTTTTCTCTTATATTGTTTTCCTTGTATTTTTCATACTTGCATCGTCTTTGTCATCATTTTTGATAGCAATATATACTGTTTTATTGAGCTGATGTCATAAGTTACTTAATACAATTGTATTTAGAAAATTTCTATTGTTTGAGTCATCATCTTTAAGTATATAGCTTTTTTCCACATCTTAATTATTTTATCAGGATAAATCAGGCAGACATTTACTGTCAAAGGATATAACACATTTTATGCCTCTGAATACCTAATTCTACAGAGTTTTGAAAAAACATATTAATTTAAAATGTTATCAGTAAGGTAGTTTTGCCTCAAATTTCTCAGCATTGGATAAATGATTTTTGAATAACCTGTAGAATATGTAAAACTTCAGGTTTTCTTAAAGCACTCTGAATTTGGCAGTATTTAGGCATTTGTTTCTTACTCGTTTATCTTAATATTTCCATTAGTGGCATCCATACAGCTGATCCTTCTCTCTTAGCTTCTGAAATGGTTCGCTCTCTTGGTTTACCCCTTACCATTGCACTCTCCTACCTCCCTGTCCACTTTTCTCCTGAGTCCTCTGGAATTTTTTTCTCCTCCATTACCCAACCCCAAAGCTTGGTCCTGAACCATTTTCTTTGCTTTCTACTCTCTTCGTTGCTGAACACTTTCATTTTCATGGCTTTAAATATGATCAGTATGCTGATTACTCCCACATCTGTGTCTCTAGCCCTGACTTCATGGAGCCCCAGCCTGCCTGCATGAATGGCACCTCTATCTGGAGGTCTCATAGGCATCTCAGATGTAATGTCCAAGACTGAACTCTGGATCCACAGCAAGTGCAAATGTTCTCTGTCCCAGTAGACAGCATCACTGTCCACCTGACTGTTCCAGGTCTCCTTCGCTTACTAGCCACAAACTTCTTTCAGCAAGTTCCAGCTTCTACTGCAAACATGTATCTAGGCTTCACCCACTTTTCTTTTTTTCCTCAGTCATCCCCCAGGAAAAGCTACCACCATCTCTGACTTGGATAACTCACCAGCCTCCTTTTTGGTCTCCTTGCTTCCATTCTTGCTTTCTGCAGTCTCTTCTCCATGTGGCAGCTGGGGTGATGTTTATAAAAATCTGCAGTGGAGTCTAATTATGCTTAGGCTGAAACTTAGCCTTCTTTCTTTGGTGTAGGAGGCCCTGCATTGTGCCCGCCAGCCTGTCCTTTCCTCCTTCTCCCTACTGCACTCCAGCTACTCCAGCCTCCTTTCTGCTCCCAAAGTATTTTTTTGGTTTGATTTCTTATTTTTTTGTGTATCACTAACCCTCTCTGTTATTTTGTGGGCTTCATGAAGGCAGGGGTCTTGACTATTTTATTTACCAACAAATACTCAACACTTAGTCCAGTGCCTGTCACACAGTAGATGACTGATAGATGTCATTGAATGAATGAGCCCTCTCTGTGGATAGTAAATAAACTAGGAGGTACATAGACGATTTACTGTAGACAGCTTCTGATTTCAGAATGTGGGGTGCCTCTTAGGGCCTGTCTCTTCCTTTGGAAGGGGAGTATCATGTATGGAAGGCTTTCTTCTCTGCATTGGGGTTCTTCAGATGTCCTCAACCACTGCAGTAAAGGCTGGTGGCTGGTGTGGACGACTTGGTTCTAGGAGGTTCCTTAAGGTGTAAGTGCTTCGCTAAGGAGCTACAGAAACATGCATTATCTGGGACTATTTATGGGGCTGGTTATTTAAAAAAAAAAAAAAAGCAAAGATCAATATCATTTTCCATCCTGGAACATTGCCCTTAAAGTGTGTTTTTGGAAATCAAAGTGTATTCCACTAGTATATCTATCAGAGAGGTATAGCTATTATATAGCAATGGGGAAAACGGACATGAACTGCTGAGGCAGGATTAATTTGAGTGGGAAACATGCTCAGATTCTTAAATTTAGGTTTTAGTCCTATTACAAGAAAAATATATTTCTTTTGAAAGATCTCAAGCACTTAGCACTAGTATATCAGTTTTGGTTAAGGACAGGACACGTTTCTCTACCTTGAAACCACCTAGAACAATGCAAGTTAGCAGCATCATTGGTCTGTTGCTGAACAGTTGTGACCCTGTTAGGAAGGGTTTCTGATCTTCCGGACTTTTTTCCAACACTGACACTTATTCAAATTTAATTACTATCACGTTTGCCTTGTGAAATGTGGCATCTAGTAAGCAATTGAAACTGAAGTTTATAGGTTATTATATTAAAAACCTAGCTGATCTAGTCAATGTTCATTTTTTTAAACAGTTATGAGAAGATTCCTATATCGGATTCCATTGATGTTCATAATGATGATTTGTTCCATTTTGGAGGTTCCTATTGCCTTAGCAATTGTTTGACATTTAGGGTTAGTAAGGCCATATTTTTAGTTTTAATTTTAGTGCTTTTTTGTTTTTGTTTTTGTTTTTTTTGAGACAACGTCTTGCTCTGTTGCCCAGACTGGAATATATAGAGTAGCATGATCATAGCTCATTTCAACCTGGAACGCCTAGGCTCAGGCAATCCTCCCACCTCAGCCTCCTGAGTAGCTGGGATTATAGGAATGAGCCACTGCACCTAGCTAATTTTAAACCTTTTTGTAGAAACAAGGTCTCACTATGTTGCCCAGACTGGTCTCGAACTCTGAGCTTCAAGTGATTCTCTTGCCTTGGCCTCCCAAGGTGCTGGGATTACAGGCATGAGCCACCATGCCTGGCTCATATTTTTAATAGTTTAATTTTAAAAGCTCTATTTTTGTTTGAAATAACTTGTATTTTAATAACACTTTAGTATTTTTGGAGAATGTGAGAACTTGGAGAGATTGCTGAAATGCAGTGCCCTCATCCTGTAGCTGAGTATGCAAGTCACCCATATTGGTGAAGTGACTGCCTCCGGAAACTCAGTGAGGAGCTGCGCTTCTAGGGCTAGGAGCTGACTCCCAGTCCAGTGCTCCTGAATAAGCTGCACCACCTTATTCTTCCCTTTACCCCTTTACTGTCTGCCATCCCTGTAAGCTCAGTGAGAGTGGGGACCCCGTCTGTCCTCCTCTGCTGAATCCTCTGAAGAGATCATAAAGCCAGCACATTGTGGGTGAAAAACTAATATTTGCCAAAAATGTTAGCTTCCCTTTTCTTGCCATCTGTTGGTGGGTTCACAGCTTTCATAGTATTTCTGAAGGACTGAATGTAGATCATGTACAGTTGGCACATTCTCCAGTGGGAATCCTGGGGGCTAAATGACTTATTTCCTTGCAGGTGGAAGCTGCACCCGCCCACACGGGCTGCCCGCTGCATACTCAGCATTGCTCACTTTTATCTTGCATTGTTATGTACACACTGTCAGCTGCTCTGCATTCCTAGTGGAAAATTTACATTCCACTGCCTAGATATGTTTGATAACCAAAATCCCATTTGGGAAAATAAAACAAAAACAAAAAATGGCAATGGTGAAATCTAAGTATGGTGTAGTAAGTTAAGAAAGAATACAAAAGAAAAGACAAACAATCCCCAAATACTTTTATTTTTTTTTTCCCCAGTGCTTGCTTAGTGGCAGTTCCTGTAGACTTCTGAGAATTCTCTTGAGTTAATTGGTTATTTTTTAACTTTATGGGGGCCATATTATTCTCTTAAGCATAGCATTAGGGAAACCCATGGGCATTTACTTGTGAATACCTTAACAAGTATTCAAGTAACATTTATTTTCTTGTAAGTGCCCATTGCAAATAATTATTTTTAGAATAAGTTAGTACACTTGAGGCTTAACATTATATATTCAGAATGCTTAGGATCATCTGTGGAAATATTTCTGTGGTGATATATTCCACAGAAAACAATAAAGAGAAAAATCAAACCAGAATTTCAATAGCTTAAAAATTTGTGGTATGAAAACTGATTTGAAGCATCAAAATTTCCTGAGAAGACTTAGGAATATAAACATTTACTTAATATATACTTACATTGAAGAGTTTTCCAAAGAAGGTATTACTTATGATGGGTATCTTATCTTCTGGGTCATTTTTAGGTTAAAAAAGAAATATTTTACTTTGCTTTGTTTTGAATAGCATATCATCTGTTTGTTTGTTAATTTGGTTTGAGTTGTTTTCCTGTCTCAGTGAATGGAGGTATTCATTTAGATCACAGTACAAAAGGCAAAATATGCAAACCGATGCTATGGTATCCATTATTGGGAGGAAAATAGCCATCTGAATAAGGAATGATAATCCACACTTGACAGATAAGCCCTAACCTTTCCTTTGGAAATCAGCCTGTGTACTGGGTACAGCAACATGGGGACCAATAGGACCCAGGTAGAGATGAGTGGTTTCATCAGCTCATAGAAACTAACTGGACCCTTCTGGGAATGTTCCAGACAGCTTGTTCGTTATAATTAAAGACATATTCTCTAACTAGTTTCTCACTGGTTAGTGCAATTGGAATTTAAAAAAAAATATTATTATATAACAATGCCGGTAAAGAGATTCTTTCCAAAATATTTCCGTGGCTGGCCTGATTTTGCCACCATCCCTGGATTATGGAATTTCTAGAAGTTACTGGGATTAACAGATTTTAATTTTCATTCCACTGAGGTGTTACGTGTCCATGTGAAGAGACCACCAAACAGGCTTTGTGTGAGCAATAAAGCTTTTTAATCACCTGGGTGCAGTCAGACTGAGTCCGAAAAAGGAGTCAGCAAAGGGAGATGGGGTGAGGCAGTTTTACAGGATTTGGGTAGGTAGTGGAAAATTGCAGTTAAGGGGAGTTGTTCTCTTGCAGGCGGGGGTGGGGGTCACAAGGTGCTCGGTGGGGAGCTCCTGAGACTCACTGTCCAGGAGAAGGAATGTCACAAGGTCAATTGGTCAGTTAGGGTGGGGCAGGAACAAATCACAATGGTGGAATGTCATCAGTTAAGGCAGGAACTGGCTATTTTCACTTCTTTTGTGGTTCTTCAGTTGCTTCAGGCCATCTGAATGCATATGTGCAGGTCACAGGGGATATGATGGCTTAGCTTGGGCTCAGAGGCCTGACATCAGGTTGTACATAAATTGTACTGTTAGCCTCATGTGAAGAATATTTGATAGTAGTCAAGGGGAGACAGACTTGGGTGAACGTGAGAACGTATGTGCTGCAAGGCACAGTAGGAAGAACTCTGGTTTGGAAGTCAGAAGTGGATTCATGTGACTGCTTCTTTGCTTACTGCATGACCTTGAGAGATGGGGAGGCTCATCTTTTCCCATCTATACAATTAGAGTAATGGTAGCCTCATAAGGTTATTTTGAGGAACAAATGTGAATATAAATGAAAACCTTTTGTAAATTCTGATGTGTTTTACAACTGTAAATTTATTAGAAAATAACTACCTTAGAATGATATTGTGAAAAGTCAAAGTAACATATGGAAAGTATTTGATGCAGTTCTGGGCATAATATATGCTCAAAAATTGGTGTCCTAATTGTTGTTTAATTAAAGTATGTACTGAGCAAATTCTGTATTCAAAGCACCAATAATAGGTTTTTTGGTTATAGATAAGGCTGTTTACTAAGAAAACAAATAAATATGCAGTCTACATAAATATTGATGCCATTGGGGAATATGTTAACTTTATAAAAAGTATTGTATAAAAAGTATTGCATGAAAAGTTCAGACAAAATGATTTGCATTTTGGAAGAGAGAAATTATCCAGCCAAGTGAATGGTAAATGTGGCAATAGGAGAAATAAGGTTACAGTGTGGTAGGATGGGGTCAGCTCAAATATGATCCAAATAATCAAGTCCAGTCCAAGACACGAGGACATCATCTGAAGCCAGTGGCAGCTTTTATAGGTGTTTGCAGAGAGACATCACATGTTTGGGTCTGTGCTTCAGGAAGATGAATTCACACAGAGTTGGATGAGAGAGGAAAGATGCTAGAGGCAGGAATCCTGGTTAGACCATGCTAGGTGCAGCTCCTAGAGGATTTGTGAGGACCTGGCCTTGGGCTGTGGGGGCAGGTAAGAAGGGGACAGATAAAATAATTTTGAGTGGGGAGAGCTCTGGGATTTCATCAGTGGTAACGATGTGTCCTGTGGTAACATTTTCTTGCAACTGCTTTGAAAAAAAATGCAGGTGATTTATGAAAACTGAATAATGCAAAACAAATTTCTTATGTTTTAGTGACTCTGCTGACTTGATGACTGTTTAGGTATAGACAGACTTTTACAAATCTTAGTTTTAATGAAAAGCATTAGACATATCCAGCTGGGTATACAGATTTGGTGTCAGGAGAAAAATTTGGACTAGAGATAGGGATTTGGTTGTCATTGGCAAAATGATGTTGGTCATAAACAACATGGCATGTGATAAATTTGACCAAGAGAGTGTTTGGGTTAAAAGCCGGGAAGGCAGAGATGGAATTCTTGGGGGGAAATACCAACATTTAATGTGAGCCAAGGAGGAGGAGTTGTTGGTATAGGAAACTGAGAATGGTCACAGAAGGATGGGGTTCAGAGACAACATATTGCTGAACTGTGATGGAGTATCCAGTTATGCAGTTAGTATTTTCCTTTGATACCATAGAAGATTATATACCCAAAATACCCGGGAGCTGTACTATTTCAGATTAACAATACTTATTTAATTTTCTGGAGCTTAATTTTTTGGAGCTCGATTTTCTTACATCCAAAAGAGCACAATACTAGAAAAAGATATTTTAGCACATCAGATATTATATGGGATATAATGTTCTCTAAGACATAGCCAAGTATAAAAAGTATATTTGTTTAAAAAACACTTTAATACAAATCTACTATGAAAATTAATCAAGAAAATGGATATTATGTTTCTTTTGTAATTTTGCATTGACCAAAAACATCTGAATTTACTTGATTAATATTTATCTGGTATATCTTTTTCCATAGTTTTAACCTACCCATATCTTGTTTTTGTCTTTTTTTTAATTATTATTTTTTTAATAGACAGGGTCTCACTATGTTGCCCAAGCTGGTCCTGAACTCCTGGGCTCAAGCAGTCCTCCCATTTCAGCCTGCCAAACTGCTGGGATTATGGGCATGGGCCACCATACCTGGCCTACTCACGTCTTTATATTTAAAGTGTGTCTCTTATAAACAGTATATTGTGAGATCTTGTTCCTTTTTCCAGTCTGCCTGTCTCTGTCCTTTAGTTGGAATTTTTAGTTCATTTGAATTTACTGAATTACTGGCATGATTAGAATCGAGTTTATCATGTTATTTGTTTTTTTGTTCCATCTAATATTTGTTTTTGTTCTTTCTTGTCTTTTTTATGAACAGATTCATCAAACATTTAAACAATTATTTCATTTTATCTCTCTATTGGCTTTTTAGCTATGCCTCTTTGGGATTTTGTTTTCAGTAGGTACTCTAGGGCTCACAATATACATCCTTAACTTATTTTAGTTTGCCTTCAAATAATATTATGCCAGTTCTGTACAACAGTGTAATTCCATTTATCTTTAATGGTACCTTTGTGTTCCTATTAAATATTTTAGTTTTATATATGTTACCAATCTCATGAATCATCATTATTATTTTTGTTTTAAACTAGTCTTTAGGACTAATTTTTTTTTTTTTTGAGATGGAGTCTTGCACTGTGTCGCCCGGGCTGGAGTGCAATGGCGTGATCTCGTCTCACTGCAACCTCTGCCTCCTGAGTTCAAGTGATTCTCCTGCCTCAGCCTCCCAAGTAGCTGGGATTACAAGTGCCCGCCACCAAGCCTGGCTAATTTTTTGTATTTTTAGTAGAGATGGGGTTTCACCATGTTGCCAGGCTGGTCTTGAACTCCTGACCTTGTGATCCACCCACCTTGGCCTCCCCAAGTGCTGGGATTACAGGCGTGGATTAATTTTTTTAAGTTTTAAAAATTACTCACATATTTCCATTCAATGTCCTTTTATACTTCTGTGCAGATCCAGGTTTGTATCTTGTATTATTTTCCGTGTTTGAAGAACTTCCTTTGTGATTTTTTGGTAGCATGGGTCTGGCAACAGTCAATTCTCTCGGCTTTTATCTGTCTAAAAAAGGTCTTTGTTTCAACTTCCTTTTTGGAGGATATTTTCTCAGGGCACTCTCTGTTGTGTCTAATTTGCTAAAGCGCATGGAATGAATTCTTCATTACAGATATTCTGTTTTTTAGTTCTAGAATTTTCTTTTGTTTCTTTAGAGTTTCAATTTCTGGGCTAAAATTCCTCTTATTTTATCATTTTTCCACCTTTTCTACTGAATTTTTTAACGTATTTATAACATTTATATTAAAATCCTTATTTGCTAATTTCAATATCATGATCATCTCTGGGTTTGACTTTATTTCTCTTGATAACGGGTCGTCATGTTTTCTACTTTATTTACATGTTTTATAGTTTGTGTTGTGTACTAGTCATTTTGTATGAAATTTTGTATAAAACTTATAGAAATTTAAAGTAGGTGATAATTATCCCCAGGAAAAAGCATGTCCCCTTCTTCTATTGGGCTGCTAGGGAAAGGAGCTGATCTTATAGTATAATCCATAGTTGAGCTGGGAACAGGCTGGGCTGCCGTTTTAGTTAGATTTAGTTTACTAGTGGTTTCAAACACTTTGAGGGTGAAATCAGGGCTTGCTTTCTGTGCAACAGGACTTGGGAGTTAATATTGGTGAGATTTAGAAATCTGTCTCTACAATTAGTCCAGCTATTAGCTATTTCCACCACTGGAGATTCTGTCTGTTACACAGCTTTCCACACTATGGGATTCCTTTCTCTGCTCTTTTGCCCTGCTCTTGGCTTTTGTTACACTTCCGTGCACTTGAAGAAGGCCCCATGGGGAAGAATTCATGGGTGGTGTGGACTTGCTCTGCATCTGGGTTTCCTTGGTCATGCTGACTAACACAGGCTGACTGTCTATGGAGGTTTATTCCTCTGCCTTTTGTGCCCCTGGGGATGAAAGCAGCTGAAGATTTCTTCTCCCTTAGAAAGGGTTCATCACTCTCTGGAATTTAGTTCATCTAGACATCTTTGCATCCTAACAAAGTGACATTGGCACTTTCCAATATCAGTTATGGCACATCCCCTCAAAAATAGGGCCCGTTCAGTCTAGTAGATCTCATCAGACATCTTAGCCAGTCTTTCTCCCATTTAAAAAATAGTGATACTGAAAAAAAAAAAGAATGATTCTTTAAAAAATCTTTTTCAGAACAATCTATAATTTGGATGTATCTGGTGTATTGACTCCTTGATAAATTGTTTTCTAGTCTGGTGTCTTTTACTAGCCTTTGGCCCTTCTCATTTATCAAAAAGTGGTGAAAACTGATTCATTATTTTGTAAAGGATTTTGTTCTCTTTGATGCTGTGTGCTGTTTGCTAAGTAGTAACAGTTTCCTCTAAAATTACCATTTTGAGAACCTACTTTTCCTTAAATCCATACGATAAAGAAAATAGAGTTGAAGCTTTTTTGTGTAGGTTGGCTTATATTTTGCAAGTAAGAAATTTCACTACATATTTTTCTTTAAAAATGCCTATCTCATGGACAGTCACAAAAATCTGATATGTATTTTTTAAAGTTATTGAAAATTGAGCTTTTAAATTCTATAATCAGTTCTTCCAAGAGGTTTGTGGTCATTACAATTTTGTGATAGTATCATTTAACAGCATCCTTTCCTCACCTCTTTAGACAGAGTTTGTTTTTTTTTGGACCAGGTTTTCAAGACGTGGTGAGTGCTGAGATTTGAGGCAGAGGGATTCTCAGAAGCATTCAGTTTACAGCCCCAGGGAGTGATATTTCCACTTTATTAATTAGTTCATGGAGCATCCCTTTGGGCTAGTTTAGCAGGATTATTCCTACTTTTATAGGTCTAGAAATTGAAGTGTGAAGTGTTGAATTGGCTCATGTAAAAAGGTTTAGGCAATCAGTGTCAAAATTCAGAATTCCAGAGCTTTAGTCAGTTACTCAGTTTATCAACCTTGATCTTGTTATTCCAAATATATGTTTTTAAAGGAACAATTTTGATTTTATTGATTTTATTTTTCATAGCAAACAGATTCATCCAGCTTTTAACTTGAATGTTGACCCAGCTGTGATATTGACCTACTGTTATGGAATTTGTGAACTTGACTTAAATTACTTATGTAAACTTACTGGATTCACATGAAGCATTTTATTTTTGTATGGTCATCTGTGACATAAAATCTAATCTAAATAAGATGTCAGAGACAGGGTGATATATTGGAGACAGCATGTGATTTGTATCCAAATTCTGCACTAGACTCCTAGCTCATCCCATTCCAGCAGGGTAAGAATGGTTAAGTTACTTTTGCCACCTTTGACTTTGGAAATATTTCCAAGAAATATTTTGTCTGTCTGTCTGTCTGTCTGTCTGTCTGTCTATCTATCTATCTATCTATCTATCTATCTATCTATCTATCTATCTATCTAATCTCCACTCAGGGGTTTGAAATGGGGTTTTGCCAGCCTCTTCAGCCTGCTCCAGAATGACTCCTCTCTCTAATTCACTCGGCTAACCTACTTCTCAATATTGAAATAAATTTGGTTTTTCAAGACAATGTTGAGCCCAGTGCAGAATCAAGGCAAGAGGTCAGTCATCAGTGTGTCCTGCTTTTGCTTGGTGTTGATTCCTTCACCAAATGACAAAGTCAAAGTACAAAGTGAAAGTTTGAATTTTGCAATGATAACTTACCATTTGATTGGTTTCGTAGTCACAGATTACACGCTGGTCAGTCTGCTCACCAGTGAACTCCATCCCTGGCTACACGGGGCTCTGAGTGAGAATACCTCATACTCCATCTCTAGGTGTCCATCTCCTTGTAACTAGGAGTGTTGATACTTAATATTACCCTCATATTTCAAGTAGCATTTCTTTTCTTTCCTTTCTTTTTTTTTTGAGACAGAGTTTTGCTCTTGTTGCCCAGGCTGAAGTGCAGTGGTGCAATCTTGGCTCACTGCAACCACTGCCTTCTGGGTTCAAGTGATTCTCATCCCTCAGCTTCCAAGTAGTTGGAATTACAGGTGCATACCACCACGCCCAGATAATTTTTGTATTTTTAGTAGAGATGGGGTTTCACCATGTTGGCCATGGCTGGTCTCGAACTCCTGACCTCAGGTGATCCACCCCCCCTTGGCCTCCCAAAGTGCTGGGATTATAGGTGTAAGCCACTGCACCTGGCCTGAAGTGGCATTTATGTTTACAGTGCAAGGGGAAGTGTATGGGCTAATAAGAAAATTGATTTAAAAATTCTAATTTATCATTATGTTCCCCATCATCTAAAGCCATCATGTCCCTAGAGTACCACCAACTGACCAACCCTTTATCCCCGATTAGGGCTCTGGAGAAGTTCCTCTTATACCCAGTTGATTTGGTTTAATTTTTTTGTGTGTTGTTTATTACTTAAAATGCCTGCTAAAAATGCATTTTATATAAAAACTGGTATTGTTTTTAAAAAGTATGAATCATTTTTTATAATTATCTTTTTGTTTCTTTTACAATTCAGGTATACTACTTTGAGTAGTTTTTCAGATTTTTAGTGTATCTGAAAACAGTAATTTAGTTATTTTAATTATGTAACTCAAGGAAATATAACTTTAAGATTAGTTTTCAATTCAACTGGTTAATCATGAACATTTGGGGAACACTTTTGCCATGCCGAATGAGGAAAACAATTATTATTTAAAACAGATGGTTTGATTGAATTCAAGTAATAATTTACATACTCAGAATCAAATTACATAATTATTTCAACAATCATGTATTTTTATGAATTTCAATATATTGTTTATAGCTATCTGTGCTCTAAAGCAAAACAGCATGTTTTAGACAATGCAACAAGATTTTTAAAGTTACTTATTGATATAACATATTAACTTTTGCCTTTAATTCAATAACCCAACAAGATTTTAAACCATCAAGAATGGGTATGGTTAGAGAGTCACATATTGAAGAGATAACAGCAGAGCATCCTCTGTATGTGCTTAGTGCATTGCTAGCTAAGGCACTAAGGAGGAATGCTTAAGCCCAGGAATTTGAGGTTACAGTGAGCTGTGATCGCACCACTGTACTCTAGCCTGGGTGACAGAGCAACACCCTGTCTCTAAAAGGGAAAAAAAATGATATAACCCTCACTTGTAAGTACCCATTTGAAACAATCTCCATGATAAATTATTAAATTAAAAAAGCAAGGTGCTGAAGAATTGGTAAAGCAGGCCATCAGCGCATTTAAAAATTGTATGTATGTGCTATGTACATAAGATAATATGCATGTGTATGTACAGACTATCTTTGAAGGAATATTTCTAACTCTGGTTGCAGCTTGGTGATTAGGGCATAGGAGTGGGAAGGACACTTCTTTTTTACTGTACACCCCCTTTAACCACTTGAATTTTGTTCAGGTGCGTGCATTACCTGCTAAACATTTTATTTTATTTTTTCTTTTGAGACAGAGTCTCGCTTTGTTGCCCAGGCTGGAGTGCAATGGTGCCATCTCAGATCATTGCAACCTCTGCCTCCCGGTTTCAAGCAATTCTCATGCTTCAGCCTCCTGAGTAGCTGGAACTACAGGTGCACACCACCACACTCAGCTAAGTTTTGTATTTTCAGTAGAGATAGGGTTTCACCATGTTGGCCAGGCTGGTCTCCAACTCCTGACCTTAGGAGATCCACCTGCCTCAGCCTCCCAAAGTGTTGGGATTACAGGCGTGAGCCAACACACCCAGCCCTGTTAAACATTTTTTAAAAAGTCAGCGTCACTTAATGTGATGCTAGGTGTTAGTGTAGGGCTAAGAACCTGTGTGCTTAAAATGAAAAAAAGTTACTATGATTAAATTTTAAAAATTGTACTCTAGAGTATGACATTTTAACAAACATTTATTGTGCAACTCGTAGGCATTGCCAAGCACTGTTTTAGGCACTTGAGAGTCACAGAAAAAATATTCATTCTTGTTTCTCTCAGAGATGGCATAATTCTACCAAGAATGGAGTCCCATAAATGATCTAGGGCTACTATTTGATTTTTAAGATAACTAGCAAAGTGCGTAGCAAATAGTAGGGGCTCATAGACATAGGTTCACTAAAACTCTACCACTTATTATGTGTGATTTTAGGCCAATTAATTAATCAAGCTCCAGTTTCTTTAGTAAATTGGGACTATAGTAATGCCACTTCAGGACACTGTTTTGATGATTAGAAAATATATAATGCATATAAATTACTTAGTACGGTGCTTGCCATGAAATATAGCACAACTGTTACCTATTTTTATAAATTAGTGTTGTTTGTAAGTTTTCCTTTCAAATCATGGGGTAAAATCACCTAAAACTCAAAGTGCAAGAATCAATACTATAGTAGCTGTAGCAGTTTGAGACAGAAAGCGCAAGAAGAATGAGCAGGGAATGATTGGTGATAACTGAGCTGGGCCTTGAAGAGCAGATGGAATTCCAGTAGGTGGAGAAATGAGGAGGGCGTTTTAGCCAGAGGGGCAAAGGCAAGGTGTGGATGCAGGGGATGTTTTGGGAATGGAGGGGAGCAGGCTGGTTCAACTACAGTGCGTGACGAGGAGTCTGTGTGGAAGGAGTGTTGGTAGGAGATGAGGGCACCAAGTAAGCGGCACTTGGCCCTGGGAGTTCTTGCAGGCCATGCTTGAAAGTCGGGATTTATCTTCCAGTATTAAAGGTGGACACCAGACGGCAGAAGCCTGAAGAGAGGATAGGGAGGAAGTCGGAATAGGAATAATGAAGAGAGAGATGGCAGCTGTACTTGAGAGCGGCCATAAGGTCAAGGGGAAAATTAAAGGCACCAGGTAGAGATGGAGGTCTTAAATGAATGAACAAGCAGAGACAGCCGGGGACAAAATCAAGATGTGGGGTTAGCTTCCTAAAGGCATATAGTTCCTTCTGAGACAGGCAGAAAAGGAGAAAAATGGTGAGGATCTAGATGAGGTGAGTTGTGGAGGGAAGGAAAGTTGAGGGGCTTCGTGTCTACTGGCTTCTATTTCTTGACATTTGGAATGAAATGACCTGCTGAGAGTGTGTGTGCCTGGAGTGGGATTTTAAGGGTTAGGTGAGGGGTGAGGTGAGATGAGAGGTGAGGATTTGGACTATCCACTGTGGGAAATGGAAAAAAGAACTGTGGGAGGAGTGGAGGGCTGGCTGAGCAAGCTATACTGAGGTCCAGGTGATGGCTTGATGCTGAAAGCTGGTCTCAGGTGAGGGCTGCTCATGGGGCCCCGTGGTTCTCTCTAATAGCAGCTGGGACCCTGGAAGCAAAAAGAGAGGCAAAGGTGATCACATCTACCCAGTGGCAAGGGCTGCGGGAATTGAGGGTGCTGGCGTGAGTGTACCTGATTCAATGGGGGATAGGGGAGAAAGTGAAACCTGGGAAAAATTGCTTGTGTCAGTCTTAAGAGAAAAGGGTGGGGTCAGGCACTTGGTGGGGGCCAAGGATCAGAAAGCAGGTGCATGGGAATGGGAAAGGAAAGATGATGGAACACAGTATG